>NC_000003.12:68191818-68494848 GCF_000001405.40 Homo sapiens
AATTCTGGAGGCCTGATTGATATAGTTATTATCTAAGACGTGATTTGGTGGTGTTTTCGTAAACTCTTCAATGTCACTCAATCACTTCAACGTCATTCAATCAATGTTGAATAAATTATTCACTTTCTTTGCTTCAACCATTCTTAGGTGAGTTCTAAGTATAGGATCTCTTTCTATATTCTTGGTTTATCTGCTTTTGCTTTGGTTTCCCTTTCCTTTCTAAAGTCCCGCCTACATATATCATCAGCTTTAGTTCCTAAGTGCTTCTTGTCTTTTCAGCTATAAGAGCACTATTCGCTCTAGTCCAACAACTATTTACTGAGTAACTACTAGGTACCAGATCCAGGTGCTGTAAGGGACCGAGTGATACAGCTTTTGCTCTCATGGAGATTATGACAATTAAAACTAAACAGGAGTGATTAAAATTATGATAAATGAGGTCTTTTCCCCTCTCTTGCCCTGTAATTCTCTCCAAAATGATGCATTTGGCAAAAGGTTGAAGACTAGGTCACTCCAAGATAAAGTTCTACCTCCTTCACCACCTGGCCTCCATGTCTCCATTATGTGGTCATGGCATCTGCCAGTGTGTTACGAATGAAAACAGATGAGAAACTGAATGTGTCTGATGGGAATACCGCAAGTTGCTCATTGAGCACCATTATGATGTGCCTTCATCATCCCATTGAATGGAATCTGAATTTGACAGGAGCATCTCTAGAGAGCTGTATAGTTCACAAACAAAACCTAAAAAGTTAAGAGAAATGGAATGCAGTTTTTCTTGTGCTATCCTTATTTTATATATCAATATCCTTTCTGTTGAATAATAATCATTTATCCATTGATCTTGAAATAGTTCACATCCTGCAATTTCTTTATGTTAAATCATTAGTATTAAAAAATAAAATAAAATTTTAATCAATGATTTAGTAGGGAAATAAAAGGGACACTCCAAGCATATAGCAAGGGGTGTTATCTAGTCTAAGGAAGTAAAAGAAGTAGGCTTGGAGGGTGTGATGGATCAGCTGAGACCTGAAACTTGACTAGGAATTTACTCAGGAATGGAAGAGGCTATAATATAGTTCAGAATAGGGAACAGAGTGTGGAAATGTGTCCATAGAGGCACAGGAGGGCTGAGAAGGAAAACATACAAAGCAAAGTTGAGGTTGTCTCTATTTGAGCCCAATGGTGGGCATGGACAGATATGGTAGTCTCCTTAAACCTTAATAAGATGCTGAGCTCCATCCTAAGACGATGAAAAAAATCACTGAAGTGTTTTAAGTATGAGGAATTAGTCACAGTACCTGCCTCTTCTTCCTAAATAAAAAATAAGCTCCAAAGTAAGTTGGGATAGCAGAAAAGTTGGAAAAATCTTAATTATACATACCATGCTGCTAACTGTGGTATTTAGGGAATGGAATCTAGTAGGAGAGAGATTTTATTTTAAGTACTTTTCTACTATTCAAACATGGATTATTTTGTAATAAAAAGGTATTTTAATGTAAGTTTAAGAGATAATAAAGCATTGTCCCCTAACTGTAACATTTTTACCAAAAATGTCAAGGAAAGGAAGAAGTTCAATAGAATTCACAGAAATAATACTTATCTAAAGCAACTGCCTTTGAAACTTAAAACAGCAAACAAGAAAACAGAAAAGTCAGATGTCTCCTTCCAGTGTCTCCCCTTTTCATGTATTGATACTCAATAGTTTCTTGCATTCTCAACAACAGAGAATTGAACACAGTTTTGTTTGTTAAGTTTGCTGCATTTTTGAGTGTAGTTTCCATTATCATTTTGAATAAAACATCTTTCCTTAAGCAAAAATGTTTCTGAAATTATTATGCAAATCAATAGGAAAATACAATTTTCTTAGAGAAATTCTGTTTTTCACATTTTTCAGGTTTAAAAAGCCTAGGCTTTAAAGTGGATTGCAAAAAAAAAATGAACAGGTCTCTTCTGTATCTATCATATATGGTAGCTGTGTTAGTCAGGTTTCTGCCGCCCTAATACTGTGTAACAAACAACCCTCAAACCCAGTTTCTTACAACTGCAAACATTTGTAGGTTTGTGGGTTTGCAGTTCAGTTGTGGTCTTGCTGACCTTGGCTGAATTTGGCTGAGCAAAGTTATATTTTTAAGCTTTAGGCCTAGATATATTTATGCTTTTGTCAGATTCAAGTCCACTTCATGTGTCTTTGTTCTGAGACTTGGGCTGAAAGACTAATGACTCTCTGGGGCATGCTTTTCCCACAGCAAAGGGCAGAAACTCAACAGGACTGGTGAAATGTTACAATACTCTTAAAATTATGGCTTAGAACTGGAACACAGTCATTTCTGCCCACTGATCAAAGCAAGTAGAATGGCCAGCCTCAAAGTCAATGGGGTAGGAATGCATACTGTCCCTCCACAGGAGGAGTCACTACCAAGCCAAATGACAAAGGGCATGAACAGTTCTACCCTGGGGAGAAAGTGAGGCATTAAGAGCAGCATTTCTATCTACCTTGGTGGCTGAAGTATGATCAAATGGAAATCTACATTGTTTTCCCCACGTAGATTTTTCCGGTGTGCAAGATTGGAATTCCATAGCCACTGAGAACAAATTAAAAAGATGAGACTAACCAGACAATTTTCTTTGCAAATATGCTGATGGGATATCTGATGACAATTGATTCAACATCAATTGCTATGCAATCGTTATGAAAGATATATTGTACTAAAAAAATTTAACTAAATAATATGGAAGCAATATTTTTGTTATTGTTGTTGTTGGCAGGGAGTACATAATATCTATGTAAGAAATAATGTACCTTCAGACTTCCAGCCTCCAGAATTGTGAAAGAATCCATTTCTGTTGTTGTAGGCCACCCAGTTTGTGGTACTTTGTTATGGCAGCCATAGCAAACTAATACATTAGCTTTGCAACTTAGGACAAAATACTTCAAAGTATGAAGTCTTAGTTTCCTTATCTTTAAAATGGCAGTGACATCAGTAGCTGTCTCATAGGGTTGGTGTGAGGTTTTGTTGGTAAAGTGTATAACATAGAGACCGGCATATAGGAAGTCTTCCCTACAGGTGTGTGAGCGTCATCATCGTCATTATCAGTACTAACTAGTAATAGTTGTCTTCTCCCACATTTCTCTGTAGTAGTCAGTTTTTCGGTATGCCCATTTAATTTCCTGTAATCCTGTTTAAAGTGGATATATCCCTTACATGCCCATCCATGTCTGGGTCCTCACATGCTGCTTCAGTGTTCTCTTCATATCAGAGGCTGAATGTATGCTTGAAGAGGTTGTGACTATAGCCTTAAATAGCCCAGAGCATTTGGAAATGTTCTTTCAAGCCTTACTCTAATTTGGGGTTTGCCTTGTAATATATGTGCATTTGTTTAAATATAAAAATGGATGTTTAAATTACTACTTAAAATGCTTAATTTCTTTCTAAATCCTTAAGGGATAAGTCTGTGCCCCAGGAAAATACAACATAAGGCTTCTTGTGCCTTTACACTACCCCTACCCCTGGTAGACTGCCACAGACTTCTGGGATTATTGGCATCCTAGATTAACAGTTTGAGTTTGAGGACTTCTTGTATATAGGTGCTTATGATCATGTCTTATCTGAAATTCGACATTATGACCATTCTGTCTCTAAACATCAGTACCTCTAGACCACTGGTTCTAAACCAGGGGTAACTGCCCCACCGAAAGGACATTTGGCAAAGTCCAGAGGCATTTTTGGCTGTCACAACCTGTTTTGCTCCTTGGCATCTGGTGGGTGGAGACCAGGAATGCTGTTCAGTGTACTACAAGGTCCAGGAAAGACACCCATAGCAGAAAGTTATTCAGCCCAACTTGTCCACCATGTTAAGGCTGAGAAATCCTGTTTTCAGCCATCCCTAGTATGATCACGCTATGTTTGAATATATCAGGCCACAGAGATTTCTACTTTTCATTAGGGTTCTTATAATATAATATTTTCTTTTTTCTTTTTTCTTCTGTCTTTCCACATAGATCCATATCATATATGTCTTTGTATTTCCTTTAACTCTCAGCACCCACCCTGGAAAGTAGTAGGTTCTTGATAAAATGTTTACGGCTGGAATCTACTGCTGTGAAAATGTCTTGGACCCATGTCACTTATAATGTACATATCTAAAAATATTTTCTCTCTTCTTCTGGTCTCAATAGCATCAGAAATGTATAGAGTTTTAGAGACAGCTGGGCTTTTAGAAAATGGGCCACAGATCACAAAGCTGAGGTTTTGAGAAATAATCCTCATCTCAGGACAGGTATATATTAAGTGGATACTGGTCAAGAATCAGGGTCCTAGTTCTGCCCTTTGCATCTGTGTATAAGCAGCTCCCATCCGGCCTTGACTTTCTTCTGTTCACGTAACTTGTAACTTTCCCCTAAGTCTTCAAAAGTGGTAAAATGGAAATAGTATGTTCATACCAATGGGCAATTTGCATTTAGTTCATTGTTCTGTGTCTACAGTCCTCCTGGAAGCATTTTCTAACGGTCTCAGATTTTCTAGATTTTTCTGACCAAATACTGACCAAATGTAGCAATCAATCAATCAATCTATCTATCTATAAATTAGTCAATTTTGGTGATACTTATGTGGGATCTATATTTGTTCTGATTCACCTGCTTTCCAATGTGCACTCAGCATTCTTTTAGTTGAGGAAATGCAGTTCAAATTACTATAAGGAAAAATAAAGGGAAATTTATTGCCTAAATATTTTCAAAGCCCCAGAGTATTGCATATAGGGAGAAAAATGATGTTGTCATATTTCTGCCTCTCATTCTTACTCCTGCTCTATTTTTCTGTGTTATATTTCATTTGTGATTGGAACCAAGGCTCAAACTGCTGTTGTTAGTGCTCCCTGCCCCTGTCCATCTCACAGACTGGCTCTTTCACTATGCAGAAAGATGGCCACCATCCATGCCTGCTGAGTGACCATGCCCCATAGCTTCTTTAGAACAGTCCTAGGAAGAATTTTAATTGGCCCTGTTTAGCTCATTTACCAACAACTGAACTAATCACTTTGGCCAAAGGAATTGGATTATTTGATCAGAGCCAACCACATCCTTCTGGCCATTGAAAGTGGAGATAGTCTCTGCCAACTGCATGGAATGGATTTCACAGAAGAAAGAGGTATTTTGTTACCAGGATAATGTGTGAGAAGACATCCTGGACAAGAAAATATAGTAGAACTCCAATATATTAGATGACCTATCACAGCCTCAACATGTGTCACTTTCTTCTAGAAGGCCTAGAATCATGCTTTAGACATGCTTTAAACCCCAGCAGTAATTGGTAAATATATATAATCACCAACTGAAGTAAATGTGTAGTAATTTACTATGTTAAGTATTGCCAATACAGGTTTATTTAGAAATATTTGCCAGCTTTCTTTTATTTAGAATGATTTGCCCGTAAACAGAACATTTATACTGTGCTAAAATATATATTCCCTGAGTATATAATATTGCTTTTTAAAATAAAATTATGAAATGAAAGAGAAATAAGTGGGTATGGTATGGAGTATTTGCCTTTATAAGATCAGGTGTATCTTTTAGAATTACTTGATTTTTACCTGGCAAATTTTATGACAGTTCAATCAGAAGGACAAGCTCCTATGGGGTTCGGGAAATGCAATGAAAATTCCACCAGGCAACATTCAGAATTCAGGACCACGGTGGCTTTATTCTCCATATCAGTGGCAACATCTAATTATAAAGAAAGAAATGTCAATGCCTTTTTTTTTTAATTGCTGGCTGGTGGTTGTATTAAATCTAACCTTAGTTGACAGGGACTACTCAAAATTCTCTCCTACAGAAATGTACAATCGAGCAAAGCATGAATATATCTTTGTCAAAACAGCAAGCAGGAGCCCTTGTTTAAAAACTTAACAAAAGTACCTTCAGGCTCAGGCTCTGATGATACACTTAGTTGCAAATTCACTGGTGAGAAAAAGCATTTGGAAAGCTAAGATCTGTGAGGTATATAGTGTTATTTGTCACTCTGCGTTTAATTGTTCCTGTATATAGGTGGGTTGGAAGTTTCTAAGACTTGAATTGTATGTAGTTAAATATAATGTAACTCTGGTCCTGCTAGAATGTAAGTTCTGTAGGTGCAGATATTTTTGTCTGTTATGTTTACTACTGTACCCTCAGGGCTTACCATGTAAAAGTTGTTCAATAAATACTCATTTAATGAATGAATGAATTGGGGTATTAGTCGTTAAAAATGAAAATCTCAATTTCTAAAGTTTTGCCTTTTCCAGAAAGTATTATAATTGAAATCATACAATGTGGAGCCTTTTCAGACTGACTTCTTTCACTTAATAATATGCATTTAAGTTTTATCCATGTCTGTTTAGAGCTTGATAGTTTATTTCTTTTTAGCACGTAATAATATTCCATTGTCTGGGTGTATCTCAGTTTTATCTGTTCACCTACTGAACAACATCTTCATTGCTTCCAAATTTTGGTAATTATGAATAAAATTACTGTAAATGTGTGTGCAAGTTTTTGTGTGGACATTAGTTTCAAATCCTTTGGGTAAATATCAAGGAACACAATTAGTGAATCTTATGGTGAGAGTATGTTTAGTTTTGTCAAAAACCACCAAACAGTCTTCAAAAGTGTCTGTAATATTTTGCATTCCCACCAGCAATGGTTAAGAGTTCCTGTTGTTCCAAACATCCTCACCCAGCATTTAGTGTTGTCAGTGTTCTGAATTTTGGCCATTCTAATAGATGTGTAGTAATATCTAATTTTTTTTTAATTTGCATTTTTCTGATGACATATGATCTGGAGCATCTTTTCATATGCTTATTTATAATTTCTATGCCTTCTTTGGTGATATTTTGTTAAGGTCTTTGGTCCACTTTTTAATCAGGTTGTTGATTTTTTATTGTTTAAAGAGTTTGTTTTACATTTTGAGTAACAGTCCTTTATCAGATATGCCTCTACAAATATTTTCACCAATTCTGTGGTTTGTCTTTTCATTCTCTTGATATTAAAAATATCAGAGAATGGACATTTTTAATTTTAATGAAACCCAACTTATCAATTTTTTCTTTTATGGAGCATACCTTTGCTGTCATATCTGAAAAGTAATCACCAAACCCAAGGTCATCTAGAATTTCTTTTATGTTATCTTCTAGGATTTTTATAGCTTTGCATTTTGCATTTAGGTCTGTAATCAATTTTGAGCTAATTTTTATGAAGAGTATAAAGTCTGTGCCTTGATTGATTGATTTTGCACATAAATGTCCAGTTGTTTCAATCTTATTTGTTAACAACACTATCTTTCTCTATTGTATTTCCTTTGTTCATTGTTAAAGATCAGTTGACTATATCTATTTCTGGGTTCTCTGTTCTGTGTCAATGATTTATTTGTGTATTCTTTTTACCAATACCACACTGTCTTGGTTACTATAACTTTACAGTAAGTCTTGAAAGCAGATAGTGTCAGTCTTTCGACTTTATTTTTCTCCTTCAATGTCGTGTTGGCTATTCTGACTCTTTTGCCTCTCCATATAAGCTTCAGAATCAATTTGTCAATATCTACAAAATAATTTTCTGGGATTTTGACTGGGATTACATTGAAATTATAGATCAAGCTGGGAACACCTGACATCTTGACAATATTAAGTCCTCTTTTCCATGAATATGGAATTTTTCTCCATTTATTTAGTTCTTTAATTTCTTTCAACAGAATTTTAAAGTTTTCCTCATATAAAGATATTTTGTGAGATTTGTACTAAGTATTTCATTTTGGGGGATGCTAATGTAAATGGTATTGTGTTTTTAATTTCAAATTACACCTGTTTGTTGCTGGTATATAGGAAAGTGATTGACTTTTGCATATTAAACTTGTATCATGTAACCTTTCTATAATCCCTTATTAATTCCAGGTGTGTTTTTCAGTTAAATCTTTTGGATTTTCTACATAATCATGCCATTTGAGAACAAAGAGTTTTATTTCTTCCTTCTCAATCAGTATACTTTGCTTTTCTTGTCTTATTCCATTAGCTAGGACTTCCAGTATGAACATTGAAAAGGAGTGGTGAGAGGCGACACCCTTGCATTGTTTTTGATCTTAGTGGGAAAGCTTCTAGTTTCTCATCACTAAATATAATGTGAGCTGTAGGTGTTTTGTACATTTTAAAATCAAGTTGTACATTTTAAAATCAATTTCTAGTTTACTAAGTGTTTAATCATAAATGGATGTTGGATTTTATTGAATGCTTTTTCTGCATCTACTCATATGATCATATGATTTTTCTTTAGCTTGTGGATATGATGAATTATATTAATTGATTTTCAAATATTGAATCAGCATTGCATACCTTGGATAAATCCCTCTTGATTATAGTGCATAATTCTTTTTATACACTGAATTTGATTGGATAATTTCTTGTTGAGGATTTTTGCCTCTAAGTTCATGAGAGATATTGGTCTGTAGATTTGTTTTCTTGTAATGTCTTTGTCTGGTTTTGTATTTGGGTGGTGCTGGACTTATTAAATGAGTTAAGAAGTATTTCTTCAGCTTTTGTCTTCTAAAAGAGATTGTAAAGAATTGATATAACTTCTTCCTTAAACATTTGATAGAATTCACCGGTGAACCCATTGAAGCCTGGTGCTTTCTGTTAGGGAAGCTATTAATGATTGTGTCAATTGCTTTAATAGATATCGGCCTATTTAAAATGTCTGTGTCTTCATATGCAAGTTTTGGCAGAGTGTGTCTTCCAAAGAATTGGTCCGTTTCATCTGTTATTAAATTTGTGAGCATTGAGTTGTACACAATCTTCCTTTATTATACTTTCAATGTACATGGGATCTGTAGCATGTACTAATATTAAAAATGAAAGGACATCATTTTTAATATTAGTAGTTTGTATCCATTCTCTTTATCTTCTTTTTTTTAAAATTAGCCTGGCTAGAGGATTATCATTTTAATTATCTTTTCAAAGAATCAGCTTTTGATTGAATTGATTTTTCTCTACTGATTTCATGTTTTTAATGTTATTGATTTCTGCTTTAATGTTTATTATCTCTTTTCTGTTGCTTACTTGGGTTTAATTTGCTCTCCTTTTTCTCATTTACTAAGGTAGAAGCTTAGATAATTGATTTTAGATCTTTTAAAATTTTCTAATATATACATTCAATATATGCATTCAATGCTGTAAACTTCTCTCTTATGTCTGCTTTGACTGTATTCCAACAATTTTGGTAAGTTGTGTTTTTGTTTTCACTCATTTTATTTAGTTCAAAATATTTTAAAATTTATCTTGAGATTTCTTCTTTGATCCCTGTGTTATTTAGGAATGTATTGTTTAATCTCCATGTATTTTGGGATTTTCTAGTTATCTTTCTGTTATTGAATTTTAGTTTAATTTCATTGTGATCTGAGAGCAGACTTTTTATAATTTATATTTTTAAAAATGTGTTATAGTATATTCTATGACCCAGCATGTGGCATATCTTTGTGAGTGTTTCATGTGAGTTGGAGAAGAATGTGTGTTCTGCTGTTGTTGGATGAAGAAATCTATAGATGTGAATTTTTTCTGGTTCACTTGTGGTGGTGGTGAATTCAACTATGTCCTTTCTGATTTTCTGCCTGCTGGATCTATTCATTTCTAATATAAGGGTGTTGAAGTCTCCAACCATAATAATGGATTCATCTATTTCTCTTTGCAGTTCTGTCAGTTTTTGCTTAATGTATTTTGATGCTCTGTTATTAGGCACGTAGATAAAGATTATTATGTCTTCTTGGAGAATTGACTTCTTTATCATTGTGCAATGTCTCTCTTTATCCTTGGTAACTTTCATGCATTGTAGCCTGCCCTGTCTGAAATAATATAGCCACTGTCTTAGTTTATTTTATGTTTCTATAACAGAATACCTGACACTAGGTAATTTATAAAGAAAACAGGTTTATTTAGCTCATGGTTCTACAAGATGGGAAGTACAAGAAGCATAGCAGCAGCATCTGCTGGCTTTGGGTGAGGGCTTTCTGTGTAAAAGTTTTTTGTGCTGTGCCATAACACGATGGAGAATGTCAGTGGGGAAGCTGACACATAGGAAGAGGCAAAACCCAAGAGGCATCCTGGCTCTGTAAACCCACTCTTATGGGAAATCATTCATTCCTGTGAGAATTAATCCAGTCTCACCAGAATGAGAACTCAATCACTACTGCAAAAACAGCACCAAGTCAGCCATGAAAGCAGAAGCCTCATGACCCAAACACTTCCCACTAAGTCCCATCTCCTAACACCACCTCATTGGGGATCAAATTTCAACAAAGTTTTGGTGAAGACAAAACAAACCATATCCAGACCACAGCAGTCACACCCACTTTCTTTTAAATAATATTAGCATAGTATATTTTTCTCCATTTATTTTTAATCTGTGGGTATCTGTGTATTTACAGTTGGTTTCTTGTAAACAACATCTAGTTGGGTCTTGTTTTTTATCCACTCTGACAATCCCTGTCTTTTGATTGGTATATTTAGACCATTGTTGCTCAAAGTGATTGTTGGTATACTTTCATTAATATGTACCATATTTGTTACTATTTCTATTTACTGTTTATGTTCTTTGTTCCTATTTTTGTCTGTGACTCTTTTTCTGCCTTGTGGTTTTAATGATACATATTTTATAATTCAATTCTCTCTCCTTTCTTTAGCACGCTATACTAAAGACTTATTTTATAACTTATTTAGTGGTTATACTTCTTTTTTCACTTATTTAGTGGTTATTCTAGAGTTTGCAATACACATTCACAATTAATCAAGCCAAATTTTAAATAACAATATACCACTTTATGGGTACTGTGAGTAACTTACAATAACAAAACAATACTAATTTCTTCCTCCCATCCTTTCTATCATTTCTCTAGTGAAATTTACTTATATATAAGCAAAAATAAGTATTAGATATCCTATATATGGTAATATGAGCATATGTAATTGATATGTTGTTACTTTTATTTTGAATAAATTGTTTTCTGTTAAATCAATGAAGAATAAAAAAACAAAAATTTTTATTTTACCCTCACTTAGTTTTTCTTCAATCCTTGTCTTTTCTTAATAGATCTTTTTAAATAGAGTTTCTGACCCATATTTCTTCTCTCTAAAGAACTTTTAACACTTCTTTAAGGCATGTTTGCTGACTAATTCCCTCAGTTTGTGGTTGAGAAAAACTTTATTTCTTCTTCACTTTAAAGAATAATTTTGCAGACTACAAAAATCTACACTTCTGTTTTTTCTTTCAACCCTTCAAATATTTCATTTCTCTCTCTTTTTTGCTTGTGTAGTTTCTGAAGGGAAGTTGGTATAATTCTTATCTTTGCTCCTTTGCAGGTAAGGTGTCTTTTCCTTCTAACTTCTTTCACGACTTTATCTTTCCTTTTCTGTAGTTTGAAAATGATGTGCCTAGGTGTAGGCATTTTTTTCTTTTCTTTTTAATTCTGCTTGGTGTTTTCTGACCTTTCTGGATCTGTGGTTTGGTGTCTGACATTAATTTGAATGAAATTTGCAGTCATTTTCTGTTTGTTAATTCCAGCATTCCTGACATGTCTGTTTCTGATGCTTGCTCTGACTTTTCAAACTATGTGTTTTGTCTTTTAGTATGCCTTGTAATTTTTGCTTGCAAACCAGACATTATGTACTGGGTAAAAGGAACTGCTGTAAAAAGATCTTAATAAGGTGGTGGCAGAGTGTGAGAAGAGGGGAAGTGTCCTATGATTGGGTTTCAGGATTTTAGTAAGCCTATGCTCTGTACTGTGAACTTCATGTTTTTCAGTTTTTTTCCTTCCCCCTTGGGTGATCAGAGTGAGCTGGAATTGGTATTTATCTTTTCTCACATGCAAAACTTGAGCTGACTGAAGTTGGGTACTGTCCTTTCCCCATGCCAGTTAGGCTCTGATAAAACCCCATCAAGTTAGGCTCTAGGTAATGAGTTTCTCCTAATGGTATACTTGGTTAAGAACATAGTGTTCTGGTATATTTCAAAATGGTTGCTTTTCTCCCTCTCCTGGTTGGAAGCACCAGGAGATTTCTCCAATATTCACTGTGAGAACCTGGTTGAGTTCCTGGAGGTTAAAGTCACAAAAATGTCAAAGGCCCCCCCCACCCCCCATGACCACATCCCCTTGTAGTTTTTAGCTCTCAGACTTGTCTACACCAACCCTTCAGCAATTCATTGATTACAGTAAAGGTTTTCCTACCTAGCACTTGTTGCTGGGAGCTTTTTGCCCTGGTATATTGTGATTCTCTGTATCCACCTATCTGTCTTTCCAATTCTGGGGACAGGATTTTGCCCTGTGACCTCATCTGTTTTATGGACCTAAAATTAGTTTGTGATTTTTCCATTCGTTGAGCTTTTTACTTGTTGTTTGGGTGAAGTGGCAACTTCCAAGCTTCTAAGATGTGGAACATGAATCCAGAAGTTCCTTTCTATTTTTGATTTCTACTCTCCTTTGGGCTGGCTTAATTCTTAGGAACTTTTCATCTGGTAGCAGAGATGATCATGGGAAAGCCCCCCACTTACACTGGCCTTTTGGTTAGCAACCCCAGAAAAATTAGTTTAACCTTCCAACCCCTTTGTCCACAGAATTTCCAAAAGTGATTGATTGTTCTTCTTTGATGATGTGCTCAGCTGTGGACCAACAGTTGTGTCCTGAGGGAGGGAGGGAGGGAAGGGATTTTTTTATAGATAGTTCTGAATCACGTGCCTTTGCAGAGGCGAAGAAGGCATAAGCAGGATTGGCAGCCCATGGGACTCATATGGAGTGAAAATGGGGCTAATCCCAAAAGAAAGGAGAGATTAAAAGCAACAATCACAAATGTTCAAATATTCACTATATTGTATCTAACAGGCTTCCCATATAGAGCTCTAACTTATTTTAATGGTGAAATTTTTCAACTCCCTTTACGGGGAAACTGAAATTCTCAAGGCTGAAGTGATTTGCTCAAGGTCATCCAGCGAGTTAATGACTAATCTATGAGATAACAAAGATATACAGTTACCTAGTCTACAGCCTGTTCTCACTGTATCATTTGGCCTCCCAGATGTCCTATAAACCCACTTCCTTTTTTTCCCTTTTACATCAAGCATAACTATTCCCATTTAGTAAATCATATCCTATTATAGAATTATAAAGTAGATTGGCCAATTGCAGATCTACATACAGTGTAAAACTGACCTTGAATGTAATGTGTTGGAATTCCATAACCCAGGTAAGCCCGAGAAAATGAACCATGACTTTTAATAGCACTGCACCACAAGGATTATCTGAGGATGTCTTTTAATGTATTCTATAAGACAAAGGTGATTTTTAGGCATCACACCTTTCCAGAGATGATTTAAATTCATTCAATAACAAGGGTTTGTGCTTTATGAGCTGAAACTCTTAGTCGATAAACCCATTGGAAATCATTACAAGCACTGAGGTCCTGGTTATGTTCATTTCAGAACCCCTCTTAACAGTGTCTCTTTTGCAGCCAGTATACACGGTGATATTCTAGATCTTGTCCTCACAACTTTATGAAGAAGAAAATGACTACGAGGGGATATGAGGAATGAAAAAGAACATAGGGCCAGGTGTCCATCAGGACTCTGTGACCCTAAGGAAGGCACAAATTCTCTCGGTCCCACTTTCCACATTGGTGAAATGTGGATATTTAGAGCTCAAAAGCGGAGAGATTCTGACAGTATTTGATAGCTATGTTACTACAATGCGACAAAAGTGGACTGAGCACGACCTTCAACTCCTGAAGACTAGAAAACGTCCCTAGATGATCTTTCCTTCAACTACTACATTTGTTTGCAATTGGCATGAATTTCCATAGAAATAGACTATTAATAAAGTACAAATAAGTAGAAGCGGTGTCCCAGAAAACCAACATTGTCATTCACCTAAGGATGGAAGAAGGAAAAAGAACAATTAGTCACAAAATTGGTCTTCTTTACACTAATATGAAAATATATTAGGTAGCAAAATATTTACATAAAAAAGGGAAAAGTTAAATTTTATATGGATTTTCTCTTCAGTTAACTGAGCTTTCAGGAGATGTGCAAAAATACTCAGTGGTTATAATGCATTAGAATTTATTGCAGTAGAAATGAAAGTATAGTCACCATGACATAGTCACCCCCGATTAAAGATATAACCTAAAATTCCTTTATCGTTCCATGTGTCATGTGGAGATTAAAATGATTTTTAAGTGTTTTTATTCTTTTTTTGTGTGCTTCATTTTAAAAACCACAGATTTACACATAAAAAACCAGCAGTCTTTGGTGAATGCTAAAGAATTTGGGGGTAGGTTTTAAACTATGTCAATATTATGAAATAGTTTGAAAGAGATATATTATGTGTTTATTAAGGGGATGGAATGATGGCCGATTTGAATTTACTTCTATATCAATGTAGACAATCTGATACTTTGTCAGAAAAAAAAGAATATGTAGAATAACAACCAATGGCAAACAGATAATAGCATGTTGACAGCCTTAAAATGAGATAGATGTTTTCTTTTTTCTCTCTTTAATATGTCTCTGATTTGTCATAAAATACCATAAAATATTGTCACCTACATGGTGATATTGTTACTCATGTTTTATAAAAAATATAATAGTTCCCAAATGATATTATTGAGGTCTCTTTCAGTTATGGATATAAAAATCAATTTAAACGGCTTAAGTAAAAAAGAGGATTTACTGACACCCATATGAGAATAAAAAATAATGATGTCATGGCTTCAGGCACAGTTGGATTCATTTATTCAATGTCACCATAAATTACACTTTCTCTCTGAGCTCTGCTCTCATTTGGATTGGTCATATCTGGCAAAATATTTCTGTGTGCAGACAAGAGAGCGACCCCTAGCTTCTGATTCACATTCTATCATCTTAATTACCTTAAGCCCAAGATAACTTTTTTCCAAGTGCTTCCGAGCAAAGTGTTGTAGTTGTACCTCATTGGACTAACTTGGACTGCATGCCCAGTTACCCTAGCCCGGAGAAAGAAATATGCTGATTGGCTAGACCTAGTCACATGATCTCCACAGATGCTAGGAGCTGAGGTTAATCACCCCCACAGCACAGTGATGAAGAGTAGAAATGACTTGACACTCCCCAAAGTGGTAAGGTGTTTTTACCAAGAAGGTGGTGTAATTCAACATCAAAAAGTTCCCTAAATATTATATATGTAGTAAACTAAATGTTTGAAGTCAGAGTTAATAATATCAACTTGCCTGGTAAGGACTACCCTGAATATTATCAAATTGAATGATGAATAGTTTTTAGAAAGCAGTATTTTTCAGCCCTATATTAGCAAAAAATGGAGATACTGCTTTCTATTGACTAATATGGAGTGACATTTTGGTAACCAAGACCCATAAAGTTACTGTTTTCTGAAATTTTCTTATTCTTGAAGCAGAGCCTCAAGATCCTACACATTATGCTTTTTAAGTGTTTTCCAGATTAAATGATATCAAAATATCGTAGTTAATTGGTGCTATTTTTATAGACCATCAGAAAAATTCATAAAAGTGAAAAATATGACCACATGTTACCTGTGCAGTAGAGTATTGTCTAACCACTGGATTGACTATTTTTAAAATTTTGTTAGTGAAGTGAGAAACTTCACAGAGTAGACAGTGATCATGAGTGTGTCATGTCAGTTCGCAGAGCCCCACCTCAGACTTACACAATCTGAAACTCTGAGGGTAAGTCTAGCAGTCACTGTTTAATCAAGCCTACCACAGGATTCTGATGCATACTAAGATTTAAGAACTACCAAATGAGCATTGACACACAGTTTGTTGTCAACAATTTTACAGCAATAAAAATTTCATTAAAATATCTATTCTGATAGTACTTGCACTAGTAATAGTAGTTGTAGTAATTACTAATGTTTATTAATCCCTTACTATATGTCAGGCACTGCATATCTCAGTTGATGACCACAACTCTAGAAATTAGATGCCCTTGTTATTCCCATTTTTTGAAAGAGAAAATTGAGGATGAAAACAAAGTGCTTAGTCAAGGCCACACAGTAAATAAAGAACGCTTCCTTTTATTAATCACCAGTCTCATTCTATAATTTTGGCAATTGGAAAAGTACCTTCTGCAGGTAGCAATGGAGTAACAATAGACTCAGAGACTTAGAAACAGGAAGACCCTTCACTGTTTTGCTTTACATTCATTTGAATGTAAACCCTGTCTGTTTATATTTTTCATTGTATGAAAAAAGAGAAGATGAGGTTATTTTTTAAAAACCTTACAGTATTTTTCTTGATAAGATGTAATCACTGCTGTATGAAGGATATGGACGTTTGGAAGCTATTCCTTCCTTCTGCCTATGATCCATGCACCAGTACAAACCTGGTCATTTTATTTCAATAACATGCAGCATCAGCAGAGTCCATTGTGCGTTTATAGCCTTAGAGCTCGTCGTGTTGATTGGAGTCGTGTTTTAGCCAGGTTCCTATTTCTTTCAGCTAAGTAGTTACAGCAAGCTGTAACTTCATGCGACAAGCCTGGACATAGCTTTTCCTTTTGGCCCCAAGAAACTTCTGGGATGCATTTTCTGTGTATGTAGGGTCCCACCAGATTTAAGAAAAGAAATGACTCATTTTTCCACCACTGCATTTTTGTAGTCTGGCTTATGTCACCAATCAGGACAAGGCTACTCAATCTGGCTTCTTCCATTAAGGGACTGGCTCTAACATAGAGCCTTCTGGTTTTTGAACCAAACTCAGATCCAGCAAGGCCTCATTCTCATTTTGGCAAGAAAGTAAGGCCAGTTGGCCTGAACAATATTTTAACCTCTATCTTTTCAGGGCCCCAGGGATTTCATCTCCCCACAGGAAAAAAAAGGACCAAGCCAGGCCTTCAGGTTGTTTGCATATGCCTGTAGCTCAGGCTGCCCTGCTGTGCAGAATTTCCTCCAAGTTGTATGCTTGGGTGGTAGGCATGGATCTAAGATGCCCCCAAGGTTCTCACTACTTAGTGTGCTCTGAATAAGCGCCTCCTCTTGAGTGTGTGCAGGCCTGGCCTAATTAGGTGAGCCCTTTAAAAAACAGGTGTAATGGAAGAGACAAAATGTCTAAGAAATTCCACACTGCAGAGATGTCCTCTCTCTTGCCTTGGAGGAACAACTGCCATTTCATGGATGGGGCCACATGGAAAGGGCCTGCGAGTAACCTCTGGGTGCCAAGAGGGAAACCCACCCAATGACTAGCAAAAAAATGGGATGATTGGCCATACAACTGCAAGGAAATGAATTCTGCCAGCAACCTGAGGGGTTCAGAAGCACATCTTCACTTAGTCAGTCAAGCCTCCACATGAGAACACAGCCAGCTGACAGATTAATTTCAGCCCTGTGAGACCTTGAGCAGAGGACCCAGCTAAAACATGCCAGCCTCCTGATACACAGAAACAGTGCAGTGACAAATTTGTGTTGTTTTAAGCCACTAGATCTGTGGTGATTTTTAAATTCAGCAATAGAAAACTAATACAGCCTGGAACATGCCTAACCTTCCATGCAGAATATTACATTATACAGCAGTAATTTCCAAGACTGTTAGATAAAAAATGGATAATGTGGCTCTATAACAAATGGAAAGCAACATAGAAATGTTGTGATTCTTGTAGACAATTAAGTTAAGAGGGTAGCATATCGTATTATCATTGTCCCTTCTTGCTTCTTAACCAGTTTATTTGCTGTCTCCCACATGCATTATTACATTATATGTGTTCTCAGCAGTTTCAGCCTGTGATTTTCTGGCTTCCAATGTGTTTAGACATTGACTCAAAATTGCAGTCATAGGTTTTGCTTTTTTAAATTGTTAAAATGCTATCATTCTATCAACAAATACTACAACATTACTAAAACTTTTTTTCATTATATTGTTCATGTTTGCTGTTAAGTTAGGGAACTTATTTTTTTCTCATTTTGTAATACAAATACAGCTATAATAAGAGGCATAAAACCCACACAATTTATATATACTTCATTGTCTCAGATTGAAAATCAAAAATACATAGTTCAAATCTATAGATGTGGAGCCCGTAGTAGCTGAAATTGTGGGCCTATATTTTAAACTCATCAGCATCACTTTTAATTTTTTTTCCTAAACACAGTTAAACATGGTCTGAAAGTGCCAAACTCCATCACAATTTTTTTCCCCTTTTTCCTGGCCCGGGTTTGTAATGAGCTTGTGTTTGAGAGAAAGAGAAAAGGAGAAAATAATTGGAACTGTCTCTCGTTACCACTAACTCCTGTTTTTGAAGGTTTTTCTATTGTTTAACACCTTCCATTTGTTTTACCTTAGAAGCGTGATTCAGTTATCAAAACCTGAAGAAAATGAAATCTAACTTATAAGGCTTCATCATAAATATGGTGACTCAAGTCAGGAAAACCAAGCTGTCTGAAGGCCTGGATTTTAGATTTTCCTCTGAAATGAAAGTTGGCCCTACAGATGCCTCTGGGGACCATCCTGACAGGCCAGGTATTCTCACCATGGTTATCAGTGTGAATACACATAAGCTCTTGTGATCAAGGGCTTTGCTAGCTGCTCATCCATTAGGTAAAGTCTGGTGGGTATAGACTTGGGACTTACTACCAAAGGGATCATATCCTCCAGGATTACCTGACTCACTGAATCATCTCAAAGTTCCAATGTTTACCCTTCAGTCTAGCATAATGAAGGGAATCTGTTTTGATGTGCAATACACAATGTCTCAATTTCTCAGAGCTGAGAAAGACTATAAATATTCAACAGTCTTTTGCCTAACACGTGTACCCATTCTTCCCAAGCTCTATTCAGTAAGCCACCCTACTGTTGCTGCTACTACTGATGCAGCTCCTGCTGCTAGTTAACCTTTTTGTAATGTTTACTATGTTCCACACACTTGGAGGTAGTATATTGGTTATCTATTACCACATAACATATAAACTCCAAAACTGAGCAGCTAAAACAAGATTGATGATCTCACACAGTTTCCAGTACTGGCTTTGTTGGGTGGTTCCAGCTGTGGTCATTGTCTCATGATGTTGTAATTCAAATATTGCCTGTGGCTACAGGCATCTGTAAGCTTTATGGGACTGGAAGACCCAGTGCTAAGACAACCCACACACTTAACTTGCAAGGAGATGCTGGCTATTGAAAGGAGACCTTTGTCCCTTATCATTTGGACTTCTTTATGGGGCTGCTAGAGTCTCTTCACAACTTGGCAGCTAGCCTCCCCCAAGCGAGTGATCCAAGAGAGAACAAGGCAGCCTTAGCTGTGTATTTTATGACCTAGCCTCGAAATCATGCACCATCATTTCTACAATATCTTATCGGCTATGCAGGTTAGTTTCATTCAGTGTGGGGGAAGACTGCACAAGGGCATGAATACCAGGTGGCAATAATCACTGGTGCCCATCTTGGAGGCTCCAATATGTAGGTATAACACATAATTTATACTTACAAAGTGTATATTCTATATGCTATTCTCAACTATTAAATCATTTTCCTGGTGTGAAGGATATATTTAAGAGAGAAGATTCTAAACATACTGACTAATGCCTTCATTTTCATAATGATTCCGTCTGAATTTGGATATTTGAAAATATTTACTGACATTCTACCATCTGCTAGTCACCCTTCTGGGTACCAAAAATACTGTGGTGATTGAGATAGACAGAATGACAGCCCTCATGAAGCATATAGTCTAGAGTGGAGAAACTCTGTTTTAGTCCATTTGTGTTGCTATAAAGGAATACTTGAGACTGGGTAATTTATAAAGAAAAGAGGTTTATTTGGCTCACAGTTCTCCAGGCTGCATAAGCAGCATGGTGCTGGCATCTGGTGAAGGCCTCAGGCTGCTTCCACTCATGGCAGAAGGTGAAGGGAGCTGGTGTGTGCAGAGATCCATAAAGAGAGGTGAGGCAAGAGAGAGATAAGAAAGTTGCCAGGCTCTTTTTAACAACCACCTTTTATGGGAACTAACAGAGCAAGAACTCTGGCCATTGTTCACAGTGACACAGCACCAAGCCGTTTATGAGGAATCCACCCTCATGATCAACAACTCTCTTTAGGTCCCACCTCCAACAGTGGGAATGACATTTTAACATTAGGCTTGGAGGGTCAAATATCCAAACTATATAGCAAACTCTAATCAAGTAAATAGACTGCCATGAGCTTCATAATAAAGATAAAAGCATTGAGATGGAAAATAAGTGGTAAGTGGAGGTTACCTAGGATAGGGTAGCCACAGTGGGCTTTCCTGAAGAGACAGCATTTGACTCAAGAACAACAGCCTGAGTATGAGCCTGTAATATGAAGACGGGAAGCTGCTTGGGGAGAGGAGGGGCAAATCAGACCAGGAAAGAGACTGGTCTGTTCAAGACCCGAAAAAAAAAAAATTAGTGTGGCTGAAGCAAAGTGGAGAGGAGAGGGGTAAGAGATGAGATTGTAATGAGAGAAAAAGGCCAGATCACATAGTGCTCTGTGAGTCACTTCTAAATTTAATGGCAGCCATTGAGAAGTTTTTAGTAGAGAAGCAGCATGATATTCTTTGTGTTTTGGGATGCTCAGTCTTGCTACTAGTTAAAAAATAGAGGGTCAGTTTCAGCTGCTATTATCTTTGTTCCCCTTTTTGTCTCCTTATAGGTCCGGATGACTTTGGCTTTCAAATGAGACATCTTCCCCCTGCAATGAGCAGTCACTTTTCTTT
Organism: Homo sapiens; assembly: GCF_000001405.40. NCBI lineage: Eukaryota > Metazoa > Chordata > Mammalia > Primates > Hominidae > Homo > Homo sapiens. The sequence continues at coordinate 68,212,556 of NC_000003.12, forward strand.
CCTCCCACTAAACATTATTAAAACCATGAATCACTCATACAGTATAAGTGTGTATCCATTCACCTTTTTATTACATTTTCTCAGCTTTTATCCCCTTTCAGAATTGTACTTTACCTGAAATTCCTTTTCTTGGTGTTATCCATACAATATGCCAATCAGTTTTTTAAAAGTATGTCTAAATAAGGCCAGCCAAGGTGAAAAGTTGAGGCAATGGTGGTCAGAGTTGGAGAAAGGGGATGGTTGCCATGGAATTATTCATCCCTGACCCATGTGCGATCTTTACTTGGTGCTGCACTGACACACTCAGCTATGTGGTTGAATCACACACTAAGCTGCTGGGTGGGATTGTAGCCCACGGTCCCAGCCAAAGGAGGAAAAGTCATCTTTAGAAACTCTCAGGATATGCCACATTCCCTCGCGTTAACCCTCCTCTGGGCCCAGCTAACTTAACTTACAAATGGTGGTATTTTTTTTTTTTTAATCATTTTAGAGAGAGTAAAAACATAACACAGGTAGTGAGGTTATTAGCTCCTCTGCACTTCAACAGAAGTCAGTAGTTGATTCTGTTGGATGATATAATCGGTTATAACACTTTGTTGCCAGTAAAAAAGAAACCAACTCCAGCTAATGTAAGTGGAAACTGAATTTATTGGATGACTACCAAGAGACTTGAAAAATTGAAGGAAATGTTGGAAAAATAACTTTAAAAGGGAAAAATCAAACTGTGTCCATAATTTAAGACATAGCACCCAGATCTAGCTCATAGTCTCTTCAAGTTGTCACTTCTGGAATGAATGAATGTCATCGTTATTTTCTTGTTGTCTTTTTTCCCTTTTGCATCCTTCTGCTTAATATTAAAAATCTCAAAAGAGAGCTCATTGATCTGGCTTGGCTGTATGTAGTTAAGAGAAGTAATATCCCAGGAGGAAATCAGAGTGCTATTACCAAAAGTGATACCTTCCCTTTACTTTCATGTATTCTTCCCCCAAGCTCCCTGTGGAGTCAGGGGGTAGGGCCTGGAGTATATGAAAGATATTAGATCTTCGGAGAAATGTCATCAAGACTGTGTGGATTCCATAAATTCCACACCCAGCCAGGAAGATGCACACCTTACGTGTTCCAAGTAATTTTATCAGTATATTACAATAAATCACATGCCACATCTTTCTGCATAATGACCTCCAGTTTAGTAATTGCACTCACAGTAAATGTCTGTGATCAGAAAGTGTACCCAGCTTAGAACTTCTTACCATTGGAGCCAGTGGGAAAGTTCTGCTTAAAGCCAGTAGAGCCTTTAGCACATTCTTCCAATATTGAATCAATTCAACCTTGACTTTCATAAAAAGTTATTTGATTTTTGCCTGCCTTAACCTCAGATGGTTATTATACACACAAAAAAAGACTATATACAGAAGAGTTAACTACAAAGTAGGCAATATGGTTCCCAATATTACCTATGTATATATGTGTCTACTGCAGTATGCCACTGGGCTGTGTCAAAGCTGTTTCTCAGTTAATTTTGAGTACCCTAGTAAAACACATTAGTATTGGTTTCTTGGATTTGCTTGTTAGAAGGAATGGATCAGCTGGGATATTGGTCTTTTCCTTGACATACATCAACAACTCTTGACACTCAACATGGTCCAAATGCTTTGTCTGTCCTTTTCATGCTTTCTAGTTATCATAGAATTCAGGCATTTCCTTAATTTGCCAAGCACACTTGAAACAATGTTATTTCCTTATTAAACCAATCAGGAATTGATCTCTGAGTATAGAAGCTGTGATGCTTTGATACTCTCCTGGCCACATGGCATAGATACAGCTTTTAATATAGTCTTCTAAAATTCTCCCATTCAATTTCTTAGGTACTATAAGGCCTTTCCCTTTGCACAAAATTTGGTGTGATTAAGTTCTGGCCACCTAACTCTGTGATTTCTATTGGTTGGAGGAGCATAGTGTTCGAGAGCTCAGGTTCCTGGTTCACAGAGACCAGAGTTCACACTCTCATGCCGTTTCTTTCTCACTGTGTGACTTTGAGCAAGTTCCTTAGTTTTTCTGGGCTTCTATTTCCTGGTTTTCAGATAAATATAATAATAATAAATGAGGTTAAGTAGGATATTATGTGCTAAATTCTTGATTCTGTGTCTAACACAAAGAGCTCACAAAATGTTAACAGTTATCATCAGCAACTGCAGTTTGCCCTTTCAAACTACCTCCTCTTACATATACTGTATTTGGTTATTCATTACATTCAAAGGAGAATTTATTGTCCCTGTTTTTTAAATAATACACATCAATTTTTTTTAAGTGGGAAGAAAAGAGAGACCCCACTGAGTGAGTGGGGAGTTCCCCACAATTTTAGTCCAAGTGTCTTAATAAGAAAGAAAGTTGCACTTTTGCTTAGAGGTTGTATATACTGTTGCTGATCTGTGAAATGAAGGACACTCAGATTTCTGCATTATTTAATCATATCAATATAAAGCTCCATAAAACTACTTTAAATTCAATGAAGCATCATTAGCCCAGTATGCTAAGGAGGTTTCACTGTGAATTTATGCGGTTATAACTGAAATCAAAACCTGACATAATGTATATGCCTAAGAGGAATAATAAGAACAATAATAATAAATAGATCATACTCAATATATGCCAAGCACTTTCCATGCATTATTCTATTTAATCTTCACACTAAGCAGTGTGGTGCTTAAGAAGCATAAAAATGTGGTGAGAGTACAGGATTTGGAGGTCAGACAATCTAAGCTGAAATTTAGGCTATGTGGCCTTTGCCCAGTTAATCTTCACGTCCCAATTTTTCCATCTGAAAAAATAAAGTATATAATTTCTGAAAAATGGAAGGTTAGAGAAAATCTAGGTAATCTTGCTTGGATTTGGTGACAAGTCTTTAGATACAACACCTAAAGCATGACTCATGAAAGAAAATATCAATAAACTAGACTTCATTAAAAATTACAAACTTCTGCTCTGTGAAAGATATTGTTAAGAGAATGAAAAGACAAGCCATGACTGGGGAGAAAATATGTGCAAAATACATTTCTGATAAGGGACGATGAGCCATTAGAATGACAAAAATCTTAAAAACTGGCAATACTAAATGCTGACAAGAATGTGGAACAACAGGACCTCATTGTTGATGGAAATAAAGAATGGTATAGCTACTTTAGAAGACAGTTCGGCAGTTTCTTACAAAGCTAAACATAATCTTACCCTATGATCCAGCAGTCACACTCCTAGCTATTTACCCAACTGATTTGAAAGCCTATGTCCACACAATAACCCTCACACACATGTTCATAGTGGCTTTATTCATAAACATCCCAAACTGTAAACAACCAAGATGTCCTTCAATCAGTGAATTGATAAACAAACTGTGGTACACTCATCCAGTGGAATGTTATTCAGCCAAAAAGATAAATGAGCTATCAAGCCATAGAGAGACATGGAGGAAACTTAAATGCATGTTACTAAGTAAAAGAAGCCAATCTGAAAAGGCTACCTACTCTATTATTCCAACCACAAAACATTCTGGAAAAGGCAAAACTTCAGAGAAAGTAAAAAGATTAGTGGTTGCCAGAAGTTCAGGAGGAGGCAAGGTTGAATAGGTGGAGCAGAGAAGATTTTTTTAAAGCAGAAAAACTGCTCTGTACGATAGTCTAATTGTGGACATATGACAAAACGCATTTGTCAAAACCCATTGAACTTGAATGCACATACAATGGACCTTAATGTTTGCAGATTTTTAAAAACCGTTTTCAAGAACAGGGGAATCCCAGATGAATGCAGAATATGACTAAAAATCCTAATTCTATTAAAATATATAAAACACCTTCACTGAAGGCAGTGGGGGAAAACAATGCTGACTTTAGTAATTTTGGAAATGTGTAGTCTGTAAAATTAAAGGAAAATAAGACTGTGCATAAGCACTGAGATTGGGTTGATAAAGTTGTATTCCACAAAAGCATGGGTTAAATGTGTATATATGCGGCATTGTTATACACGTATATTTCCTTGACATAGCAGTGAGCACACTTAGTGCCCAGATCATAGTTTCCAATAGTATGACTCAATTGTAAAGACCAGAGATTTTTGGAAAATTGGATAATTCTAGGAATGGGACAGGAAATACATAAGATGAGTCTGGAGCATCTTGTAGTACCAGTAAGCAAGAAAAGGCTCAAAAAAGACATCACTCCATAATCGCAGAGTCAAAGGGACACGGGAACCAACTGAAGAGCTCCCAAGAGCCAGCACTGGAGCAATGAGCAACAAAATGAATAAAGTGATATGGGATTATAAGCCAAAGTACAAAATAAATATCCATTGGCTTTACTGATATAAAGAAATGATCGAATAAATAAATGGAGGAGAAAAGACAAATCTACCATGCAGGAGAATTCCAAATAATTTAGATTGAAAATCTACCCTCAAGGAGGGAGAGCACAACTCTCTGCCCTTTAAGTATGAATTCTGCATTGTGACTTTCTTCTGAAGTGTAAAGGATGGAAAAGTGAGTGAGGGGAAGAATAACTTTCCAATAGAGAAACCTGGCAAAGATTACCACAGCCAAGTTAACACAAACAAAAGTAATTGCAGTTTTCACCATTATTCTTAATGTAATTTATTAATTACTTTTAATGGCAAAAACTGCAATTTCTTTTGCACCAACCTAATATTATCTACCCTTGATATAGTGAAATAAAAATCATAGTTTATCTCTGTGGTCTTCCTCCCCCAAACCCATAATCCCAGTCTAATTATGGAAAAAAATCAGATAAATATAAATTGAGCAATGTTCTATAAGTTATCTGACCAGTACTTCTCAAAACTATCAAGGTCATAAAAAACAAGAAAAAGTTTGAGAAACTGTCACAGCCAAGAAGACTAAAGAGACAGATGGCTCAATTATCCTGGATGGATGGGATCCTAGAACAGGGGAATAAAACAGGACATTAAGTTAAAACTAAGGCAATCTGAATAAAGCATGGACTTTATTTAGTTAATAATATATTGAAATTGAATCATTAATTGTAAGAAGTGTACCATACTAATACTAATGTAAGACATTAATAATAGAGGAAACTGCTGTGTGGGGATATAGGAACTCTGTACTCTTCATAATTTTTCTATAAATCTAATACTGCTCTAAAATATTTTATTAAATTTGAGGGTTAGTATGACAATTAAGATAACGTGTTTTTCAAACCCTTTATATGTATTGATTTATTTCATTCTTACAAAGACAATCTGAGATAGCACACTTACTATCTCATTTAGCTTTCACAGTAAATTTATTTTTTCTTGCCTAATGTTAGATTTTATTATCATCATTATTATAATTGAAGGGTATTTAGATTTGAATAAAATAAATACCTTTAAAGGTTTAGAGGAACCTCTGAAATTATATACTAAATGCCATATGCTGTGTGCCTTCCTGGGAAGAGCATCTGAAGCACTTCTTATGTCTTCAGATCTTTATGACAAATGGATCTTTACACAATATGTTTCCTGGAGATTTAATTGGCATCCCACATGATTTGATGTTTCAATTTTCCAGGATTAATTCAATGTAGAAAATTCCAGCCTCTCAGGTCACAGTTACAGAAATTCGATGAAAGGTCCCAAGATTTTCATTTCTTTGTATTTAAATAGATGTTGATTTCAGATTTTTTTCTCAACATCGACTGGCAAACAGCTTTAAGAAATAAATGATGCTCTAAAGTCTCCATTTTTATAGCATGTTTTGATGTAATGATGTACTTAGAAGGATCAAATGTAATTTCTTAATATGTAGGTTAATTAATTACAGCTTTTAAAAGAGAGTATATTCTTATTCATGATAATCCAGATTTCTGGCTTGTGACTGATTCCCAGGTCACGGTATGGGGATGAGGAATGAGTCGATGGGGCGTCAGTCTCACAGTCATCACCACTCCATTGTGTCTTTATATCTCATATCTTTATGTCTGTTTGTATTTCATACCTGGTCCTACAGGTATCCAGTCTATGAAAGTTAATACCAGTAACTGCTACCTTCAAATACTGGAAAAGCATCCAGACAGAAGAAAGGTAGAGCTTCTTCTCTGGAATGCCGGAAAACAAAACTTGTAAGAAAGATCAAAATTTGCATTGAGTTAAATTTCTGCTTAATTAACCTGAGAAACACATTGACTTGTGAGGTGATGAGATCATTCCTTGCTACCACCCATGTAGAGAAGAGTCTGGACTTGGGTTAAGCTGAATAAATGGCCACTGAATTTCCATCAAGCTCCAAGAGACCATAGTGTTGTTTCTTTGATAACTTTAGTTTCTTACTATCCGTGACCATCACAAATGTAACTTCATTTCATCTTAGCTCTGAATGTGAAATCCTTTTGAGTGTCCTTGATATTGCTGAAGGATTTCTAAATAGTACTACTCAATTCCTAAGCATTCTTTTTTTTTTTTGAAATTATTTTAAACCAAGATGTTCTCTAAAAGGATTTATAACTTACCATTAGAAATCCTCTTCATTGCTTTTTAGCCTTTTAGGATTTTGTAGGGATTACTAAGAGGATTTCTTTTTATCACTAGGGAAATATGGCTACAGCTACTATATCTTAAAAAAAATAAATCTTAGGCATAGCTTGACAGTGAGAAATGCATTTATATTCCCCTCCAGAACAGTTTCCTTATAACCCAAAGACACTTTTTAAAAGTATTTTAATTTGACAAAAACTATAACAAAATAAAACCTAGAGCAGTTAGATCTACTTTTGTATATAGTTTACTAATATAGACATTATTGAACTGAATATCAAAATATAGTTTAGAACTCACAGTGCTTAAAAAGTCATGTTTTAGCACTCTGTTACCCTATCTTTTGGCCTTTTCCAATGCAGTTGTGTATAAACACAGGTGTCTTTATAAACTCTCATTCTAGTTTGGCCTCTACATCCAGGCCCATCCAATCAGCTTTCTTGCTGGCTGTTGGCCAGGGATCACTCTCAGCTTCTAGAGGCAGCACTCAAGGGGCCCCCTTTTCTCACATAGGGCTGTTTGCTTTCTTCCAGGCCTTCCAGAGAACATGTCTCTGATGCTTCACCTTTTAAACATTTCACCTGATTGACATTTATCCAGGATAATCTTGCTTTTCATTAACTCAAAGTCAACTGATTAGTAACCTAATCAAGGGAATGATATCTCATTATAATCACTTTTGCTGCCTACACTCAAGGGAAAGAGATTTTACAGGGTGTATACACCCAAGTTCAGAAACCTTGGGAGCATCTTAAATTCTGCCTGTCCTGGATGGGTACCAAGTTTGTCTCAGCACTGGTTATATGTTTGCAGATTATAGTTAGTTGCCAGAAAAAAATAGGAGACCTTATCCATATTAGGCCAATAAAAACAATTGCTAGACAATAATCAGTAATCAATACAAAAGAAGGTTTTGTCCTCTCCAATCCTTTGAGGTTTTAATATGATAAATTGGTTTATAAGCTTCATAGGTCCCCAATTAATTGTGTAAGTCGAAATATGAACTGTAGAGCATGGATTAGACCTTTGAAACAAAACATTCTTAATTAGAAAAGAATGTCACTTAGCTTCTAAATTCATTTGGTTCATTAACTCAAGATGTGAAATTTATATGATCACTGAGATAGATGTCCTCAAATACTTTTTAATTTTGTAACAAAGATATATAAAGATTGTCTGCAAAACAAGGCTGAATGAAGCCAGTTCTAAAGTGAGCTCTCATGGAACTTAGATGAGAAAGTGATTAATTCAAGCTGAATAAAATCTCACAGATAAGGGGGCATTTATGCTGAGCCTGGAATAAAAGCAGGCTCACAACTTTAGCACATATTACAACTTTAGTGTGCAGTTCTTTTAATTTGTCTACAATTAATATGGTCTTATTTCTCCCTAAGTTCTTTAGACCTACTCATTAGTGAAGAGAAGAAAAAAAAAAACTACTGATGGATGTCCATTCCGATTTACAGCTCTGTCCAATCTGTCAGTTCAAACAATTTCTTCGGAAGGAGTTTACTATCTTATACAAAATGATCAGTATCTCAGATTTCCATCACCACCTCCAAGATACTCTACAAAATGCCATCAGGTGTGTGGGTAAAGGAGTTTGGCTCTCTCAGTCTCTGTGGAGAAGATGGATTGTGGTCTTTGGGTCACAGTGTTCTTTGGCTCATGTTCACTGAGTAATATTCCTTCATCATTTTCTTGCTGCACTGCTGTCTCTAAGGGTCACTCACAGTATTCTTGAGTAGATCTCTTTCAGCATCCCTCGGTGCATGGTTCTCCCTATCAGACTCATCCTCAGATTGTCCCCACTGGCACCACAGATGCCTCTGAGGATTGGCTGTGATCTCCATCAAGACCTGGCTGAACTGGGTTGCTTTATGTTCCCAGAAACAGAATGATCTTACTTCTGTTACAGCACCCCTGTAGAAGCCTCCAACCACATCCTTAGCAGCTTCAAGTCCCACGGGTCACACAAGTGTAGCTCAGGGAAGTAAAGCCTCAAGACTTCCCTCTGGCCACTCCTCTGCTTCACCATGGCCTCCCACTGGTGCAGGAAGTGGCCTGTAGACCATTTTGGTCCAGTAACAAATACTCTTTTGTGGACTTCAGTATTACTGTTGCTCATCTAATTAACTTTTCTTACTGGACTTTGACCTAGGATAAAGAAAACTGGGACCCAATTTTGCTCTTCTTCCCTTCTCTTTTCTCCTTCCCATTATTTCTTAGGGTCTAAAAAGGGGGGGATGGGTTTGCCCCTATTCCTCCTCTTATCTGGATCTTCCCTACATACAACTCTGATAAGAGAGTAGATTGGCTCTTGATATATTAAATGAGAAATACAACAACTTAGATAATATTTTCTTAAGCAAATAGGGTGGCTTGTAAGGTGCCTGTTTTGCAACAATATCATTTTTTTAAATGTCACAGACAAAAAGTTACCTTTCTCCCAATATTGTTTCTGTTCCTAAATTCCTAATATTCCTCCTCTTTCACCCTCAAACAGATGGATACACTAGAACAACTGGGGTAAAATTTCCAAAAAGTCAGAAAGTGAAAAGAGAAAAAGCATTTTTATGTTTTGAAAATCATTTCAAACAAGGTTCAATAGTATTGCAACTAGCAGGGTATCTAGGTACAGAGAATAGAATGAGCAAATGTACTGTGGGGGAGATTCTCAATGAATATGATCTATAATAAATATGATTTGATTGTGCTATTTGATTCTTTTAATCCCTTCAGAGACACCACTAACAATCACATTTTGCAAAATAATTTGAACACAAAAATTGGATACTTATTTGTGAAATAGAATGAAAATCCATGGTGTATTTGTTGAACACTGAAATATAATAGGGAATGGCACCTGGAAGGTGTTTTGGGGTCAACTGTGGAGAGCTTACTCCCTCAAGATGAATAACTGTTGGATCTGAGCAGACCAAAAATCCTCTAACTTTTTCATTTTATTATACTTTCATAATTCTATTGAGGATGAGAGGAGTAGAAGAGAAAGCCTTACTTATTTATGATCATGGTTCTGATTTACAAGTTAAACGTTAACACATGCAATGCCACCCATTTTTAGAAGAACAAAACCAAGCCTAAAAACAGTTGATGTAGTTTGTCTTGCCCTTTAGCGCAAACTTCATCTGATGTCATTGCCGTTAGGTTATTGTTCCTTTCACAAGATGAATTTTATGCCAGACAGGAAAGCACTATATTGTCCTTCCTATTTCCTCCTCTGATATATCTTTATTTGCAGAGTTAAAAGTAAGGAAATAAGAATTGGTCTTTTACCTGCTTGTCTCTGACATTTTCTGAGTTGTATGAAGAGTGAGACCATTTTTCTTCATATATCCCCCTCCTCTTGCCTTCAGGGTTACTAGCTTAGTTATGTTTCTACTTGGCAGGTATTCAATATCTATTTGATCAATAAATTTGGTTGAATTAACTTCTCAAGTTTATTTGTACAGGATCTTTATTCCATCTCAATGTGGCAGATTAAACATATTTTCTAATGGAGGATCATCAACCATACTTCTTAATATGTCTGTTTTTGGGGAGGGTGGAGAGTATTGTTTTTATTTTTATTATTTTTATTTATTTATTTGTTTATTTTGAGATGGAGTCTCACTCTGTCACCAGGCTGGAATGCTGTGGTGTGATTTTGGCTCACAGGTTCAAGCGATTCTCCTGTCTCAACCTCCCAAGTAGCTGGGATTACAGGCGCCTGCCACTATACCCAGTTAATTTTTGTATTTTTAGTAGAGATGGGGTTTTACCATCTTGGCCAGGCTGGTCTCGAACTCCTGACCTCAAGCGATCCACCCACCTTAGCCTCCCAAAGTGCTAGTGCTGGGATTATAGACATGAGCCACTGTGCCTGGCCAGTATTGTTTTTTAAAATATCACTTTCTATTGAACATTCTTCATTATGGCATTTTTTTCCCACAAATATGACAATGCTTTGAGGCTTGATTTCTTTTTTGGAAGAAAGCAAGTCTTTCAGAGCCAAGTTTGGTGACTTAGGTAGGTATTCAGAGTGGGTGAACATCTTTCCTGTCAAAATAATCAGTGTGATTTCCTTGAGGGCCTATTAAATGATTATTTAGACACTTCCAACATACTTAAGGTTGAGATCGCTTATTAAACTTCTCAATATTTCCACTTATACTTGAAAGGAAATCTCTGCCAATAAGCAAGCTGGAGTTGTCGTTCAAAATCGTCTTTCAATAAATGAGCACTTACTATGTTTCAGATTCTATGTTAAATACTTTATATACACCGTGTTATTCAATAGTATCACTGAATATTTACAACAAGTTAACTAAGTCATAGAAATAAAACTAACTTAAAACAATTTCTAATTTTTTTCAGAATATGTGTGTGTGTATATATGTATGTATGTGTCTACGCCTGTATGTACATAAGCCTGTTAGGACCATTTTTTTTTTTTTATTATCACCATGTCCTTCTAATAAAAATGTAAGCCTTCCCAGAATTTTACCTACAGAGAGGCACAATATGCAACTGTGGGAAACCCTCCAAGCCTTGGAAGTCAAACACTTAGCAACTCAAGGGATTATTCCCCATGTTCACTGTTGGGATAAGGAAATTTAGACAAGTGGCAGGGTCTTTTCAGTAGTGGCTATGTATTCAGGGCCATGATGAATGCTGATCAGGACAAAAGTAATTTATGGCACACCTGAAGTTATTAGCAATCTTGGGCTGAAATCTGTGACTGATCAATGCCTTCTGGGAATCACCATGCTTTATTTTAATTTCTGCAGTTAAAACTGAATGCAATGCTATACAGCCATGTTTATGTGACTACCTCAACATCAAGTATATGAATTTGACTAAACCTTAATCCAGATTTTTTGTTTATCTAGAATGCAGTTAATGAGAATAAAATTTATTGAGCCCAGATTTTATAGCCAACAACCATGCAAGTAGAGGGAAACTGCTAGTATTTGGTGGGGGTGGGTTATTTCTTCCTCCCTGAATGATGTTTTCTGGTTTGCTTCTCACAGTCAACTTAAAATGTAAAATATTTTAGAAAGATTTAAATGCATGTATGAATTGTCTTTGGTAAATAAAGGTAAATGTAGGCAAATTTAAGACATCCTTATAAGATAGAATAAGACTAAGAAGAGTACTGACATGCCCTTCAAGTGGGTGTCTTCCACCTCAGAACTCTGACCTTTCCCCTCCACACACCTGCTGATTTAGCTTTTCTTCAAGGATAAGGGGTTACACTGATCTGTCCACTCTGTAGGGCCCAGGCTCAGACAGAGGAAAACATAGTCAATTAATAAATTTTAATTCTCTGTTTGTAAAATTTTTGCAACCTATTCCGAAGGGCTTCTAATCTCATCTTAGTCTCTGTGGCAAACTTTTTGGCTTTCTAGAAATCCAGAAACTAGAGGTTTATTAACCTGGAGAATTGTGTTTGTTTCCTGAAAGCTTTCTAGCCTGTGGCCTTTCATTTGAGGGACCATACACAGTTGGTAGCAAAGGTCACTGGACAGAGAGGCTAGTGATTAGAGTCACCCTCCTGGTTGAAGCTCATAGGCTCTCATTTATGGCAGTTCCTTTCATTGCTCTGGGCCTCAGTTTCCCCATCTTTTAAATTAGGCAATTACACCAAACAACTTCTAAAATACTTTTAGCTCATATAAATAGTCAATAAGAGCAAAAGGAGATTCTAGACTTTTAGTTGGGGAGGGGGTTACGAGCCAGGAGGTGTGGGCCTGTGATTGCCTCCCTTGCTGTTTGACTTTTCCAAAACGTTTGGCTTGTGGCACTTTTTTTTTTTTTTTTTTTTTTTTTTTTTTGAGATGGAGTCTCGCTGTGTCACCTAGGCTGGAGTACAGTGGTGGGATCTCAGCTCACTGCAACCTCTGCCTCCCGGGTTCAAGCAATTCTTCTGCCTCAGCCTCCCGAGTAGCTGGGACTACAGGTGCACACCACCAGGCATGGCTAATTTTTGTATTTTTAGTAGAGACGGGGATTTCACCATGTTGGCCAGGCTGGTCTTCAACTCCTGACCTCGTGATCCACCTGCCTCGGCCTCTCAAAGTGCTTGGATTACAGGCATGAGCCACCACACCTGGCTGGCTCATGGCACTTTATTACTTGTTTCAGTGTTAGTTTATTTCCCTGTGTTTAAGCCTAGTGTACTCTCATGTCAAGAGGAGACATGAATGGGAAGTTTTCAACAACCTGCAATGTCTAATCGGAACTTGTGCCCATTTATTCGTAGCAACTTTTATAGGGTCATCTATTTAAAATAAATTTACCCACACCAAAGGAATCCATAGAGAGCAACAGTCAAAATAAATTACCTAATAATTCCTGCCTGTGGTGGAAATATGGTGCCACAGAAGGAAGGCCAGCTGGCAACCTTGGAGAGGTCATGTCTCCTCTCATCTTGTCTGCCCTCTCTACCACAAGGTGTGGATACTGATAGTCGTAGGAAATATGTATTTCCTGAGCACTTACTATGTGCCAGGCCCTGAGTCAGGTACCCAACATGCAGAGTAGGTAGCCAGAGTGGAGTCAGACTTCTCAGGTTCAAGTCCTGTCTCTATTATTTACTTATTATAAAACGTCAGGCAAGGTATTTCACTTCTCTAAGCTTGAATTTCCACATCTTAAATTCTTCTTTGTCTTTATTCTTACTTGGAAAATTGTGTAATCTTGAGCATGTTTTTTGAAGTCTCTGAGCCTCAGATAACCTATCTGTGAAAATGAAGCAATAACAATATCTCTATCTCAGGTTTGCTGTAAGCATAAAAAAAAAAAAATCCATATGAAAACACTTTGAAAACCATCAATATGGAGAGATAAGATTTTGTTATACATAAATTTATAGCCTGTAGTTGAGACATGATGTTAAAGAGTCATATTTCACAAAACAGAATATTCCTGCAGCAGGCAGTCATTAGCAGAATTGAAATTCAGGTCCAATTTTCAGAGTTCAGTTTACTTGTTCAAAGAAAGACCGACTGATTGATGGAAAAGTGTTGTGATTTTCTCAGTCTCAAGGGTCTGCCTTTCCCACTGTTCCTTAGAGCTTGATCAGACAATTAAAAACAAGGGGTCAGGGTATAACTGAAAATAAAATGATTTTGTGCCATATGCCAATGCTATTCACTCATGGGCAGGCTGATATGCTCCAAAGTGTCTGATATGCTTTCATGCCTATTAACAAAGGGAGAGAAACAACCATATTATCACAATCATAGGTTTTCCACCACTGTGCTTCATGTTCAAATGAATGACTCTCATGTTTCTTAGGGACATCATTTTATATGCATACGTGAATTATCAATTCAAAATATTTACTTGCCCTCCTCTCCACTCCACTCTCACATACTCCCATGTCTGTCATGCCTTTTGGTGAAGTTCCAATATAGGAGACACAAGTGGTTAATGAAAATAAAACTTGAGATAAATTCTCCTTGGCCTCAAGGACCTAATCTGAATGGGGAGAGGCAGCCTCATCATTGCTTGCCCTCCTCTTCTTCATATTAATGTTCATTGTGTAACACATTTTACAAGGTACTTTCATGTATATTATACTACTTAAGACTCTCAACCACCCTGAGATGTAGGCAGAGCATGAATTATTAGCTTTCTTTTGAAGTCAGACAAATGAAAGCTCAGAAGTGATTTGGCTCAAGACAGAGAACCAATAGTTCTCAGAGCCTGGTCACTTCCCAGCTGAGCCCCCATCCTGATGCCAGTGCTTTTTCTCCCTACCACATCTGCCAAGCACAAGCTTGGGAAGACAAAACTTGCAAAAGGTAGCAACCAGCAATGAGCGCCACCAGGAAGCTGACTAGCAGTTCAGAGGAGTAAAGGGTACGTAGCCTTGGCCGAGGGGTTGTGGGGCACATAAGAGAAGCTGATTTGGCCTCTGTCCTCTAGAGAACATTTACTATTATAAGGGAGCCCAGATGCACACAAATGAAACAATGAGCTGCTGAAAGCCAAGAGTCAAGCAGTCATTGTTACTGGGGTGGATTCCTTAAACATCTCAAAATGTCTGTTTTTTTTTGTTTTTTAACACAAGGCAAATATTTCTAGCATATGCAAATATTCACATAAAAATTTGTATTTCTCGAATGTGGATTAGCTTGTATCCTAGCAATCTCTGTTTAGGTTTCCTCTAACAGGAATAGAACTAAAAATAAATCATATGTCATTAGATAATCTCAGAGTACATCCATTAATTTCCTTTCCTGCTAAAAAGCAATGAAATTATGGTTTGGGCTGTGTTGAGAACATTACATGAAAAATGAGGAAAGGGAATCAAGACAGATTAGAACATAATTATGTGGGCTGGAATTCAGCCAGACCCTTCAAAGCCTTGCCAAGTTGGTGACATCCTATGTCCATCCTCTAGGTAAACCTGGAAAATGAGTACTTCAAACTCAAAATGACACTTTCCATGTAGCAAGTCTCCATACAGGCATATTGGGGAAAAACTGAATCACAAAAGACCACAAAATGCAAAGGGAGAAATTAAGTGAAAGACTGAATAGAAGATGGAAAATATAATGCTGACCACTTATATATTATGGACTAGACTGTTGGCTTTTTTTCTCCCAACTATGGTCAGAGATATTAACTTTCTCTATACAGATCTGGCTTGAATCCGTGGTGAATTCCCAAACAGGGTGTGAATTTATCACTCAATATTGGGAGCATCTGGGGCTTTTCATTTTATTAAAATGATTTTTTTCCCACTACATGTGCTCCATGGAGCAAGGTCTGTACGTTATAAGTTAAAAGTGATTCCCCAGAAGGAAATCTTTTATCACTGGCCGTAACTTGGAGTGGAGCATATACTTTATTTTGGAAGCTGCCTTGTGGAGAAAACAGCCCAGGGTGCAACTTGGAGACAGGTTGACAAGTGCATAAGTAGCTTGTAGCTGAGCCCTCAGGATGGAAAGATAGAACACAGGCTGTTTCGGCAGATGCATTTGAGGTTTGCTCATCTGTGAAAACTGGGAGAATAAAAGTACTTACTCATTGAGTTATCATGAAGAGTAAACAAGATAATGCATGGAAAGCATCATTACATCCCCTGGCATATTGTAAGCCCTCTATAAATACTGTTCTTTTTCCTAATTTTTATATTTTTGTTTATTAATTTGTTTTAGAGATGGGGTCTGGCTATGCTGCCCAGGCTGGAGTGAAGTGGCTTTTACAGGCACGATTAAAGCCCATTGCAGCCTTGAATTCCCGCTCAAGCTATCCTCCCATCTCAGCTTCCCAAGTAGCTAGGACTGCAAGTGCAAGCCACCATACCTGGCAGACCTCTATAAATATCAACTGCTATGTCAGGCATGATAATCAGGCTCAAAAATATTTCCGCAGAAAATACATTATTACTGTATATTTTCTGTTCTAGCAGTACCATCTGGCTGTGTACTTTTACTTCTTTCATTTACTCCTGCTCGACTGCTTAGTTATTGATTTTCTTACTTGTCCATCTCTCCTACTATACTATGAATGTTTCAAGAACTAGGTTTATTACCTGTTGTCTCTGTAGTCTTGGTGCCTAGCACAAAGTTTAGAATTTACTAGTTCTCAATATATGCAAGTTTAATGGACTTAAAAGAAACAATTCTTTGCTTCTTAGTAAAACCAGCTTTGGGAAATATGCCAAGACTGGAATAAAACCACATCTCATCTGGTGTTGAACTTGCAAGTGAAACAGATGAGAATGGCACCCTTCCTCCACCTATATTGAGCCCTTGCTCAAATACTTAAGGTTAAGTGAAGGCTGAAGGAAGAAATTTGGGAGAAAGCAGGAGAAAAAAGGGACACTGGGGGAGGGATTTAAAGAGCAAAGATTGCTCTTGAAGAATTCATTCTGCCCAAGATGGTTTTCCACTCACTTCTCTGATTCCCTGACCACCCACCATCTGCCCCCTCCAAATATGGCATCTGGCTCGACTTTTAAAAAACAGGAGGCTTCACTTTCATCAAATTCAAGAAATCTTGGCTATGGACTTGTGATTTTTGAACCAGATAGGCACAATAGTCTTAGCAGCATTTTGTGTTGGAGTAGATTTGGAAGTCATAGTGAGTATTTCCTCACTGATTTTCTTCATTGGCAGTCAAGCAGATAACTAAGATCTGCTATTGCTCTTTCTCATGTTTTTACAACGTTCAAAAATAAGAATTTTACCTCTGTGAAATAAACATATATAACAAATCCTTATATGCTAGGTGAAAAAGTAGAAATTCTTGCTAAGATATCTTATTCTAAAACAGAAAAAATACCTGCTGCTTTACTGTCTAAAATGTCATCGCTCAACCATTTTCACTGGTTTGTGGTTGAGATGGGATTTTAAAAATCCCAACATAATCAAAGTAGTAGCACAAGGCACTGTTTTGTTTTGGAGTGGGCTTTTTTTTGGCAAATGATGCAAAACACTTTTCTAATGTAGAAATGAGAAATGTGGAAACATAGGCTGGAACTGTAGCATGGCCAAGATGATTATAACATAGTTGACGTTTTCTTCACATGGTTAATCATTACTTTTTCGTAGGTGGGAAGAAGAAATTAGACTAATTAAATTGTGATCATTGTCATATGAACAGCTCTCAATGTGCATTCATTGGAATGAAATATAGTTGTCAATTCTTTGATGTCAGACCTGTTTCGGATTCCAGTTTCTCTACTTACATGTGTAGTTTAACCCCCTTAAGGCTCAGTTTCTTCATCTATATAACGGAGAGATATATAATGCTTGCCTCAAACAGCCGTTTATGACAAGTAAATGTGATGATGTATGTAAAATCCTTAGAATAGCACAGGACCTATGGTGATGGCTTAATAAGTAACTTTTTTTTAATTTTTATTTTTTACTTTTATGGATACACAAGAGTTGTACATGTACATGGGGTACATGGGATATTTTAGCACAAGCATGCAGTAAGTAATGATCCAATCAGTATAATTGGGATATCCATCACCTCAAACATTTTTGATTTCTTTGTGTTAGGAACATTCCAATTCTAGTCTTCTAGTTATTTTTAAATATACAACAAATTATTGTTAACTACAGTCACTCTATGTGCTACCAAACACTAGATCTTATTCCATCCAACTATATTTTTGTACCCATAACAAACCTCTCTTTATCCCCCCCTGCAACCCCCCAATGAACCTTCCCTGACTCTGATAACCGTCATTCTATTCTATATCTCCATGAGATCAATTTTTTTTAATCCCACATATAAGTGAAAAATGTGCCATGTTTGTCTTTCTGTGCCTGGCTTATTTCACTTAACACAATGTCCTCCAGTTCCATCCATGTTGTTGCAAAAGACAGGATTTCATTCTTTTTCATGGCTGAATAGTATTTCATTGTGTATATGTACCACATTTTCTTTATTCATTCATCTATTGATGGGCACTTAGGTTGATTTCATATTTTGACTCTTGTGAATAGTTCTGCAATAAACATGTGGGTGCAGATATCTCTTCAATATAGTGATTTTCCTTCCTTTGGATATACAATGAGCAATGGGATTGCTGAATCATATACTACTTCTACTTTTAATTTTTTGAGGAACCTCCATACTGTTCTCCATAGTGATTGTGCTAATTTACATTGTCACCAACAGTGTATGAGGGTTCCTCTTTCTCCACATCCTTGTCAGCATCTGTTATTTATTGTCTTTTTGATAAAAGCCAACTTAACTGGGGTGAGACAATATCCCATTGTGGTTTTCATTTGCATTTCTCTGATATTAGTGATGTTGAATATTTTTATATCTGTTGACCATTTGTATGTCTTCTTTTGAGAAATGAATGTTCAGATCTTTTGCCCATTTTTCAAACAGATAAATAACTATTTAATTATCATTCAATCATTATTTACTGAGTGCCTTCTTTAATCACTAGTCATATTTAGTGTATTTTTATCAAAGACAATGAAGGTTTTTATATGTTTACATTTTTTGTTTATTTAAATGCATGTGTATGTTCCTGTATTTATACAGGATATGCAAATTGAAAGGTCCATCCTTTCCACCAAGCATAGAGATACAAATTTTTGTACACATGTATTTTTTCTGACATTTTATTATAAACATTTAAATACTCAAAAAGGTAGAAAATTGAACAAATGAACAACTCATTACCAACACATAGCTTACACAATTATCCTTTTATTATATTTGCTTTAACACATATCTGTCAATCTACCCATGCTTTAATCTATTTGATTTTTTTTTTTTTTTTTTTTTTTTTTTGAGACGGAGTCTCGCTCTGTCGCCCAGGCCGGACTGCGGACTGCAGTGGCGCAATCTCGGCTCACTGCAAGCTCCGCTTCCCGGGTTCACGCCATTCTCCTGCCTCAGCCTCCCAAGTAGCTGGGACTACAGGCGCCCGCCACCGCGCCCGGCTAATTTTTTGTATTTTTAGTAGAGACGGGGTTTCACCTTGTTAGCCAGGATGGTCTCGATCTCCTGACCTCATGATCCACCCGCCTCGGCCTCCCAAAGCGCTGGGATTACAGGCGTGAGCCACCGCGCCCGGCCAATCTATTTGATTTTTGCTAACAGCTTTATTGAGATATAATTTATATACCATAGAATCCACTTGTCTTAAAGGTAAAATTTAATGACTTTTAATAAATTTACAGAGGGTGCAGCCAAGTCCACACTCAGCTTTAGGGCCTTTCCATCATCCCAGAAAGGTTCCTCGTGCCCTTTTGCAATTACTGTCTCTTCTTAACCTTAGCCCAAGTAACTACTAATATATTTTCTGTCTCTATAGACTGGAAAAGCCATACATTTTTTCCTTTTATTTTTAGTTGTGACCCTTAATAATTGTGCATATTTATAGGATACAGAGTGATATTTTTGATGCAAGTGTACAGTATGCAGTGATAAATCAGGGTAATTTGCATATCTATCACCTCAGACATTTATCATTTCTTTGTGCTGTGAACATTCAAACTCTCTTCTAGATACTTGAAAATAAACAATAAATAATTATTAACTAAGGTCACCCTATACTACTATAGGACACTGAACTTATTCCTCCTATCTACTGTCATTTTGTATATGTTAATCAACCTCTCCCTATCCTCCTCTCCCTGCTACTCTCACAAGCCTCTAATAACCACAATTCTACTCTCTACTTTTATATGCTCAACTTTTTTAGCTCCCCCATATGAGTGAGAACATGTGGTATTTATCTTTCTGTGCCTGATGTATTTCACTTAACATAATGTCCTCCAGGCTCATATTGCCCCATGTGACAGGATTTTATTCTGTTTTATGTCTGAATGGTATTCCATTGTGTATCACATTTTGTTTATCCGTTCATCTATTGATGAACACTTTGGTTGCTTCTCTATTTTGGCTATTGTGAATAGTGCTGAAATAAACATGGGGGTGCAGATATTCAGTATACTGATTTTCTTTCCTTTGCATAAGTAACACAATAGCAGGATTGCTGGATCATATGGTAATTCTATTTTTAGTGGGTTTTTTTTTCTCTTTTTTTAGTAGCTATGTCACCCGGGCTGGAGTACATTGATACAACCATAACTCACTGTAGTCTCAAACTCCTGGATTCAAGTGATCCTCCCACCTTAGCTTCCCAAATAGCTAGCACTACAGGCACGCACTACCACACCTGGCTAATTTTTAATATTTGTAGAGATGAGGTCTCGTTACGTTTCTCAGTCTGGTCTTGAACACCTGGTCTTGAGTGATCCTCTCTGTTTGGTCCCTCAAAATGCTGGGATTACAGACATAAGCCACTGCACCTGGCCTATTTTTAGTTTTTTAAGGAATCTCCATACTGCTTTCCATAATGGCTCTACTAATTTACATTCCCACTAACAATATATGAGTTCCCTTTTCTCTGCATCCTTGCCAGCATTTGTTAATTTTTGTCTTTTTGATAGTAGCTGTTCTAATGGGATAAGATGATATCTAATTGTGGTTTTGATTTGCATTTCCCTGATAATTAGTGACATTGAGCATTTTTTCATTTATTTGCTGGCCTTTTGTATATCTTTTTTGAGAAATTTCTCTTCAGATACTTTGTCCATTTTTTAATGAGTTTATTTAATTTTTTTTATTTTTTGCTGTTGAGTTCCTTGTATATTTTGGATATTAGTTCCTTATTTGATAAATAGTTTGCAAATATCTTATCCCATTCTACAGCTTCTCTCTACTCTGTTGATTGTTTTCTTTATTGTACAAAAGCTTTTTAGTCTAATATAGTTTTTCAGTACCATTTATGGAAGAGAATGTTCTTTCCTCAATGTATGTTCTTGGTGCTTTTGTTGAAAATCAGTTGAAGTAAATACATGGATTTATTTCTGGGTTTTGTATTCTATTTCATTGGCCTATGTGTCTGTTTTTATACTAATGCCATGCTGTCTGGGTTACTATAGCTTTGAAGTCAGGTCGTGTGATACCTCCAGTTTTGTCCTTTTTGCTCAATGTTGCTTTGGCTATTCAGGGTATTTCATGGTTTTCTACAAATTTTAGGATTTTTTTTTCTATTTTTGTGAAGAATGTCATTGGTATTTTGACAAGAATTGCATTGAATCTGTAGATTGAAAAAGCCACACATTCCTAAGCAGCATGATAATAATTCATGAGTGCTTTTATACTGGAACTTCCAGGATAAAGGTCTTGAAACTGTCTATACCAGAAGGACCTTATTTTTTTAATGAAGCAAAGGTTATAGGGCTTACATACATCTTCTTGCATCTTTTTTGTCTGTGGTCTCACTCCAATTTTTAATGTCTAGAGCATTAAATAAATTCCCATTTTACTGACAAGAAAAAATGAGGGAAATATGAGGAAGAAGAAAAGACCGAAACTGGCAGAAAAGCAATGGTAATTGTGGAGTTCAAGCCAGGAGATCCCTGTTGTTCATCACTGCTCACTGCTGAGTCTCGCTTTGCTGAATATCACCGTACCTCCACAAAACATAACGAGATGGAAGAATACATACAGATTATCCAGCAGCTGATATTTCTGTGGGTTATCAGCTGGGGTGGTGATTGCTTGAACAGATTCCCCACTATGGCATTTGAGAGTGAAATCAAAGAACAGCAGTGGCAGGTGTTTGGAAACTGCATTTGGAATTGGCCTCCTACAGAAAGAAGCTAGATACTGACTTCGTGGGTGATGAGAGAAGTCGACAGCATTCTCAGAGGGAAGTTGCTTCTATGGCAGCTTTCCAAGCACACAGATTTAGGTTTCTTTCACATTAAATCCCTGAAGATATATATAGGGCTTGAGGAGCGGGGAGCAACAGGGATGCCACCTTCATATGTTGAGTATCTCCTCTTTTGGAGATAAAACTGTCGATGCTAACCCGAAGGAGAGTATTTAGGATTCATCAACTCTGAGTGCAATGAAAGTATAAAAAAGCACCAGTTCATCCAACATGCTGTGCACCCACAGTTCCCATTTTTCTATTTCCAAAAAGATTGGTTTCTGAGTCATTCCCAAGTGACACTGCTCCACTTTTCACCTGGCTCACCAAAGCTCTGCTTGGCCTTTCAAGATAGAGTCGAGTCATCACTACCCACATTTTCACTCATTGGTTAGTTTCTCCCACATTTTATTCTCGGCCTTGAGAAGCAAAGAAACCAACAAAAAAACCAATGTCATTGGTGTTTGCTGTAAATATACATAGATTTCCTCTGATTACAAAGTCACTGAAAATCACATAAAGGCAAAGTGGCAGAGCAGGTGACTTTTGATTCAAACAATGTAGTTTGACATCTATTTGATACAGCTTTCTGTGAATCCTTGGCAGTGTACATGCTCAGTAGAGATCCTTGAATGAATTAGTGAGGAGCACAGATGAACTCCATTGTCTGTAATAAACGCTTGACTCATTCCTGACCCCTGCCCCCACCTTGTATGCACACACGTTTATATACACGTTTGCTGGAGTTCTGAAGGTATTGCTCTTAGAGGCCAATATGCATTTTCACCTCAGTTCAAGGTGAAGGGGCTGCTCTCTAAGGATCTTAACTATTTTATTTCCTCACATATGGCAACTTTGTGGAGAGACTTTGAGTTCAGCGAATTAGGTAGAAATCTTATTTTATTCCAACCGATGAATTTTTTTGAGTTAAACATCTCCACTCACCATATCTTACCACATCTCACACATTGGTTATGAAATCCATCTTAGAGATTATGACTAAATGAACTGTTGCTCTTCAGGAGGAATAATTTGTCTCTATTATATTGATAGCAGCCTTAACACCTACCAGTTATAAAATTCTGGGCGTGTTATTTAATTTTTTTTCAGCACCAAATGTCTCATATGCAAATAACATGGAATGATTCTAAGAAATAGGTGGTATTGTGGGGATTAAAAATTGCATTCCAGGTTCATACTTCGCTAAAATAAATAACAGCTTCTGGGAATGGAGAACTTTTGTTTGTATTGGCTCAATTTCTATTTCCAGTTTTCCCATAGAGTAGCTCATTTTTTTCTCTGGAGGAGTCATTATGATCTGGTTGGTGCTTATCCTACCCAATGCTCTGTAGATCAAGTATGGCTGGCCAATCAAGTGTTTTGTGACCCCTGGTAGTCCAGTGAGACTCAGACCTGGAACCTTGGTACATATATTGGTAAAAAGAAACTGTCTTTTTGCTGGACTTAAAACTGGCCGAGTGCAAACCTGGTGCTTCAGAGAACCACTTCACACATGAAAATTTCTTGAGAGTGAAAATAAAGCAGAAAAGAGTAGAACTGAGATATGGGAAAGAGAAAGATGAAATCTTCCTCACAAAGGTTGAGTATCTACGTGGCCAACTCTGAAATGAGCACCATTCTAGACTTTTCCACCAAGAGGTGCTCTAAATATTCCTTATTTGTTTAAGCTGATTTGAGTTAGCTTTTGGCATCTGCAACTGGAAGTCGCAATTAACTTGTTTCTCATTAATGTAATTATTGAGAGTAAAACTACCACAACACTACCCACCTGGGTCACTCTACCTTGTTATACAAAGTTGATGCTCAATAAAGGCAGAACACCAAAAGCCTCATATTCAAGTAGGACAGAACCAAGGAAAAGGGCCACTCATAATAAAGGTGGACATTCTGAGCCATTTCATTATTCATACCTCTAGTTTCCCAAGGCATGCTAGGTAATATTCTAAGCTTTTTGTTAAACTCAAAAATTATTTTGGTTATAGCTGGATTTCAATGATTCATACTTTAAAAAATATATTTCCACAAGCCAGTGCATTCAAAATGAACTTATGAATTACTATCATTAGTGAGATTAAGAAATGGCATTCTCATATAGGCCAAAATACTTGGCTAAAGCCACTTAAACTCATTCCCTTTCATTATTTTATAATGTACTTTGTGACAGTTATTCTAACAAGATGCACTGAAAGGAGGTACTAATGAACTGAACCTATTCAGGAGACAGACGTTCGCTAACCAACTGCATGATGGGAAAAAAATGAAAGGTTGAGGTTGTTGAAAAACTCTGTTAACCCGAATATTCCAATTGCAGTCTTTCATATTCAGAGTGTGTTAATATTTTTCATGGGAAAATGTATTTCTTAAAGTGGGCTTTAATTATTCTTGAAACTAAATATCCATTTGAATGTCCCTGCCTGGTCATATAAAAACAGCTTCATGGAAGGAAGTCATCACTGAAACTGCTTCCTCCAATTTCCTGGCCGAGTTATGTTGGCTGGAGTAGCACCTTCTCATGAGATCATAATCATGGAATCCTTTGTGGAGAATTATTGACAGCACATCAATAAGAGCTCATAAAACATGTGCTGGAATTAATGGGGCTTCAACAAAGATCTCAGACATGAATTAGCTGTTCTAATGAAAATTAGATTATGTTTGCTAAACACTAAGACATTGAATAATATCTCAACATATGTAATGTTACAACACAAGATATACAAGATACATCATTGTCTTAATCTGTTCAGGCTGCTATAACCAAATACCATAAACTGGGTGACTTATAAACAACAGAAATGTATTTCTCAAGGTTCTGGAGACTGGCAAGTCCATGGTCAAAGCTCTGGCAGATTCAGTGTCTGGTGAAGGCCTGCCTTCTGGTTCACAGATGGTGTCTTCTCAATGTGATCTCAGTGGTGGAAGGAACAAGGCAACTCTCTGGGGCCTTTTCCGTAAAGGCACTAGTCACATTTGTGAGGGCAGAGCTCTCATCACCTAATCACCTCCCCAAGGTTTCACCTTCTAGTATAATCACCTTGGAAGTTAGGATTTCAACATATGAATTTGGAGGGGGTAGGGAGGGCTTGGGAGGACACAAACATTCAGACCATAGCAATAACATTCACTGCTGATGCTCAAGTAGATAGTTGACTCAGTTGGTTTTTAATGCTACGCACACATCAGGTACAAATGGATAACAAGGCATGTATGTATGAATTCATGTTTTCATGAATTTAACTCCTGGCATCCTGAGGGGGTGACACAACTTGGAGGCAGATTATCTCAAAGTAACCAATGTATAATAGGGTTCTGAATTTTTTTACCTATACACTTTTTGCCTTAAAATTTTATTGGTTTTTGTTCAATTACAAATATATTCCTTATTGTTAAAAAGTCAAAGTGTATTCAAAGATGTTGAGTTGGTCAGAGCCCAATCAGAAATGAAAAATCACATAGTAATTGGGATAGAAAGTTGCATATAAAGATTATGAACTGTAATAGGAGATTAGAGTATCAAGAGATTGACTGACTGACAAGAATTAAAGAGAACTTTACAAAATATCATAATAGCAGATATAAAAAGGCATCACTGAAACTGAGGGGTTAATTTGATCAGATGTGTCTGCCCTCCTTGCTTTTGGTCATTTGCTTTTTGTTATTTTTTTTTTTTTCCTTTTTCCATGAAGGCGAAGGCCAGGGTAGCTGAAGTCCTCACCACTAAATACTGAAACCTAACGTTCACTGGTCACTTTATGGATAACATTCATAGGCCACCATGGTAATGTTCGCTTCAGTTGCTTTTTCAGGAACTTGGGTCAGCTTCTGTCTAGTTCACACCCGTTGAGACACAGCCCTTCAACTGGGCCTGTACAAGTGTCCAAGAGGTGGTCTTTTGACATCAGAGGGCTGGTAACACCACTACCATTAGGGCTGAGGTAGGGGACCCCAGGAAGAACCTTCCTCCCTCAGGCTGAGACCTGGACCTTGTGGGATTTCTCAGACCTTCTTAATTTTACCAGTTAATTTTCCTTATTGGTTACATGAACTGAATAAAGAAATTCAGGATTTTCTCTGAAGAATCGGCAATGTGATGCCAGATGTAAGATCTGGAAGAAGCAGTTTACAGGTTTCCTTCAGCTAAATTGTGCAAAAACGAAACTTTAATTTTCCATGCATAGTACATTATATGACCTATATAGTCAGCTAATTTTGAAAATTTTATTTCCTGATGATGACAACTTGGTAGGGTATTAAATGGGACTGTTTAATCAAAAGCTGGCACAAAGTGGCTAAATACAAAAAGAAAGGGTGGAATTGTTTTGTTAATCCTTTCCTTTGCCAAATTGATGGCTGATGATTAAAAGTTTTGTAATATCTTAACAGAAACATGGACATTTCAGATAATCATAATATTTAAACACTTTTTTGCCTAGTTCTCTTCTCTCCATAGCCTCAATCAATGCATAATTATATAAGAGAACATTTACACCGAATGAAAATGTCACCTTATTAATGAGTATTTAAACCCATAGTTTAAGGTTAGTTTGCTTTAGATCAATATTTAGGTTTGAAACTTGTAGAAACTAATGATCTATGGAATTCTTTGGGGGTGAAGGCTTTAAAACATATCCCACTTTTTTGATTTATGGATTTACTTGGGCTAATTTCTAAACAGGCATTCCCAGATGGAAATACTTCAGTGAAATATCACTTTTTGAATATTAAATTTTTACTGGAGAGTAATTTTGAGAAGCAAAGATTTGAATCATGGTAGAGATGTGTGTATTTATACTTTTTGGACAAAAATTAACTTTTATGTATACCTCAAATAGTAAGGAATCTTCTTAGTTTTCTCTGTCTTCCTTTTACCTCCCTTTTCATTTGTCAAGAATTTAGTATTAATATATGTATTATGGAAGAAAGTAAGAACTAACAATTATGACTGCATTGACTTGAGTTCATGTTACAAAGTTTATCAATAAGTTATTAGAACTCAGGAGCGCTGAATTTAAATTCAGAAACTTATTTACAATTAATGTGCCTGAGTTTCTATTTATCAATTCATTCTGTTGAACTTCCACTTTATGGTAAAACAGATACAATTCTTTCTTCCTGAATATTTGGTAAGAGGATTTTTTTTTCCCAATATTTCACCCTTTATCCAGGACAGGCACCTGAAATTCTGTGTGAACTACACCCCTAGCCTGACCCAGCCCCAAACAAAAACAGTCACCATGATGATGATATTACTAGCATTTGAAGAAGGGTCTATGCTTATTGGATAGCTCTCAAGTCACACATAGATGATTTTAAGTAGTGCTTAGTTTAACTTCTAATCTCTTGAAGGCTTAGTTGCCAAAACAATTAGCAGGTTTAGTCAGGGAGAAGGAAGCAGTCCATCTGCTTCTTTTGTGCCACTGAGAGCAAACAGCCAACTGATCGACTGAATCCCTCAGACAATTAGTCAGAACCATTTGCAGCCCCCATGTCCCTGTAACAACCTTGTTGACACATTTATAGATGAGAAGACAGATGGTTTTGCTGGAAGTGAATTTGCCTTTTAAATATATAATAGCACCTTATAAATAAATGGTGTTTATACATAATAGTGTAAAAGGCTTTCTTATACATTCTGAAATCTGATGTTCACAGGAGCTCTTTTGTAAAATAGGTGGTTTTACACATAAGGCAATAGAGTATTACAGAGGTAAAGTGATTACCCAAGTTTATATATGAGCTGGGATTAGAACCACCAGTCTTTTGACTGCCAATCCAGTGTTTTCTCTACTACACTTTTAGAAATGATGAAGAGAATGGGATGCTCTTAGATATTTTATGGCAAATGATCTAAGAATACTCATATCTTCTTCCCAACTATACCACTCCACTTCATGGTGTCCCCTTAGGAGACCAGTGAACAAGGAAAGCTGTTTAAGAAAGCACAGTAACATTGCATGTGTAACTAAGAATGTACAAAATAGCAGGTCAGAACTCTTGTAAACTGGGGGCAAAGAATGTCATCTAGCCAAATGCAAGACTCTTCCATCTCTCTTGAACACAAAGGGAAATCTCAAGCTGTTGTCATTGGTCAACTCCATAGGAGCACAAACGAGGGCAGAGAAGAGAGCAGCAGAAGATGTATGATTTAGAACATAGCATAACCCTTCCTTTTTTAAAATCACTCCAGCTGCATAGAGAGAAGGAGCACCATGCTCACCCTTGCATCGGGTTTATATGACCTTTGACTATACAGTGACCCTGCCCACTAGTAAACAGGAACCATTCTGTGACATAGACCTAGTATGTCCTAGCGTCTGAACTGTTAAGTGTATATCACTCTCCTTTGGAAAGACACAGAGTGGACAGGGAGGAAGGACAGAGGAATCTTGCTTCCTTCCCCTCCTTCAGAGGTCAGCATGCACTCTGAAGCGCTGTAATTTTTACAAAGTCTTTTCAAAAGAACTCATGTATATTCCTTTACTGATTTGTACTGTCAGGGAATAAGCAGACATACCTCCTTTTATCAGTCTAGGCTTTGCTGTACAGAGACAGAGAGCAACTTAACCATGGACACAGAATGGCAAGTAGCATTAAGTAATTCTGTTTTGACCACACTTATTTCTGCCAAAGAAAGCTTTGAGATGATAAAATCAGCTCTAGTGTGGATATTTTGATATTTTTATTTGATTGAGATTGGGGAAAAACACCACTATAGATATAAATCGTCACAGCATATTTTGGGCTTACCTATTTAAACTAAAGAATGAATTTTTTATGTCTTCACAGTGGTTAGGTCAGTTATCTGCGGTTATAAGAAAAAAATTAGGGTTGCAAAATAGTACTTATATTTTTCATAAAATTGCAAATAAGAATAATTATTTCATACTAAAAGTTTTGGTACTTGACCTATTGGAAGGAGTATAAAATGAATAAAGTCTGTCTCTATTGCAGATTTAAATAGAAGGAAAAGAATGCAGCATTTGCTTGGTGATGTTCTGTAATACTTTTCCAGATACCCTGAGATTAGCCCAATTACCTTCTGGGGATGTTTTTGGACTAACAATACTATTTCCACAGGAGACTCAACATATAATGGAAGAAACTGTTGAGAAGTCCAACTCTTCAAGACTTTTTAAAAATTGTGTTTTCAGCTTACAAATGAATCAGCGCAAAGAGAAATAGTACTTTAGAGTGAAAAACAGAACACAAATCCTGAACTCCAGCTAAGTGTGCTTTTCCTAGGCTGTATGAAGTCACTTCCCATGGTGCCTTGGGAGCAACATTGTTGCCTTTTAATTTCCTCTGAATTGGATCATCAGTTTTCCTTATGACTTTCTTAAGACAAATGACCCAGCTTTTCCTCCTCTTTTCCAGGCAATGGATAGATGGCTATGAATGGGCAGAGGAAAGGATGTGTGGCAGGCACACTAGCATCCCATTTAATGCTTCATTCAAAGGTTTTATTTTTCATCCGCCATGGATGAAAACCCAAAAAGTCCATTTCACTTTGGAGCCAAAGCCAAAAGCAGGACTAACAGAAAGCGCAGGGTGTGAGAAAGACATAAAATCTGTAATTGGAAAATCTTGAAGTTTTGCAAATTATCTGAATAGTGCCACATAAAAATTTAATTCCAGAGATTTCGTTTTGCCCTTCTGTCATGTTAATTTTGTTTTGTAAACTATTAGCTCTCAGCTTTGGCCTGACCAACACCTTGCCCTGCCTAAGTCTGCAGTAATACAGCCTAAAATCAGGTTAGTATACTAGCAAGATGCATATACTTTACACAGCTTCAGATGGGAGCTGGTAAGAGCTTTTTGTTGAAATGAATGAGCTTAGGAGATCCTCTGCAAAGGTTTAGTCCCTTCTCCTGCCCTGCTTGTGGCATTATCCTAAGTCCATCTGTGACTCTGTGTTTAGGTAAGAACGTTTCTAATGAACCCTTCCAGTCTATTACATACACCAGAACTAATAAAGTACTCACTGATCCTTTTAAAAGTTTGCTCTGTTTAAATAAATATTCGTAGACTTTTCTTTGCACAGTCTAAACAATCCTTCTTTTCTTAAATATTAAAAATGTGACATATGAAGCAACCATGCCAACTGGTTACAAGTTCTAAATTAGCAGTGTCTAAATTAATGAGGTTTTACTGTATATTAAAGTATAATACATCTCTAGCACCTGTGCCTGATGAATTTTTGTTCCTAGCAATTAGATGTTATTTAATTATAGTTAGAGTCTCTCACATCACCTAGTTTAATTGCCACATTAAAAACTATTTTGAGAGTTGATTTGCCTAACATCACAAATTTAGTTTGGGAACTGAAAATGCCATTTATTTGTCCTACTTAAGTGTTATTGGTAAGAATTAAGTGCAGGCATATATTGTTATATAAACTGTCATTTTGATGTAGACTACATAGCATATCTGTGTGTGTGTTGTATGTAACACTTAGCATATGGTGACTCTTAAGTAATGATGTGAGACGTGTGTGTGTGTGTGCATTGGAAAAAGTGTGATGAAATAAACTACATTTTTTTATCTCCTATTTCCTAAGAAGCATTTTAAGTTGATATTTATCCTCTTGAACAGAGAGCAGAAAAAAGATCAACTTATCCCTGATGGATTATATGATTGTATGATTATTAGTCTTCCCTGGATTTTGGCTAAAAACTAGATTTGGGGGTGGTGATTGGCACTGGATCATATATCTTAATCATACCAGTGAGCTTTATCTTTCTTTAATGATTTTTTTTTTCGAGACAAGGTCTTGTTCTGTCACCTAGGCTGTAATAATCTCTTTAACTTTTTATTTTTAAATAATTATAAATTCATAGGAAATTACAAAGAAATGTACCAGGCTGTCTCATGTACTCTTTGCACAGCCTCCTCCAGTGTTAATTAACATCATGCATAATACCAGTATAATATCAAGGAATACCAGGAAACTGACATTGGTAAAATCTACAGAGCTTTTACAGTTTTTACCAGTTATACCTGTACTCATTTGCATGTGTGTGTGTGTAGATCTATGCTCACATGGGTACCTTCATTAACCATCCTCCAGAATTACGATATTTAATGTAACATTGCCACAGGGCTTCCTTAAGCTACCCCTTCATAGCCATACCTACACCTCCTCACCCTCTGCCCTGCCCATCACAACTACTAATCTCTTCTGACTCTATATCTCAACTACTATATAAATGAAATCATATCGTATATACCCTTTTGAGATTGGCTTTTTTCATGCAGCGTAATTTCCTTGAGGTTCATCCAAGTTGTGTGTGTCAATAGTTCATTTCTTTTTATGGCTGAGTAATATTTCAGAGTTATGGATGGACCACAGTTTGATTAGCCATTCACCCATTGAAGGACATTTGAGTAGTTTCCTGTTATTGACCATTATAAATAAAGAGACCATGGACATTCTGAGGAAAGTAAATTTTAACTTCACTGAGAGAAATACCACAGTGTGCGATTTCTGGGTGGTATGGTAAGTCCATTTTTAATTACTAAAGGAACTGCCAAACTATTTTCTAGAGTGACTATACCATATTACAGTTCTAGCAGTTATGTATGAGCAATACAGCTTTTCTGCATCCTCACCAGCATTTGGTGTGATCACTCTTTTTCAGTTTGGTCATTCAGATATATGTGTAGTGAAGTCTCATTGTGGTTTTAATTTGCATTTTCCTAATGTCTACTGAGGTTGAACATCTTTTCGTATGCTTGGTTGCCATAGAAATATCCTTTTCAGTGAAATGTCCATGTCTTTTACCTATTTTATAATTAGGTTGGATTTTGAAAGATCTTTATTCTAGGTGCAAGTCCGTTGTCACATATGTGATTTGCAAATATCTTCTTCCAAACTCTAATTTCCCTTTTCATCCCCTTCATGGGGTCTTTTGCAGATCAAAAGTTTCTAATTTTGATGAGGTCCAACTTATCAATTTTTCCATTAATTGGTTGTTGTTTTGATGTCTAAGGACTCTTTGCCAAGTCCTAGGTTTAGAAGATCTCCTATTTTTTTTCTAGAGATTTTAGTGTTTTATCTTTTAGATTTATGACCATGATCCATTTTAGTTAATTTTCCTATAAGGTGTGAGATTTATGTTTATGCTTATTTCTTTTGCTTGTGGATACCCAATTGCTCCAGCACCATTTGTTAAAAAGATTATGTCTCCCCTATTGAATCAAAGAATGATTATTTTATTTTATTTTTTGTAGAGACAGAGTCTTGCTATTTTGCCCAGGCTGGTCTCAAACTCCTGGCCTCAAGAAATCCACCCACCTTGGTCTCCTAAAGCGTTGGTATTATAGATGTGAGCCACTCTCCCTAGCCAGCATGATTTATTTAAAGGTACATAGTCCTTAAATAAACTACATGTCCTGCATAAAAATAATTAGAAGTATTTGAGCACCCACCCTGTGCCAGGCATATTTCTAAGCACATTCCCTGCATTATTAACTGATTATTATTTGCAGAAAAAAATGCGTGCAGGGTATTGTTATTATCAACATTTTAGAAATATGGAAGCCAGGTTTTGGAAAAATTAAGTGATTTGCCCAAAGTCATAAAGACAGTGTGACACAAAGTAGAATCCATGTCTGTCTAACTTGAAAGCCTATAATATGCTTAGTAATAAAATGTTTTCTTACCAAAGGAAGCTCAGAATTAAGGCTTTTCATCTATCAAGCCTTTATTTTGTTGTATAGTCAGGACCGATGACCTCTTTAGAAGACCCTTAAAAATACGTTTTTTCTATCTCAAGAACTCAGCTGGAGGTTTGGAGACTGGTTACGAAATTTGACCAGGCATTTGACATATTATCTATGTCCACTTTAAAAAATAAAATGGTAGTCTTCATCCTGAATCAGTTTTTGACAATACACTTTGTCGTGCCAGTAGTTACGGCCTGAGCATCTAGCACAGTTTTGCTCCCTTTTACTTGGTTTGTATTTAACAGAACTTCTTCCAAAGCTGTGTTGATTTTTAGCAGAGGCCATGTAGCTAAGGATGACTTTCTTTATTTATTGAGTCTCTAATTCTTTTTTAAAATCTTGATAAGCTATTTTCCCAGATATTAACCTGTAGTAATGTTTTCTTTGTGATTTACATGTTACACCCTCAATTTACATATATTTCTACTGTTCTACTTTTCATTTCATGGAGGCTTGCATAGATATGGATACTAAGACAAAGTGAACAAGAGGGTCACCTGATACCATATGTTCCTTGGAAGGGGATTGATAGCAGAGTTTTACCGTAGTTCCATTTTCTTTCATAAACATTTGATACTTTGGTCACCTTTAGCAAATAGAAAATGTCATGGATAGAGCAAAAATCAGAAGATGAATTGCCTTGCTTCCTCTACTGATTACTTGCTAAATGACCTTGAGCAGCTTCTAATTCTAAACCTGCCCATCCTGCAAGTACAGATCACAAAGGAAATCAATGTTTTGCTCTTGAGGATTAGCTTTTATTGTCTTCGTGTTTTGCGAAATGTATAAGCTGGTCTTTTGGAAGCAAGAGGAAATATGTTGGTCTTTTACAAGAGTCATAAAAGAGGGCTCATCTAGGACAGCCAGGGTAATAAAGCGGGTATGGTATAAGACACAGGCATAGGTAATAAAGTGACTCAAAACAGTCTCCAATAATGCAAGCTCCCTGAGGACAGGGATCTGTGTGTTTTGTTCCCTGCTCTATCTTCAGAGTCAACGACGATGTCCGGTACCATCCTCTGTCTGCTATTTCCATGCCTGTTTCCACATCTCCATGTGGAGCTTGCAAGGTAATGAAATGAACCTTGGAACTGTTGGCATCCGTTGCCTTCATTGTGTCCAAACAAACCTCCCAGGGGTCCCAACCATCCTGGGGAAACACACCTGAACCAAGAATAAAGAATCTCTAATAATCTTGTTCAATCTGCTTTCAGTCCTTTGGTCTCAATATTTTTTCTATAAATTGAGAAGGTGGCCGGGCGCGGTGGTTCACGCCTGTATTCCCAGCACTTTGGGAGGCCGAGGCGGGTGGATCACAAAGTCAGGAGATGGAGACCATCCTGGCTAACACGGTGAAACCCCGTCTCTACTAAAAATACAAAAAATTAGCCGGGCGTGGTGGCGGGCGCCTGTAGTCCCAGCTACTCGGAAGGCTGAGGCAGGAGAATGGCGTGAACCCGGGAGGCGGAGCTTGCAGTGAGCCGAGATGGTGCCACCGCACTCCAGCCTGGGCGACAGAGCGGGACTCCGTCTCAAAAAAAAAAAAAAAAAAAAAAAAAAAAAAAAAAAATTGAGAAGGTAACTACGGACTTCATTGGTCTATTGTTAATACATAATGAGACGATACAGTGAAAGAACTCTCCAAATGACAAAGCACTATCTCCATCTAAGAATATCGCTTCTGTTGCATCATAGTGAAGTAGTTCCACAGGTGTTTCTGCTCGGACTGACTGGTTCAAATCTCGGCTGTACTGCCAGGATTTAAGACACTTTGAAAATGGGCAAAGCCTCATTTTTCCTAGGTCAAAAGGAGTTCAAGATTGGGGAAATCTGAGGATTCAGAAGGATGATAAATGTTAGAACATGGAATCAGGGTGCTTAGATTCTTGGTGCCTCAATTTCTCTGTCAGTTAAATGCCGTATGATCAAATGACTCTTTTCTCATTGGCTTGATGTGAGAAAGAAATGACTACATATAATAATCAGCAACATTCCTGGCACATAGTAAACATCGATGTATTATTATTAATACCTCCACCTACGCTATATACTGACTCTCTATCCTCCCTCTCTTCCTCCTTCCCTGGATCTTAAAAGATGAGTGTGATTAGAAACAAAATTTTGTTGTGATAAAGTCCACCTGAATGTTCCCTCAGATACTAACTAAATCTCTTTCACATGCAACCTTTGGACAAAAGTCTCTTCCTTTTTGCTAGGAATTTTCCTATTTTTCTCATTTCTTCTCCTCCTGCTTTAGGAAAGAAAAAAAAAGCATATGCAAGAATTATTTTTTCTTCTCCCCAGATGTCACCAGCACTAACACCTGTCCTAGTTCCAGCTCTGGTGAACTCCAGCAGACCTGCTCAAGTGGACAGCATTAGGGACCTTGTCAGTTTTGCAGTGCTTTTTGCCTGAAGCCACCTCAGGTCCCTCATGCTGCAGGTATGCTGAGGGGCCTGGAGGTGACAGGCTGTTTTGCACCCAGGCACACTGAGGCCCGGGTGCTGCAGGGCTGTAAGGGTGGCCGTACTTTACTCTCTCCCAACTCCCCCACCCGTGTCATTTTTATTTGTACTTTATAAATCCTTTTCACTTTTGCAAGTTCCTTTTGGCCGCAATCTGAATGCAGTCCTGTATGGGATAAAGGAATATCATAAGTATATATTTTTTAAAACAGCAACACGATTCATGACTCTGTTGCAGAATGTGA
The DNA here is from genome assembly GCF_000001405.40 of Homo sapiens. Classification (NCBI taxonomy): domain Eukaryota; kingdom Metazoa; phylum Chordata; class Mammalia; order Primates; family Hominidae; genus Homo; species Homo sapiens. The sequence continues at coordinate 68,247,766 of NC_000003.12, forward strand.
AGGAGCAAGTCTCTCAATTGGCTAATTGAATCAAGCTCTGGTGAGTATGTTGAGCTCTGAGCTCTCCTGAAGTTGGGCTCTGAGCCTGAATCAATTGGTCTGATCTCCCTTTCTCTTTATTTGTATAGAAATGAGTAGGAATTCTGTCTGTGTTAATAATGTAGGGTAATTTTGGAAAGGTAACTTAAATTTCCAGGCTATGGTTTATGTTCATAAAGTAAAGATAATTTGAATATTGAACCACTGTTGGCTAAAAGGCAGAATTAGGTGTGACCTCACTTAGAGTACTTAGTTGCAGACTGTTGGGGGAAAATTCTCATATTAAGGTTTAGACTTTGAGAATAGGGTGATTGTGAGCCTTCTGTACATAACTGACTTTCAATACATGCTCATTAAAACCAAAAAAGCTAAATGATTCAAACACTAAAAATATTCATCGTGTTAATTTCTCATAACCTTTATGCAGTGGCAATATTGCATAAATATTTGTTTGTAAAGTGTAAGGTCAGGGCTTATTTTATAATGCAAGAAATCCCCAGTTTGGTTAATACAAAACCTTAACAAGAACCAGTAAGTAGAAACACTTGATAAAGCTATATAATTGTAGATCATTAGTGGGGAAAAGACTTCAATTTGCCTTAGGCTTGATGTTTCTAGAAATAAAATTATTGAGAAAAGATTAAGGATGAGATAAACCATTTGGAGGAAAAGAAGATCATAAAGTGATAGAAACCAGATCTTAAAGTAAACATGTTATTACAGTTGACCTGATTGGTTGGAAGACAATGTACGGTAAATGCACCTGACAACAATAACTTAAGCATACCCTGAGAATGACTCTGTATGGCAGATGCACCTGAATGTGTGTTCAGAGCTGGGGAATCTGGGAATGGCAAACCTGGAGATGGGCTCCTTATCTATGATAAACATCTGAGTCCTGAGTTTTGCGGGGTGGGTGGTGGGCGGGGGGCGGGGGGCGGGGGCTGGGGGTGGGGTAGGGAGGGTAGATGAAGTTTGCCAGGTGCAGGTCATTAGGGGAGGGTGTTAAGTAAAAATGCTGTATAAACTGCATGATGTTTGCAGGCAGTTGTAGTTTTCCTGTCCAGCCCACAGCCACTGGACTGTAGGAAGGCGAATATGTTGTCCAGCCCATTGCCATGGGACCATTTCTGTAATTAAGGGTGTTCTCCTGTCCAGCCCTCTGCCACAGAACTCTCTTCACGGTATGAAAGCCCCTAATAAAACCACAGATCTTATTTGCTGGCTCTGGGTCTCTTCTTCAGCCTCTTGAACCTGGTGCCTTCCCTACTGAAGGTAATAGGGGCTCAGCACAACAGATCACCCACACACAGGCCACCTGCCTTCAGAAACCCAATTCAAATGGTCATAAGCACCAAAAGAAACAGATTTGCTCAGGTGACTAAAATAATCCAGGGAATAATCAGATGGAGGAATGTGGATGTTATCCCCAGGACTTGATCTCCCCTAGTCCCTGACTCTGCCTTTCCCATGTTGCCCTCACTACCGGGCAGACCCTTTCTACCATGTCAAGATCACTTTGGGAATTCCAGGCTTCAACTCCACTAGCTCAGCAATTCTACTTGGGAGAAAATGTCTTCCCCAGCTGTTTTAGTCACAGCTCTGACAACTCAGTCTCAGTACCTGGTTTGAGTCATAAGGCGTCACTGACAAAATCACAACTGTCAGGGCTTGAGATGTGTCATTTGTCCTATGTATCAAACAGCATAAGAAGAGTGGTGTTTCCCCAGAGGAAATTGAGATTCTGTTATCAGTAAAAGGGGAATGGCTGCTCAGGAGGCAAAAAAAACTTGGGTACCCTCCACCACCAATCTACCAAATCTGGATTTGAAAGGCATAGGACAGCAGACAGTCAGGACTAAGAGCAAGTCGCACCAAGAAAGAAGAAGAAAACTGAAAGGGAAAATCAGAAAGCCCTCCTGAGGTCCATTTCACCCACTCAGTCATAAAAGAGCAGAATTAAATTAAGGCTGCTAAAAGTAGAGAAGGCACACCATTGACCCAATATGAAGCCCTGACAAGGAGATTTGTTGGGTTTTTTTGTGAGTACCCTCCTGAGCCAGAGGTGGAGTGTCTCCTCTTGGGTAGACAACTTTAGTGTGATTCATGTGTTTGAATCACACAGCCTCCGAAGGCCACGTGTCTAGAATAGCACCAAACAATGAAAAATGGCTCTAGAAACATTTATTGTTCCTTCAGCTTTTTCTATCTCCCAAACGTATATTGAGACTAATTTATTAATGTTAAGTCATACGATAAATTCATTCTGGGAGGAAAAGCATTTCCAGGGAGTAACTATACGCTCTCATCACTTATAGCTTTGTCCCCGCCTCATCATCCAGGGTGATGATTTTAATCCAGACTTCTCCATGTACTAACTGTGGAACCCTGGGCAAAACTGGCTCTCTATTTGCTTATCTTTCCAAAGGGGACTATAATAGTATACCCTGCAGAGGTACACATGGCTGTTATTACTGTTTACGCATTTGGGCTTCATTTGGAGACAGTCTCAGAACTGATCTTATAGCGTAAGATTATAGAATGAGCTTATCATATAAGACATACTTGCTCATAGTATTCCAAGAAAGTGCAACACACCAATGCTTAATATTAGGAGTTTAGAAACTAAACTAGGAATCAGATTACTCCTGGCTCAGCCTGGGCCCTTGAACTAACCTCCACTGCATATTTTGTCCTCACAGCGTCCCCACAGCAGCTATCCAGGCTTCCTAGGAATAACACACAATACTCCCTATTCTCAAGAGAGTAGCTCTTTCCCCAAAATCTTGATGTACTCAGTCAGCTAAGAGGTACCTTGCATGCTTTAAAATTCCCACCTATTACTTATTTTTTTAGGTGACCAGTCTCTAAGGCAGAACAAAAATTACTTGAGCGGGGATTTAGACAGGGATTCCAAGAAAAAAAAAATTAGCTAAATTGGGCAAGCCTAAATGATCTTTTAGTCATTTGTTGTTTTTTTTTTTTAGCAATTTCCTTCTTCCCTGGAGCCTGATCCTGCAGGACAAGGATCTATTTTCAAGTCAATTACAATTCCTAAGGGATATAATTACCTACAAAATCAGCAAAGGAACCCTATTTCTCTTATGGTAATGTAATAGTAATTTTTAAAATAACTACAATACATATGATAGAAATGGCATTTGCTTTCTTTCAACTTTTCATTGCTTTTAGTTTCATGCCATACCATTCCCAAATCTCCAACTTACCAGCAAGCAGTGATAAATGGCAGCCTGTAGATTATTGTTAATCAAGAAAAAAAAACCAAAATAAATTATTAGTCTATTATACACCATTGTGGCTATTCTATTTCTCATTTGGTAACATTCAGAAGTCTCCTCAAGAACTCGGACAACAGACCCTTGAGAGTGTGAGTGGTGACAATGGATACAGACTGAGCTGCCCAGAAGCCTGTTCATAGTCTCAGACTCCAAATTCTAGGGCTCAACTCCAGTTCCCTGCCCACAGTGTGGCATTTCCTATCCTTTTTAGCTACTTAAAAAAAAGTTTGCTATGGCTATATGCTAAGTACTAAGACACATATTCTCATTTTATCTACATGCCACTTCTCTGTTAGGAGTTACAATATTCCCTTCTTTTGTCATTTTCATTTCATTCATTCATTGCATGCCCACTCTAGACCAGGCAACAGCCTAGGTGCTATGGATATAGCAATGAAGAAAACAAAGATTTGCATTTCAGTGGAGGAGAAAGACAATATGTGGAAGGAGAAAGTGAAGGAGAAAGAAGAGGGGAAGGAGGAGGAGACATCAGGGAGATGACATTTAAGCAGAGACCTAAAAGAAGGGATGTTGTGAGCTCAGGGGGAAAGTGTTTCAGGTGGAAGAACCATCATGTGCAAAGGTCCTGAGGCAGAAACAGTGCTTGTGAAGAACACAGCATGGCCTCTGTGAGTGAAATGTGCTGAGAGGGGTTGGAGGAATATGAGCTGATAGATAGTGCCAAAGCCTTGGAGGGCAGGAAAAAACACTGGGTTTCTTTCTTTTGATCAGCCATATGTAGGTGCCAGGAAAGGAGTGATGTGATTTACCTGTGAGGAAACTGAATCTAAAGGAATGTTAACTAACTCATCCATGTCACATATGTGGGAAGCCCCATCATCGGGACTCACACTGGGGTCTATGCAGTTCCCAAGGCTCAGTCATTTATAATCACAGCCCAGCTTCTCAGTCACTCAACAGATAATTCCATGTATATGTGCTCTGTCATTGCCTTTATAAAGACAATGAGATCTCTTTGAGATCTCTTCACTCATAATCTCAGTTGGCTTGTTTCTCATCTTCTTCCTTGATCCTAAATGTCAGCAAATCTCCCTCTCCAGTCACAGGTCCAATTAATTATCTCTTATGAAATTCACCAGATGTAACCCTTCTTTTCCATTGCTCCTGCTACTATTCAGGTTTCAAGTTTTGTCTCAAGTCTTGTCTGCTCTCACTTCCCAGGATTCCTGAACCCTCAATGATCCAATACTAGCCTACATGTTCAATTTCATTTCTCCTCATTCTCTCATGTCTCAAACTGGTCACCTTCAGACTATATTTTGACTATATGCTATTCTTAAAAAAATTACATCAAATTATATTACTGATATCTCTTTAAAAAATTGAATCTGACAGTACTGGGCCCATGGTCCCACAAAGCTGAAGCTGGGTAGTGGCTGCCCATTTTGGATGGGGCAAGAGCTCTCCAGTTCTCCACAGTCTCCACCACTCTGTAAAATCAGACATCGTCAGGCATCTCTCTTATCATTGGAGGCATCTGTCTTATCATTGCAGGCACTGACACAGTTAAGAATAGTGGCTATAAGTACTTTCTGAAGCCAAACTGCCTGGGTACCAATTCTGGCTCTACCACTTACTAAACTTATGTTATTGCCCAGCTACTTAAAATCTCTGTAGCTGCCCTGTAAAATTTAGGTGATATGGTTTGGCAGTGTCCCCACCCAAATCTCACTTTGAATTGTAGCTCCCATAATTCCTCTGTGTTGTGGAAGGGACCCAGTTGCAGGTAATTGAATCATGGGGGTAAGTCTTTCCCGTGCTGTTCTCATGATAGTGAATAAGTCTCATGAGCTCTGATGGTTTTATAAAGGCGAAGATCCCCTGCACAAACTCTCTTGCCAGGTGTCATGCAAGATGTGTCTTTGTTCTTCCTTCACCTTCCACCATGATTGTGAGGCCTCCCCAGCCATGTGGAACTGTGAGTCCATTAAACCTCTTTCTTTATGAATTACCCACTCTTGGGTATGTCTTTATTAGCAGTGTGAGAACCGACTAATACAGTAGGTAATTATGATAACTACCTCATATTTCTGGTGTGATGGTTAAATGCACTAATACTTATAAAAGCATTTAGAAAAAATAGCTGGACATAGCACTCGATAAAGGTTACCTTTTGAGGTTGCTGTTTATAATTCCCACTGTATACCAGGTAAGTTGGTATACTTGTCAAAATGAACATGCTTTTTACAATCCCATCTCCTTGCCCTTGCGTACTTTAATCTTGCTTCCCAGATGGTTTTCCCAAATGGTCCAGTCTTCTATGATCACAGAATCTTATCCATCTCTTAAGTAAGGCCTACTTCAAATCTCACCCATTTGTGAAACCATCACTGGCCACTCTGTATAGATATTGTTTCTCACTTCTTTCTATTTCTGCAGCTCAGATTTTGTGCACTACTTACTGCATACTCATCTAACCCTTTGCATTGCTGTTTAACTGTCTTACATTAATATTTTCTCTCTCCAGCCAGACTGAAGAACCCTAATGGTGATGCATGGCAGGTGATGATTGGGTTATGTTTCAACTTTCTGGCAGGTAGTTGGCAGCAATGCTAGATAGTACAATGATTATTTTCTGAATTCTCATGGGGAGGATTTTATCATGACATTTTTCTTGGTCAATGATACTAAATTAGAAGGTTAGATGTTTGTCTAATGAGTGCAATATTGAAACAGGTAGTATGTTTTAAATAACAAGGTTCTGGAGTTGAAACAGGTTTTGTGCCCCTTCTAATACAGGTTAATGCAGAATGAAGGTCATTATTGTGTGACATTAGTTTCAGATTGAAGGTCATTATCATGTGGCAACTGGGTTTTGATTCAGTGCTTTCCTACTTTACAGAAGCTGCAAACATAATTGGCAAATCTGTAAAAATGACTACAGCATTAGTTTCTTTGGGTTTCTGAAAGTTATGCATGGAACTCTGTGTTTCTGTCTATCTGTCTGTCTGTCTGTCTGCCTGTCTATCTATCTACCTGTCTATGTATGTATGTATGTATGTATGTATGTATCTATCTATCTATCTATCTATCTGTCTATCTATCTATCTATCTATCTATCTAATCTGTCTATCCATTGAGAAATGAGTATACTTCCTACTGGGCATTGGTCTTCAACATGGATAAAACACAGAACATGAGAATTCAATATTAGAATATGGGACAAAGACAGTGAAATAATTACTGAGAAAAATATGAAAATCAATTTCATCAAAATTGAACCACCTAAGACGATTGTTAGTGGAAGTATAGTAATTAGATGTGCTTTTTCATTAATGTCAGCTAATACCTACCTAAAATTTAGTGTAATTTCAGAAGACTTTTTTAAACCTGGAAGAAAGATACTTGTAACATCATTTGCATTAATCTCTGAAATGAAACACTTCCATATGGCTTTCATGGTGGGGAGGGGACTATAATTACTGAGGTCACTTTCTAAATAATACTACTGGAATCTATTCATATGGGAACCAAAGACATGCTGTGATGCCAAGTTATTTCCTCTGTGGAAATAAAGATAAAGGTAAGGTAAAGGAAGGGTAAAGATATATAGGAATATTACAGATGATCCCAGGATTTAACAGTAGACCTACCACAATTAAGTCCCAGTTCTCTGAAAGTGACCTTCTAGGATGTTCATGTCTGACTTTACTGTACTAAGGGCCATTGTATTATATAGGCAGAAGAGAGTAATGAGATTGTTTGATTGGTTAGAGAATGCTAAATTAATCCTGCCAGCAGTAAGCCAAACCCACAGTGCCAGCCTACACAGTACAATAAATAGAAAAGGTAATTTGACACTCTGCCCAAAAAACTAGCTTTGGAAGTAGCAGCCACTTGGCCTCATTGAAAAGTAGGGAGAAAATGAATTTTGTAATGAATTACTTGTCACTCAAAAGATATTTGGTTTACAACAGGAAATAAAAATCATTCTGAAGAGTGGCCATTTTGCCTAAAAGGAAGCAATACATCAAATAAGGGCTAGTGAAACAGATGAAGAGTATTCATTCATCTTTAGGTCATCTGCTGACACAAACAATTAGATTAAAGTGGAATGATTCAATCTGAGAAATGTGAATGGATAGAGAAGGAATAAAGAATATTCTTTAGTTCTCAAATAACTTTTTATTAAATATTATTGTTTCTCTTTTATTAGGTTTGGCTTACAAACCTATATTTTGTAAATCTTATTTGTGTTCAATTTAGAAAAACATAATCCATTTACATTTATTGGTTCGGTTCTGATTGCAGTAATCATTAAATCTGGATAATGAAAAATATTCACCAACTCTTCAGTGTACCAAGGAAGTATTGAGAATTGAGAACTTTTTTTAAGGTCTTAGTGTACAATCAGTAATCACCACTATTTTTCCTTCGATGTGACATTTATTGTGAAGGGACCTATATATCCCACTTTATTTCTGGGATTTGGAGCTAAATGTTGTCTCTATGTCCGTTCAGGTGATGCCAGGGTCAATGGCCACAGCATAGAGGATCACTAATAGAAAACCAAAGCCCATTCTTGAGAGTTTTATAGGGTTTTTTTTAATTTATTTGTTTGCCTGTTTGTTTTATGAAGGATAATGATTTATTTTTTAAGGGACCCTAGGCTTCTTAGGATTTTCTGTCTTCTGAAGATATTGACTAAAGTGTCCAAAGTGGGGATGGTTGGAGATGGGCTAATAGGAAGTGGAAAACTAGTCCATTTCTCTGGCTAACAGGCAGTTAAGTCTGTAATACACTGATATTTCAGTGTTAACAAACACTTTTAATTAACAGAAGAGAGGCTAATGAATCAATTTACTGATAATTTGTGAATGAATTAATTTGTTAATCAATCTATTTACTAATAATTGTTTCCTTTCAGAATACTAACTCTGCTAGAGTATTTATCTTTGATAAATAGATACTATTTATCAAAGCCAGAAAAGCGCATTGAAATACTTTCCAAATATTAGATTCTAACATCAGATCAGATGGCTACTCCAAGCACCTTTAGACTGAGGCATTATAACATTCCTTTTAGGTGTGAGTAGAATAAAGGAATTTTTATTCCCACTTGATATTGGATGACTCTGGAGGGAGGTCCTAGTGCCTACTTACTGAGGAGTTTCCACAGTTGTAAATACACTTCCTCACCTCAAAAAGTCTTCCTTTAGCCACAGGGGAAATGCTGCTTTTTCAATACGAGGAGTTCTCTCAAACCAGAACTTCCTTAGCTCTGAGGTGTGTCACAGTGGTCAGAGCAGGTAGACTGGCTGGGAGACCAAGACCTTGATTAGGCTACCTAACATGTTTGTGCCTTGGTTACCACATCTGTAAAGTGGGGATAATAATAGTACCTATCTCCACATATTGTAGTACAAAGTCACATTTTTAACAGTGCTTGATCCAGGATGTTACTCTCAGGTGCCCACCCTAAGAGAGAAAGGTGTCATTGAAAGAATTCCGTCTGTAAAATTATTTTGGGGTTTCTTAAATTCACATAGTCTTGTACATAGTTTAATGTACATGGCCTTGGCATTGTGTAAAATGTTATTTGGACACTCTGGAAGAAGAGGATAGCAAATTTGATTCTAGGGTTATAAGACTGGAGGGTTAATTATAATATAAATCAGTCAGGTAATTGGGAGAAGATTGGAGGAAATTTGATACATGTTTATGTGTTTATCAAGTGATTGCATCTGCTTTTCACTCTCTGCTGCCACCATCTGGCCCCAAAACCTTTGTATGAGCCACAATAGTCACATCCCTGGGACATCTTTGTGCCCCCTCCAGTCTCTTTTCCACACGGCAGCCAATATCATTTCTTATGATTCTCTACTGGTTCATGTCATTCCTACACTTGGCATCACTCATTAGTTGGACTTTGGATAAACAGAAAGCATCAAGCTCTTGCCTCCTTTCCAGCTTCATCTCATGTCTTCCCTCACTCGTAACGCTCTGCTTATGCCAGCCTTCTCTCTGGCCCTTGACTATATGGAGTTCTTTCCAGCCTCAGGGTATTTGCAACCTGCTGTTCTGCTACACAGGACATCTGCCATTCACACTTTCTATCTCTCACTCCTGCTCATCCCTTAGATCTCAGCTAAACATAACTTTCTTGGATGGCACTCCTTTAAAGCCCAGCCACCCGACCCCAGAATTTAAATTGGCCTCTCCCCATCCTTAATCTAATTTCCAACAGGGCATACTGACCTTTTCCTTTGTATAACTTATTATAATTTGTGGTGTCATGTTTTCTATATGCTTGTTTAACCTCTGTCTTCCCCAATAGACAGTTAACTTTATAAAGCCATGGACGGTGTCCATCTTTTTTTTTTTTTTAAGTGCTGTACTCTGCCTCAGACAAGATGTGGTTGGTGCTTAATTAATAGTTGTTGAATCAATGATTACATCAACAAACGAACACTTAGTATGTGACAAGCACTGGGCTAAGTGCATAATACTCATGATTTTATTTAATCCTCACAATAACCTTTTGAGTTAATTATCATTAATGTCATTCACAAATGAGGAAATAATACTTCTTCATGCAGTGAGCTTAGAAGGGACTGTTACATCCTCTAAAAAGTGGCCAACCTTCCCCTAGAGTATGGGCTAGACTCAGTAACTTGCTTCCAAGGAATAGAGTATGGAAACTGAAATGATGGTAAAAATAGTAACCTCACAGTGGATAAACTTGGAAGCCATTATCTTAACCAAGTGACCAAGTTTAACATATCCAATGATAAGTTATCATGTGCCCCCTGATTTCACCTCTGTGATTTTCTTCTCTAAAATTCATAACCCCAGCCTAACTATAAGGAAACATCAGAAAAATTCAATTTCATGGACATTCCATAAAATATCTCTTCGAAACTCTCAAGGTCATGAAACAGAAGGAAAGAAAGATGTCATAGATTAGGAGGAGGCTAAGGAGATATGGGTGCTGAAGGCAATGTGTGATCCTGGAACAGAAAAGGACTAAAGTGAAAAAACTGGTAAAATCCAAATAAAGTTTAGTTAATAGTAATGTGTCAATGTTAATTTCTTAGTTTTGACAAATGTGCTGTGGTTATATAAGGTGTTCATATTAGGAGAAGTTGGGTAAAAGGTATGGAAGGGCTCTCTGTAGTATCTTCGCAACTTTCTGTAAATCTAAAATATTTCAAAACATTTTCCTTTAAATGGCTACATTGGTTTGGAAACCAGGGCTGACCTTTAGTCAGCATACACTCGTGGTTGATGTATTCAAGTTGATGTAATATATTGGCTTCAATTGGTCAGGACTTGAGCATGGCATGTTGTTGACCGTATTGAGAATTACTAACTATGCTCCCTTTTTACAAAATTATGATCAACTTTCTATTCACTCAAAAGTATTTTTTAATAATTCTTTTCTCAGAAGAATAAGAAACTGTGTGTGACTTTAAGTCGTTCTATTTAACTGAGTGGTTACCATGGTGAATCTAAGTGTTCAGAGAATAATTTCAAATCGAAACTCCAGATAATGCTTATGCCACAGCAAAAGAAAGATCAGCTGTCAATGGTGTGGTTTCTCAGAGCCACATAACAAATATACCAATTTATGCCTAATATTGGAAATCTTCTAGTCCAACCTTACTGGGTACTTGTTGGAGTATCAGAAGAGGTTGAATATGTTTTTCCAGGTTCACTTTCTTCCTTGGGATGTCACAGAACTGAACTCTATCAGAAATATGCTAGGGCATGTTTTATTCTCTTCTGCATCTTCTGTCAGAAACAGCCAACAAGTGCCATTTTCAAGTCGCTACAGATCTCACCTAGACCCTTGGAAATATCAGGTTCTGCTGGATTCTGATCAAGAGTGCCCACGCAGTAACTTAGAATCTGACCAGCATGCCAGGACTCACATCTAGCTCTTCCCAAAGGCACACGTGGGCAGGGATTCTCAAATCATCTGGGGATGTCGATAAACCACAGATGCTGACTCAGTGAGTGTGGGGTGAGGACTGACACTCTTAATTTCCAAAAGCTCCCAGGTGCCACTGTGGGTCTTTGGGACTGCATTTTGAATGGAAAGGTGCTAGGGTATTTTTAATGACATCCTAACGAAATTATGCCATTAGGGATTTAACTGTGTATTCCACAGCTTTACTTTCCTTTTCAATTTAACCTCTTTAGTTCAACAATGTAACACTTGTGGAACTCCACAAATTAGGATGCAAAATGAACAAGAAAAGGGATTTAGTTTTAACTGAGATGTCCCTTCACAAGACATTGATAGAAAAAGTGAATTTATTCTTTTGGCTTAGGAGTGACTTGGCGATGCGGGCTCTTTTTTGGTTCCAGATGAACTTTAAAGTAGTTTTTTCCAATTATGTGAAGAAAGTCATTGGTAGCTTGATGGGGATGGCATTGAATCTATAAATTACCTTGGGCAGTATGGCCATTTTCACGATATTGATTATTCCTACCCATGAGCATGGAATGTTCTTCCATTTCTTTGTATCCTCTTTTATTTCATTGAGCAGTGGTTTGTAGTTCTCCTTGAAGAGGTCCTTCACATCCCTTGTAAGTTGGATTCCTAGGTATTTTGTTCTCTTTGAAGCAATTGTGAATGGGAGTTCACTCATGATTTGGCTCTCTGTTTGTCTGTTATTGGTGTATAAGAATGCTTGTGATTTTTGTACATTGATTTTGTATCCTGAGACTTTGCTGAAGTTGCTTATCAGCTTAAGGAGATTTTGGGCTGAGACAATGGGTTTTTCTAGATATACAATCATGTCATCTGCAAACAGGGACAATTTGACTTCCTCTTTTCCTAATTGAATACCCTTTATTTCCTTCTCCTGCCTAATTGCCCTGGCCAGAACTTCCAACACTATGTTGAATAGGAGTGGTGAGAGAGGGCATCCCTGTCTTGTGCCAGTTTCCAAAGGGAATGCTTCCAGTTTTTGCCCATTCAATATGATGTTGGCTGTGGGTTTGTCATAGATAGCTCTTATTATTTTGAGATACGTCCCATCAATATGTAATTTATTGAGAGTTTTTAGCATGAAGCGTTGTTGAATTTTGTCAAAGGCCTTTTCTGCATCTATTGAGATAATCATGTGGTTTTTGTCTTTGGTTCTGTTTATATGCTGGATTACATTTATTGATTTGTGTATGTTGAACCAGGCTTGCATCCCAGGGATGAAGCCCACTTGATCATGGTGGATGAGCTTTTTGATGTGCTGCTGAATTTGGTTTGCCAGTATTTTATTGAGGATTTTTGCATCAATGTTCATCAAGGATATTGGTCTAAAATTCTCTTTTTTGGTTGTGTCTCTGCCAGGCTTTGGTATCAGGATGATGCTGGCCTCATAAAATGAGTTAGGGAGGATTCCCTCTTTTTCTATTGATTGGAATAGTTTCAGAAGGAAATCAAACTATACTACAAGGCTACAGTAACCAAAACAGCATGGTACTGGTACCAAAACAGAGATATAGACCAATGGAACAGAACAGAGCCCTCAGAAATAATGCCGCATATCTACAACCATCTGATCTTTGACAAACCTGACAAAAACAAGAAATAGGGAAAGGATTCCCTATTTAATAAATGATGCTGGGAAAACTGGCTAGCCATATGTAGAAAGCTGAAATTGGATCCCTTCCTTACACCTTATACGAAAATCAATTCAAGATGGATTAAAGACTTACATGTTAGACCTAAAACCATAAAAATCCTAGAAGAAAACCTAGGCAATACCATTCAGGACATAGGCATGGGCAAGGACTTCATGTCTAAAACACCAAAAGCAATGGCAACAAAAGCCAAAATTGACAAATGGGATCTAATTAAACTAAAGAGCTTCTGCACAGCAAAAGAAACTAACGTCAGAGTGAACAGGCAACCTACAGAATGGGAGAAAATTTTTGCAACCTACTCATCTGACAAAGGGCTAATATCCAGAATCTACAATGAACTCAAACAAATTTACAAGAAAAAAAAAACCATCAAAAAGTGGGCGAAGGATATGAACAGACACTTCTCAAAAGAAGACATTTATGCATCCAAAAGACACATGAAAAAATGCTCATCATCACTGGCCATCAGAGAAATCCAAATCAAAACCACAATGAGATACCATCTCACACCAGTTAGAATGGCAATCATTAAAAAGTCAGGAAAAAACAGGTGCTGGAGAGGATGTGGAGAATTAGGAACACTTTGACACTGTTGGTGGGACTGTAAACTAGTTCAACCCTTGTGGAAGTCAGTGTGGCGATTCCTCAGGGATCTAGAACTAGAAATACCATTTGACCCAGCCATCCCATTACTGGGTATATACCCAAAGGATTATAAATCATGCTGCTATAAAGATACATGCACATGTATGTTTATTGCGGCACTATTCACAATAGCAAAGTCTTGGAACCAACCCAAATGTCCAACAACAATAGACTGGATTAAGAAAATGTGGCACATATACACCATGGAATACTATGCAGCCATAAAAAAATGATGAGTTCATGTCCTTTGTAGGGGCATAGATGAAACTGGAGACCATCATTCTCAGCAAACTATCACAAGGACAAAAAACCAAACACCACATGTTCTTGCTCATAGGTGGGAATTGAACAATGAGAACACATGGATACAGGAAGGGGAACATCACACACCGGGAACTGTTGTGGGGTGGAGGGAGTGGGGAGGGATAGCATTAGGAGATATACTTAATGCTAAATGACGAGTTAATGTGTGCAGCACACCAACATGGCACACGTATACATATGTAACAAACCTGCAGGTTGTGCACATGTACCCTAAAACTTAAAGTATAATAATAATAAAATTACAAAAAAAAGAAAGTGACCCCAGTATGAGATAATTTGAAATAAAAAAAAAAGAAAAAGTGAATTTATATCACCTACCTGCTAAAAGACTGATTTTATAAAATGATTTATTTATTTAGGTAGAATCATTTGTGATCCATGTTGAGCAAGTTGGAGAAACGCTCTCTGCTCAATCTCCAAGTGAACTAAGGGCTTTGTCAACTTGACCAAAATACCGTCCAATTTAGGGACTGTTTCCATTTGCTAGATAATCCTCTCAGTTTGTATTCTTGCTTTTTTCTCCCATTATGATTCACTAACTAGTGATTACCCAAACCCTAAGTCCTGGGTTTAGGATTTTTTTTTTTTAAATTTTCAGCTTTTATTTTAGATATGGAGGGTATATATATATATATATATATATATATATATATATATATATATATATATATTTCATGGGTATATTGAACCCAGCCAGGTAGTGAGCATAGTATCCAATAGGCAGTTTTTCAACCCATGCCTCCTTCTTCCTTCCCCCTTTAGTAGTCCACCATATCTATTGTTCCTATGTTTATATCCATGTATGCTCAATGTTTAGCTCCCACTTATAAGTGAGAACATGCATTATTTGGTATTCTGTTCCTGGGTTAATTTGCTTGGAATAATGGCCTCCAGCTCCATCATGTTGCTGCAAAGGTCATGATTTCATTCTTTTTTACGGCTGTGTAGTATTCCATGGTATATATGTACCACATTTTCTTTATCCAATTCACCACTGATGGGCACCTAGGTTGATTCCATATCTTTGCTATTGTGAATATAGTGGTGATGAATTTATGAGTGTGTGTGTCTTTTTAGCATAGTGATCTACATTCCTTTGTGTATATACCCAGTAATGGGGTTGTTGGGTCAAATAGTAGCTGTGAACACTTTTGGGACTGTGGTTAGGCCAGATGTCATGGTTCAAATGATGTTAGACATTAAATGTTGTACGCATTTTAAATCTTCAGATCTTATAAAGTTTTAATAATTTCTGTAGTTTTATTGAAAACATTGACACTGCTTATTTGAGTCATGGATTGTTATATCCATCTGGAAGGACAGTCACCCCTGATAGAACACAGCATTTTCTGTTAGTCAGCATAATACAGGTTTTTAGAGTATTACTCATGGGGTTGGAAGTTTGATTTTATTCAGAAATATTTTTAAGAGATGGTGTCTTACTATGATGCCCAGGCTGGACTCAAACTCTTAGTCTCAATTCAGAGATTCTAATATCCCTCACATAGGGTTTTGAACCCTGAAAATTGGTAAAAGTATACTTCTATGGTATAAACCAATATATTATACGGTGGAATTTCACTGTGATTTGCTAATACCTGACATACAATATGCTGTTTAGTCTCTTGAATAGAGACTAGTCTCATCCTTATATTTTGTCATTTTTTTGTGGAACATACACAAAAATTCAAATTTTTCATGTTCAAAATTTGACTATAATCCCTCTTAGGTAGAACAGATACTTTAACCACACACACATACACACACACACACACACACACACACACACACACATTTTGTAAGGGGATACTGAGGCCCAGGGACTTACTCATAGTCATGAAGTTACTGGCATTTGACTCTGGAAGGGGTGATAGAGATTTCATCCTATGACCTCGCTTTACAGAACAAGTAATGAAGCTGAGAGAGGCTGGGCCACTTGCTCAAAGAGTTACAGCAAGTGAGTGGAGGGGCGGGGGGCGGTCAGGACTCAAAGTCACCTATCTTGTCTCTCAATCCAGGATACCATCCCCTGCCATTCTCTGTCTCAGGCCAGCACAGCACTGGGCACCCAGCATCCTTAGTCTATGGTCTAGGTCTTTTTATTACACTATAAACCTATGTTTCGTGTATCCAAGCACACAAGGTGATTTGGGGAATACCATATTTAGACAAACATTGATTTTGAAATTATTCATTTACTTTAATGCATATCAATATCTGTGTATCTTCTATTTACAAATGAGAATGATTTGCCAAATAACAGCTATATAGAATTTTATTTTTTTAAATATACTCATTTCGGTCAAAATAAAGTAGATTTGAGGCTGGGCACAGTGGCTCATGCCTGCAATCCCAGCACTTTGGGAAGCCGAGGTGGGCGGATCACTTGAGGCCAACATGGTGAAGCCCCATCTCTACTAAAAACACAAAAAATTAGCCGGGCATGGTGGTAGGCACCTGTAATCCCAGCGATTCGGGAGGCTGAGGCTTGAGAATCACTTGAACCCAGGAGGTGAAGTTTACAGTGAGCCAAGATCACACCACCGCACTCCAGCCTGGGCAACAAAGTGAGATTCTGACTCAAAAAATAAATAAATAAAGTAGATTGAAAAAATAAACAATAGTTCAGGTCGTTTGTGGAGATGGCAAATATTGGGCACACAGATTATTGAAGTTTGGGAACTGTCAACATACATCCCTAACATCTTTTACCTTTTCATCACCATTTATGTGTCTGCAAAACTTACCTGGCTGTGGTTCTCTTATAGTCACTCCAGCCAATGAAATGGAAGCAACTGTGTGAAAACTACACCAGTTAACTTATAAAATTTCAATGACAGAGGATGGGTAGGTAGTGACCGCAAGAACACAATACATTCTGAGAAATGTTTCAATGTTATCATTTTAAAGTAAATCTTAGAATTCCTATTAGTGTAGAAGTAAACTAGCATTACCTATTTTGAGCTTAACACAGTCAATGAAAGTCTTTATCAATGAAAGTCTTTATAGAAAGTATATATAGATAATTTCTATAAAGAAATTTATATTCTATATAATTTCTATAAAGAAATTATAAAGACAGACCAAACTTTTGACAAAAATCTGCTTAAATTGCTTAAAACATATTTTAGTGATAGATAATTGTTTATTTCAAGACCTTCACAATTTGAGCAATTTAGTGTTGCATCTGAGAAGACAGAGATGGTCAGTTTTTTAAACAAATTTACATAAAAAGATATGTTAAGATTTTATTGATAACTATTAAGATCTGCTATAATAATATGTCTCTCCATATAGAATTCTCATATTTATGTGAAAATGTATGCAAAAATTGTGGCTTTTAATATATGAAATTTAAAAACTCATATACAATTTTGCTGGCAAAGCAAGATATGTGTTCAATTTAGTATCATTTCCATAATCCCAATTTTTATTTTCACCTCATCATGATTCTGTTAAACTTGGAAGCTCTTTTTAAAATAATTTCATCCAAAACCTTTTCTGAGGCTCTGATCCCTTAGATCTTGATCTCCTGTTTAATTTCCCTCAGCCATTAACAGGTGTGGATTTCATTTTCTTTGTCTTCCTTGCTAGGAAGTCTAACCACAGCATTCTCACTGTGTACTCCAAAGGGCCCTGGCCTGGCTGCTTTCTACATCAACCTAATATGTGAGGTCCTTTCATGTGAAAATGACTCTCCATCATCAGGGTCACCTCATTCATTCATTAAAGGTAATTTAGCACACTCAC
Organism: Homo sapiens; assembly: GCF_000001405.40. Lineage (NCBI taxonomy): Eukaryota > Metazoa > Chordata > Mammalia > Primates > Hominidae > Homo > Homo sapiens. Next base: position 68,265,438 of record NC_000003.12, read on the forward strand.
ACAGCATCCTACCAAGACCAGCTTTTTGACTTTTGTCAAGGTTTATCCACATCACACTTGACATTCCTGGTGGGAATTTCTATGAATTCTGAAGCTTCAGAAAGATGTTTTGATATGTCCCACTAGGGGAAGGAACTTTTCCAGGGCACAGAGTGATATGAGGCCTGAACTAACTGGGTTCACCTCCAGGCCTGAGAAAGATGACATGAACCAGAAAAGCATGGCCTTACAGCTGGTTGGAAGGAGCCTGTCTTGCTGAGGCTCATTACAGAACTGGCGCAAGATACTCAGATCCGTTCATTCCCCTGGCTGTGAACTGTTGCGTACTGCAGAAGCTGAGTCAGCCTTCTACATCTGGGCTGCAGGTGTAGCCCAGACATGGCTAATTAAAATGCCAGGCCTTAGTGGTATAGGACTCTTTCTCTGGGGCACTGCACAGCTCTAGCATGTCATCCTAAAAGGTTTATGCCTGAAAGTAAAAGTTCAGAATATTAAGAAGAAAAAAAATTGTATAATCCCTGGAATGCTAATGTCTTGAGTTTCTAAATTGAACGGCACTGTCAGATTAGGCTCTATTGACATAGTCAGCAAGTTCTTATTCTTCTTGCCTGTGCCAGGCTGCTGCATGTCAGGACATAAAATGTTCCCTTCATAGGCAAAAGAAAGCACCCGTGATAAGTATACTATTAAGGAAAAGTGGTCAGTGTTCAGGCTGAGTTGAGACAGGAGTGGAATGTCATCTTTCTCATGTAGCGCGCTTTAATTTACAGCCAGGATGGTCATTTAAGCTTTTACACACTGTAATAAAGGTGTCCCAGCAGTTGGTAGAGAGTGAAGCTTGATCTTTGGCTTAAAAGAATGAGATTGAGATATAAAATACCTTTAATTGAAGAGATCTGTATCACAAGGGTTGTGAAGTTGAAGGTTTTATACGAAACATAACTGCTGTCTTTACCCAGAAGAGTAGATATAAACAGCCCGGTCCTAAGTAAATCTCTGACACCCCTTCACTACCATCCCGCATGATACTGGCATTTGGTTTGTTTTTCATGGTTTATAAGGGTTTTCACAAACAGAAACTCGTTTGATCTTTATACCTTTCTGGAAGATACAGTATTTTTATTCTCCCTTTACCGAGACTTGTTGCACATTTGAAATTCTGCATTTCTAGAACATAGGGCTGCAAACTATGTGATGTGGATTTAGGAGCATGGGGCATTGCAGGAGACACATAATAAAGGATCCGGGTGAGAGCAGAGGAAGACACAGTTCCCAGATGCTTGGCACATAGTGAGGATGGGAAAGGGAAGGCCAAAGAATCTGGCAGCTCTGGCTCAGCAGTTAACCTGTCTTCTGTGTTCCACCTCTCTAGAGGATGCTGCCCAACTCTCAGCGATAAGTATGTGGTTTTAATTGGCTTGTTATCATAATTTGAAGCTACGTGTCCTGCCTGACTAGTCTTTAATGAGGCACATCCACTCTTGGGCTCAGTCAAGCAAAAGAACCTTCGGTGGACTCCAGTTTCTCCTATGAATATTGCCAAAGGTACAGGGGGCTTTGGGTGCCAATAAAAACAGATTTCCCATTGATTGACTTCCTGCATGCAAATAATCCTCCTCCCTAGGGAACGCATTAACAAGAGAAAGCTGAGTTTCTCCTCACAACAAGTCAAGTTTATTCCGACTCATTTGTGTAAACTGGTCTATAGGAACACACAGATAAGACTTGTTGTGTTAATTAGCCTCATCTAATCATTCCACACTGTGGACATACATCAAAACATCACATTGTACCCCCAAAATACAATCATTATTTGCCAATTTTAAAACATTTGTAAGAAACTTACTGAACCCATACTTGTATGCTAAGCCCTTAACAAGTATCATTTTACTCAAACAAAACTGTTCTACTTAGGTTCCATGGTTGTCACATCATTATCATTTCAGACAAGGAGACCAAACTCCAGAAGTTTTAGTAACTCATATAAGTTATATGGAAAATGAGGTGTGAAGCCAAAATATGAGGTGCAGCTGTGGGAAACCAAGCCTGTGTACCTAGTGATCCCAAGAATTATCCCACCCTATAGATGGAAGTGCTTTTGATTGGTGCCCTGATTCAAGTAAATTTGTGCAGGGAATTTTTGGAGATTTTCCTTCATGAAAAGATAACTGATTATGTTGATATTTCTCTACGTCTTGAAAGTTTTGTTCTATCTTGCACAGGTTATTTGAAGGATTCTTTTTTTTTTAATATTTAAGGGAATGAAAAGATATAAGCCTTATATGGATCTATGCATGTTTTAACTTTTCAAGTCTTATATGACTCTATGCATGTTGTAACTTTTCAGTTCTTCTTTTTCTTTTCCTGTAAGCACATTTTCTGTGACTCCTCTTATTTCTTCAAATAGGTAGTCCACAATGGGAAGACTACTCGCACACGATAAATCTCTGCTAGACAATTGTCAGATAATTTTAAGGCTGCTAGATGCTACTATAAATACAAACTGGCAAAGATAACTTAGTTCTGGAGTTTTTCTTAGTCATGAACTCATTAGAAGAGCTATAGTCTCTTGCCATTGACAGCCCAGAGAATGCATTTTCCTTGTTCTTTGTGTTGAAAAATTTCTGACTTTGTTTCAAAGAGGTGTTAAGAGGTGAGGCATGTTTTCAGAATCATACTGTTAGTCTCTTTTATAACATCATCTTCCAAAAATAAAGTTCTAAGGTATTTGACTGCCATTCTGAGTCCTCCTTATTCTGAAAGGATGACCAAAGTTTTGGCTCTGAGAGAGAATATTCTAAAAAAGGACAGCTACTTCAGGATATAAGAAAATAAGAGGAGAGAGAGCACCATTTCAGTTTAAAGGAGGAAAGACATATTTTAAGATATTGCTGAAACTTTGACATTTTGAGTTTTAGCAGATTCAAACAGGAGACCAAAAACGTGTGGCCCCCGTGACTCAACTCATTGTGGGTGTGGAGACATGGATGGGGGGAGCCAGGCAGTTCAATTGTCAGCTAAATATTAGAGTCCTTGAGATATTTTCTTCCTGTGATATTTGACCTCTTTTTGATGGGTATTATCATCATTTTTTCTCCCCCACTGGGAGAAAATATGGTGAAGGAAATGAAAGGTGAAAGGGATAGCAAAGAAAAGAATGGATGAATAGTGGGTAGAGACCAGGCACCCTGACACAGGGAAAACAGGGTCAAACGAAGCCCTTTGGTTTTCTTCCAGAAACCTAAAAATATCCACCTCTTGCCTGATTGACATTTCCACTCTGCTTGCCTTATGCATGTGCTGTAGGGGCTGCTAATGTTGCTTAACTCACATGCTCCCTGCACTTTTCTGCTGTTAGAAAGAAACCAGTCAGTTGGGTAATCATGATAATTAAAAAAGATGTAAACTTTCAGAGTGGCTGACACAAACTCATTACACTAAGCTGTCTTGCCTGACTGAACTAACATTAATTCCAATACCCCATTACATTCTGGCATGTAAGAATTTCTAACTAATGTGGATATTTCTTCCTTCATTTCCTTACCCAACTCTTCCCTACCTTCCTTCATTCCTCCCTTCTTTCCTTCCCTTCTTTCTCATCTCTAACACATTCCCATTGATGCTGATGCTGCCTGTCCAAAGAACAAACTTTTGCTGAACTGTTTGAGGCTAATTCTCCCAAATTGTAATGTGCATATAGATCATTTGAGGGTCTTATTAAAGATGCAGATTCTGGTTGGGTGCATTGGCTCACTCCTGTAATCCCAGTGCTTTGGGAGGCCATGGCAGGAGGATTGCTTGAGGCCGGGAGTTTGAGACCAGCCTGAGCGACAGAGTGAGACCCTATCTTTACAATTTCTTTTTTAAAACTAGCTAGGCATAGTGGCACATGCCTGTGATCCCAGCTACTCCAGAAGCTAAGGTGGGAGGATCCCTTGAGCCAAGAGTTCAGGTTATAATGATGAGGTTACAATGAGCTATGATTGCACCACTGTACTCAAGCCTGGGGGATAGTGTGAGACCCAATTCTAAAAAATAAAAAATACAAATTCTGATTCAGTAGGTCTGAGGTGAGACCTGAGACTTTGCCTTTCTATGAGTGTTCCAGGTAATGCTGATGCTACTGACACCAGGGCAACACTTTGAGAAGTTTCAAGACAATGGTCCACACATTTCCAGTGGGATTAGAGATAATAACTTTTGGCCAGGAGTGATGGCTCATGCCTATAATCCCAGAACTTTGGGAGGCCAAGATAGTGGGATCACCAGAGGCCAGGAGTTTGAGACCAGCCTGAGCAAAATGGCAAGACCCTATTTAATTTTTTAAGAGAATTAAAAACAGGTAACATTTTTAAAAAGAGAGAGAACCAGTTTTAATGCACAGCAACCAACCAATTTGAAGGATTCTTTTTTTAATATTTAAGGGAAGGAAAAGATACAAGCTTTATATGACTCTATGCATGTTGTAACTTTTCAGTTCTACCTTTTCTTTTCCTCTGAGTACATTTTCTGTGGTCGAACCTGTTACTCAGATGTGCATTTGGTGAAACAATTTCTATGCCTACCTTGGAAAGTCTGTGCCCCTTTCTTCAGGCTAAAAGGCATGCTGCAGGAAACCACATCCAAATGTATTCCTCCCTTTCTTTGTGCCAAAGAGTTGGAGTTTCTTAGAACTCTAGATTTTGACGGAAGTAGATTTCAATATCTGCTTCATCACTATCTATACAAGTTCCGGCACTAACTGATTGCGCCACTGGAGCTCCAGCTTCATCACTTTCTTAATCCCTCTAAGCCCCTGTTTAGAATGAGGTTGAAATGGTGGGTACTCAGTGGGGTTGTGGAGGGGCTTCTATGACAGATTATCAGAACATGGGGGTTTATAAATGATAGCTTCTAATATTTTGAGATGACTCTTGTTGCATTTGGTGTGTTTGTGTCCAGAAGAAGACAGAGCATCCTCAAACCTCTTATGTTGCCTACACTTGAAGTTAGAAAATATTTGGTTTTATGTGGACCAAAAACCAGACCATTCTTATGTAAAATGTGAAGACTCATTGATGTTTTTATGCAGCATCGATTCCCCTGTCAGGGAAATCATTTGGGATTTGCTTATTGTTATGTGTAAAGAATTTATGAAAAGGACCAGGTTATCTGTGGACCCAGGATGAAAGTATAACCTGGGTCTACCAAAAGGCTCTTCCAAACTCAAGTACCCTTCCTTTTGGCTGGAGCTACCCTCATTAATTAGAGCTGATCCTGTGGATGAAGGAACAAGAGGGAAGGTCAAATATAACTTCATTTTCTAGAGGGTGTGCCTGACTGGCCCACTGGCAGCTATGAGATGTATTATGGATTAAACAGAAGACAAAAATCAAGCCTCAATTTAAAGTTTATTAATGAAGCACCTGGGGGGCATTTAGCATACATGAGCTTTTGTTTTTTAAGAAAGCTGACAGAGTGATGAAAAGATAACAATTTTTGTTTCCATTGAAGACTTCTTAAAAACATTGATTTTCCGTCCATGTTAATCAAGACTCTTTGTGGAAAATGATAGAAACCCAATCTAAACTGCTTAAGCCGAGAAAAATAGGTAAAATTTATTGGGTTAACTAACTGAAGTTTGCAAAGTTGTAGCTGATTTGGGACATGACAGGAGGCAAGGGGTCAAACAGCATCAAATTCTACCCCACCCTGCCCCTTCCCCCTTCCTCTCTTGGTGCTGCTTCCTCCTGGATTGGTTTTAAATTCAGAAAACATCTCTTCATGAGGGTGCAAGGATGACCATTAGCCACTCCTCCAGGCCTATTTTCCTCCAGGTCATTCATTCCAACAAAACACCCAACTCCTGCTTCCCAGCTGGACCCACAGAAGCCCTAGGATCACATTTCACAGGCCTGGCTTTGCCTTACTCACACTCCATAACCAATCATATTGTCCAGGGGATGGAATTGTCCACCTCTAATTGGCCAGGCCTGGGCCACATCAGCCCCACTCAACCCACGTAACTGAGAATGCAACAAGGATGATTTCCCTAGTAAAACTGGGGTATTATTCCAAGAAGAAAGAAAGAATGTTGGGTGGGAAAAACAGCGATTTCTAAGAACCCAAAGGGAGTAAAATGACACGTTCCTTATAGAAACTTGGACAAGAGATAGAGAGTCCCAGGTTTTGCAACAAAGTTATGATGTTGAGAAACGTTTTCTGATGTTTGTCACAATCACAAACGAGGTGTTTGTGTCGAATACCCCACAGTGTCCAAAGAGTTAATATTTCAGAGGATGGGAGTTGGGGAAACATTTGGAAAACATCCACCTGTATTTCATCTCCCCCCTTCCATATTAGATTTTTCTCTCCCTGTCTCTTTTGCCTCTTTGTCTATCTCTCTCTCTCTCTCTCTCTCACACACACACACACACACACACATTTAAATATATACAATGAGTTTATTCACCTCAGAAGCAGGGATGTGACACCAGCTGGAGGGTTTCACTAATATGATTGAAATATGGTTAAGTGATTTTCAAGTATACAGTGATTTGCACTGTGTAACTATAAATAGATGCTCAGGGGGAAATTCTCTTTCCCCGATCCTATTGACTTATGGCAATGTATGTGGAGATCCAAGCTCTGAGCAGAGTGAAATATGCCTTTGTATTGCAGTTGCTTTCTGCCAAAGATAGAAATCACTTTACAGAAAAAGAGCCTTATTCCCACCAGGTGAAAAGCTGCTCTTTTGTAATAAAACACAATCCTCTGGAAAACCACGTTAGCTTCTGTGTGCTGCTGGATCTTCATTTAGGGAGGCAGCGTAGTAGCAAGAGCTTAAAATGTGGGCATCCATCTGCCCTCAGCTTGTTCTCTTGCTTGGCCTTTTCTTTCCTTGGTGACATTACCTGCTTAGCTTGTCAAACCCAAGCTTCCTTGTTTCTTCAAAGATTTGACAAATTTACCTAAAGCATATGGGGTTATGAGGATGAAATAAGATAAAACACGTAACATGGGGCCTGGCATATCATAAAATCACTAAAGAATTGGTGATGGATGAATATATGGTTATTGAGTATAATGGGATGCAATAAATGGAACATAATGATTCAATGCAAATTAGGGAAAACAGCACTTTTATTCTGTTTTTAAGAAACTGGACTTTTTAAAAAGAAAGGTATTAAGAATACCAGCAGTTTTTGTGACACTTGTGGAAATTCATCTGCCTGGGCGTAGTTTCCTCATCTATGAAAGAAAATATTCAAATAGGATCTAAAATTCTCAGGAAAACATTCCTGTGGGTTTAGTTTTCATACATTGTAAGGACATCCTAAATGGTTTCAAGCCAAAGCTAACCTTAAAGTCAGGCCAAGCAATGAGCAGGTAGTGGCAGAAACTACTAAAACATTAAAATTGCATTTCTTTTAATACCTGTATCTTCATATAGTTAGAAACTGAGCTGGACAGTCAGAGCTTTGAATTCAAATCCCATTCTTTCTTTTTTCTTTTATTCTACATGAATGAACTGAGGGCCTGGCCTGGCCTGTTCTGTCCGTATCTCTATGCTATCCATGGGAGTTGTATTTTAATTGGTGGTGGTGGGGGGGAATAAAAATAAGTAACCCAAAATAAATAACTGCAAATTATGCCACAGGCTATGAAAAAAAGAAAGCAAGCAAGGAAACAAATATTAATACAAATGGTGCCAGCCTCATTTTCATATAGAAAGGATTCTATAAGCTAAGGTGTATGAGTAAAAGCCTTCAACCATGTGAAGGGGAAGAAGGAAAGCACTCCAAACAGAAGGGAAAGCAAGTGCAAAGCCCCTGGGGTAAGATGTATTTGAAGACTAAATGACCAGCATGGCTAAACTTTAGCAAGTCGGGGACAGTGGTAGAAGTTGCAGTTGGAGAAAGGAAGAGGCCAGATCACACGTGGCCTTGTAATGTGTTGTCAGAGCTTGCATTGTCCTCTTTGTGTCTTGCAAAGGACACATTTAAAAAATAAAATGTTTTATCTTATTTCATCCTCATAACCCCATATGCTTTAGGTAAATTTGTCAAATCATTGAAGAAACAAGGAAGCTTGGGTTTGACAAGCTAAGCAGGTAAGATTACCAAGGTAAGAAAAGGCCAAGCAAGAGAACAACCTGAAGGCAGATGGATGCCCACATTTTAAGCTCTTGCTACTACTCTGCCTCCCTAAGACTAATAGAAATTGTGATTTGAAACCACTCTTGCTTCTGTAAATAAACAAGAGAATATAAGAATGGAAGCTAGAAGATCAGTTAGGTATTTCTCAGAGAAATCCAGGGTAGAGACAACGGTGAGCTAAACTAGGTGGTAATAGTATAATGCACAGGAAGAAATATTCCAGTCTTATCCCTGGCTGTGTGACTGACACCAAATTCCTTTTTAAATCCCTAGGACTCAGTTTCACTGTCCGTAACATGAGCAGGTACAACACAATCTCTAAGGGACTCGTATGTCAACATTTTATTCTAATTTCTAAAAATCTCTAAGCCAGACCAACTCTTTTGTTAAATTTACATGGCTTTGATGCACTGATTTGCTCTTACCAGCTTTCTTGCCAGGCCCTAGGGTAAAGATATGAGATTACCTGCCAAGAAATAAGAAATGAGTGCAAGTCTTATTAAGAACTGTGGGAGTTGGCTGGCCTTGAAATGGCATTATCTTTTCTGTTTTACGCTTAGGGTGGTTTCAAAACAGTCTATTCAGTTGTGTGCATGAATTTCCAATTCCAAATTCAAACTACAAATTTCATAAACCCAGATTCTGAATGTTAAGTTTCATTTTATGCTGTTTAGGATGATGGTTTTCATGAAGAAGGACAAAAGATTAAAAAGAGCTATGATGAAAGTTTTATTAAATGAAGGATTCAAAAGAGAAAACTCTCCAAACCCCATCCAACATTTTTCTGTCTAGTGTTCAGAGAAAAATGGTAAATTAATAGAAAAGCAAAACAGTGTGGGATGCCAATACATTCAAGAAAAGCCAAAGTTCATTTCTGCCTGCAGATTCAAACACTGCTGGCAGATCAATGTGAGCTTCACAGTGTGGTTTGCAAAAATCGTTCTGCAGCTAATATCCTCAAGGACAAGACACAGCCTGCTTTGGCTACTCTTCAGAGTTTGCCTGAATTGCTGTGGGAAGCAATATTTTCCACTGGGAGGACTTTGGAGCCTAGATAGTTATAGCACCCATAAATCAAATCATCAAGATTTCACAAAAGTAGTGAGGATTTTTGGTGTTTGTTCCCCCGCCCCGCCCCCGCCCACATGTAACTGTGTGGTGGGGGCTGCCTGTCTAGCATGTGTATCATTAGCCTTACTCAGAAGTCTAATGTGTGCTTTAATTTAATGAGATGCGACTGCTTGTGCATTCTCTCTCTCTGTTTCTCTTTCTTTCTTGTTTTGCTGTTTTCTCTAGAAATGATTCCATTACCAAAGGACATTATTTTCGTCATTTTGTTGTTGTTGCAAAATTAACATAGACCATATACAATTTGCAAAACAGAAGCATGGTCTGGGTGGGACAGTGAAGTTCATATTTCTTGACATAGGCAGGCAAAAAAGAGATAAGTTATATTACATGTTGTATTATATTTTATTTTTAAAAATTAGTTTTAAGTTTGCAGGATAAAGTTAATTGAGATATATATATATTAATATGTATTTGCTGAGCACATCTAACGAAGAATTTATGGCAGGTACTGGGGTGATAGCAGTGAACTAGAAAGCAAGAGTCCTTCCTTTATAGGTCTAGGACTAAAAGAGGAGGTAAGCAAAATAAGCAAATAATTAAAATGTAATAAGTAATGTTGGGGAGAAATATGGAGGGCAATCTTTGTGGGGGAGTGAAAGATGTCATATTTAAAGATAACTGCCAAGGGGTAGGAATAAAGGAGAGATGTCCAAAGGCTTCAAAAGAATGTGTTCTCTTGAAGGTGCAGAGCAAAACCAGTGTGGCTGGAAAGGAGAAAGAAGGAAAGGGGGCTTCAAGCAAGATCATGTGCATTGTCAGACTTCAGATCATCCAAGGCCTTGTAAGATTAGGGGACTTTTTTTTTTTTTTGCATAAGTCATAAAGAAATCACTGTGGGGGAATCAAACACTAAACAGGTATGCAAGATAATTTCAGATAAAGTATATGAAACAAAAATGGGATAGAGCAAGTTTAGAGGAGATAATGATGAGGAATGTCCTCTCTGAGGAGGTGACATTTGAACGGAGACCTGAATGGGACAAAAGGGCTAGTGGAGAAGAGATCTGAAGAAAGAGCATTTCAAGCATTAGAGTAAATAGGGCAAAAATCAGGAAGCAGGACTGTGCTGTTTGTTTAATACACAGAAAGAAAGAAATGGTTAACTGGAATTTGGACTCGGGACTTGAGTTCAAATTCAAAGTTATTTATGCTGCCCCCAAATGCGACTACCTAACTGAGCCTGCTGTTTGCTAAGGATTAGGGGCTTTCTCTGTTTCACTAGATGGTAAGTACCTGAGCATAGGGACCATGTCTTCCCACTTATTTCTGCAAACTTAGTATCTGGGCCCTGTCTAGTACCTGTTAGACTCTCAGTAAATATTCATTGAATGAAAACATCTCTACAATTACAATACCCTGACTGTATATCTACTGTTAAAATTCTAAGACTAGAAAAAAACAATTTAAATGTTGAAATTCAGTCAGCCAATTGGTAATTTAATAACCCAACTAAAAAAAAAAACCCAGAAGACAAAATAGTCAAACCATTTCTAAGAGTAGCTGCAGACTAAATAACAAGAAAAGAAAAAAATTATCTAAAGCAACGCTTCTCAACGTCAGTGCTATTAGCATTTGGGGCTGAATAATTCTTGGTCATGGGAGCTGTCCTGAGCATTATTTAGTGGCATCGTTAGTCGCTACTCAATAGTTACTGGTAGCATTCCCCTCTTGCGACAACCCAAAATGTCTGCAGACATTGCCAGATGGCCCTATTGAGAACACTGGTATGAAAGTATTAATGCCATGCCACTTTCTAAAATGTTGCAGAAGTTGTTGTGCCACCCAGTGGGTTTTCAGTTGATTTGTGTGCAAAGTTTTACCAAGAGGTATGATAAATATGTCCCCTGAGTTGAAATACTGTGTATCGTACATGCATTCTTAGCAGAAAACAAAGTTGCTTAATATTTTATTGTTTCTAATGGTTTCTGATGAGACATCCATCAATGTAAAAGAAACCAGTTTCTTCTAAGTTTTACTTTATAAATATGTAATATAATTGTAGAGTAAACCTCCTTTATCATCCTGATGGAGGATCAGACTAATATCTGTCTTGAGTTTTATCAGGATTTTATGCTATTTTTAAAATAGTTTGTGGAGGGAGGGAGGAGGAAAAGGTTTGATATGCAATATGTTAAAATCTGTAGAATAACACAGTTCCACTTCATCAAGCTGTACCATATAGCTTTCCTATACAGTTTTAATAATTTTAAAAATAACTTTTTTCTGATTTTAAATATTCAAAGAATATAGTCAAGTATACAAGAGGAAATTAAAATCATCTATAATCCCACAATTGAGAGATAAGTATGTACATTATTCTTTCATGGATTTATTTATTCCTCCATGAAATTATGTGCCAGGCACTGTGCTAAGGCTGGAAATACATGAGAACAAGATATATAAGTTATCTCCTTATGTAAAACCTACTTGCATATATATTAGTGCATACATTAGAATGTGTATTCCACCTTTATTCATACCAGAATCATACCAGGACACCTAGATAGTTCAGTAATGCTTTGGCTGGCAATCGTTTGGCTGTCAGTGAAGAAACCTGAAAAACATTAACTTAAACGTTAAGGATATTATCTCATTTGCATAAGAAATTTGAAAGAGAGTCAACCAGGGCTGATGCTCTGAATTTATACTTCTATCGATTACTCAGGATCCTTCTGGCTTTCTATTGTGCCACTTCTAAGCATGGAACCATTGGTTCTAAGCTTGCAAAACAGCTTCTCCTTCTTAAGGTATTTCTCCAGGTTCCAGACTGGAAAAGGGGGAAAAGCCAAAGGAAAAAAAAAGGCAGGTGCTCCCCGAATCTGAGCTCATAAAAGAGCTTTCTCCAAACTTAAGAGTTTTCTCAATAACATCCATTTATATGTTATTGTTTGGAACTATTTCACATGGACCCCAAGATGCAAAAGATAGAAAAAATAGAACAAACTTACATTGAGTTAAAAGTGATGGACAGCCTTCCAAAAACAGATGTAATCCTTGCCTCCTTCTCTGAAATAACAACTAAAGGTTTAGTATCAGACTTCTAGATTCTTGTCTAAGTGTAGAGAGATACGCACAAAAGCATTGAGGTCATCTTTCCATCCCCATTAAAAGGGGATGATAGACATTTTCCTCTACTCAACAATATATCGTGACAACTTTTCAGGTCAATACATTTAGCCATAAGTCATTTAGAAATAATTGTACAATAGTCCATGCTATGAGCAAATCACAATTACAAAACTGTCCCATCGTAACATAGATTCTCTCAAAATTATTGTTATTACAAATAAAGCCCAGTACATCTTTATACGGTATCCTTACACAAATGAGTGACTTTTTCTGTAGATAGGCTAGAAATAGAATTGCCAGGTCAATATGTGTGAAGCATGTTTAAACATTCTAATGGGTACTCTCAATTGCCTTTCAAAAAGGCTGTAATTATTTACAGTCTCACCAACAGTAGCTGTGAGTTTCTTTCTCTCTTCATTCACACCGACAATGGATATTATCAGTCTTAAAAGACTGGTAATGTTTCCTAACTTTTCAGGCAATAATATGTCTCCAGATGGATTTATTTCCAAACTGTTTATATAAAGAATTTCACATACACTCAAAAGTAGAACAAATAATATAAACTAAGAATCCCACTACCCGTCACCCAGCTTCAATAATTACCAATATATTGCCACACTTGTTTTAGCTGCACAGAATTTAATCATTTTTCTATTTTTGCTACCATCCCTTTTTTATTTTGGAGGGAGGCAGGTTGTTGTTCATCTTTTACTTCTTATTCTAGTAAGAATTTTGATTTCCTCATAAGTCCTATGTATTTGTCTTAAAGCTCACAGCCATGCATCAAGTTTTCTGTCTAGTGCAGAGATAGTGCCATCACTTTCCCCTTCTGCGCCTGGGTAGATAGTATTACTTGATCAATATATCTTTTAGCTGTAAGCCCAGGTGTCCCCTTGCACCTTTTCTTAGCACAGTGCTTTATACCTATGGTTCTCAAACTTCAGCATACCTAAGAATCACCTGGAAAGCTTGTTAAAATACACATTCCCACACCCACCACCCCCATAGATTCGCATTCAGTAGGTCTGGGATGGGAACTAAGATTCCATTCTACATTTCTAGCAAGTTGCCAGATGACACAGATTCTGCCTATCCACACACCATGGTTTGTTAGCATTGTTCTAGACCAGTGCTTCCAAATTTTAATGTATATATGAATCACTGGAGATTGTGTTCCAATGCAGATTTTCATTCAGTAGGTCTGCTTCTGGCCCTGATATTTAGCTTCTCTAATAAGTTCCAGGTGATACTGCTGGATCATAGACTAAATTTGAGTATCAGGTCCTCAGTGGCCACTACTATGCAGAGTTGGTTGTGAAGTAAAATTAATCAGCCATGTCTAACCTAGAACCAAGGCCTTCCTTGACCTCAAAGTTTCCTAAATATCATTACATAGACTAGAACCAGGATAGCTAAAAAATATTCAACTGAGAAACTTTTCTTAAAACTCAGATTTCAAGTCTGTGCAATGAGAAATTGTCCTTCATGAGAAATTTGGGGAGGGGTCCAGGAATCTATTCTTTATACAGTTCTTTTGCCAACCTTGGAGCCCAGGTAAGTGTGGTAGCCACTACTTTATGCTTCTTGGATGATGCACAGGTGTTCATTCTTGGATTCATCTGATCCCTCACCTAATTATTAATCTTATCAAGATAAAAATGTTGACACTGACTTTTTACATGACTACATTAGATACTGTGGGTCATACAGAGATGAATTAGGGACAGATTCTACTTCTCTAGACCTGATAATCTGGTGAAAGAGATTGATGTAATAATACATAGTCACTACTATGGGAAGTCAGGGCAGAAAACCTGTTTCCTCTCCTTCTCGGTATCCTCCTTCCTGAAACTTAAATTAAAAACATTTGCTCAAGAGGAAATTTCCCATTTCAAATAGAAATCTCATAAAAGCATAGAAATGCCAAGGAGATAGTTTTCTATGTAATATTAAGTCATAATATGGGCTTTGCTCTTGGGTGGCGTTCCCAGATACTAGCTAGGTTTGTAAGTATAACACAACATGTGCATTACACAGTACATATAACAGTGGGAAAATGAATGCCACCTAGAGAACCATAACTTTTGTCATTTCTTGACTTTGGAGAAATTTCAATTTGTAGCCTTAATGATATACAACTGTAGATTTTTCCATTTTAAGTAATATGCTGATTGGAGTCTTGCATAGTGTTCTTATTTTCCCAAATTCTCATCCTATACAAAATTCGCAAATTCTTGTATTCCCAAATTATCATTTCTATACAGAATGTAAAAATTCTAATAAAGCTAATAGTGTAGGTCATATATTTACTGTCTGCTGAATGGGGCTGTTCACTGTCATTAAGATTCTGAAAGAAGCACTTGAGAAAACAGGATAATGGAGAAGAAAAAGCTGTAATCAAGCATAAAAGGACTTTTAAAAGGGGGAACTGAGACATCTTTCAACAGTGACCTTTATAACACTGATACTGGACTGAGACTATAATTGTCCATCACTCTTTTCAATGGTCAATACTCTGCTCACCACAACTCATTCTTTCAATACCATTGATCCGTTTAACAACCCTGGCTGGCAATCTCTCTTTGTAAGTTACAAAGTTAGTGACATTTATTCTGCCCTGTTTGGTGGTTCATTGTTAGGCAGTCTCAACATTGTATGTCTTGATGAGTGCAGTCTGGTAAGTGAATTAGGAAAATTTTCAGATGGTAAAGACCGCTTTTTAGGCAGGATATCATATGGTTAAAGGGAAGCATGGTATAAACCAGCGGCTTCACATCATTACAAAACAACCCTACCTCCACTTTTAAAGAAATTGACCATGCATTGAGTGGACTTTTGTTTTTTTTTTCCCCCTTCTGCACAGTGGGATGATTAGAAAGATTTTAATTTGAAGGAGAACCCAAATTATATCACTTTCATGGATCTAAAAATTTGGGTCACGGGACTTCAGGGATTGGAGAGAATTGCAAAGATGGAGATGCAATTTGCTTAAGTTGTTCCAGAAATAGGAATCACATGACAATAATAAAACTGCATTTACTCTCAGGATAATAACCAGTTTCTTCAGATAAGTTCAGATCTTGGTTCTTCTCAACTTTGTGTTCTTAGGCAATTAGTCTTATCCTCTCTGACACCTAATCTCGCTACTTTTTAATGATTATAACACCAGTATCTATTTTAAAAAGTGTTTTAGAGAATTAAATGAGATAATATTTAATAAACAGTATTTATAATAGTGTTCTTTATGATGGTATGCAACTTATTTCTTATTCCTATGGAATATTCTTATGGAATAAGAAATCCATTAAATTTCTAATAAAATATTTTACAATAAGTTATCATTTTAATTTTTTATTTACATTGTTCCTTTTGATTCTTACAACAGCCCTGTACAATAGGCATGATAAATCTTTTAACTGAGGTTTTATAGATAAGTAAATTAAGTCTCAAAAGGTTAAAGGGAAGAATGGATATAAACTGTCAGCCTCATACATTACAAAACGACTTAAAATTCCACAAAAAGAAAATACTATACCATGTTTTTTTTGAGATTATCTTTATACCATGTTAATATTTTATTTTCAGTGTTTTAAAAATCAGGACTGCTGAAAGCATGGTAGGATATCAAGCTCTAGGAGTAGTTATTTAAGATAGTTTGATTTTGCTGGGCACCAGTTTCCACATTAACCTTTTTTTTTTTTTTTTTTTTGAGATGGAGTCTCACTCTGTTGCCCAGGCTGGAGTACAGTGGTGCGATCTCGGCTCACTGCAACCTCCACTTCCCAGGTTCAAGTGATTCTCCTGCTTCAGCCTCCTGAGTAGTCGGGACTGCAGGCGCATCCCCACCATGCTCAGCTAATTTTTATATTTTTAGTAGAGACAGATTTCAGGCTGGTCTCAAACTCCCGACCTGAAGTGATCCACCTGCCTCGGTCTCCCAAAGTGCTGGGATTCCAGGTATGAGCCACCGCGCCTGGTCCCATGGGAAGTTTTTACATTGCGTGGGATACTTAAAAGAGTGGATGCATTTGTGGCACCATTATTCACTTTTTTGACTTCCTTATAATAAAGGATTGATATTTCTGATCCACAGAAGAGAGTGGAATCATTGTTTTAGTCCATTCTCACGCTGCTAATAAAGACTTACCTGAGACTGGGTTATTTATAAAGGAAAGAAGTTTAATTGACCCATAGTTCAGCATGGCTGGGGAGGCCTCAGGAAACTTACAATCATGGTGGAAGGGGAAGCAAACATGTCCTTCTTCACAAGGTGGCAGCAAGAGGAAGTGCTGAGCAAAAGGGAGAAAGGCCCCTTATGAAACCATCAGATCTCATGAGAATTCACTCACTATTACAAGAACAGCAGCATGGGGGTAACTGCCACCATGATTCAATTACGTCCCATTGGGTCCCTCCCATGACACATGGGGATTATGGGAACTATAAATCAAGATGAGATTTGGGTGGGGACACAGCCCAACCATCTCAATCACTTTGCTCTCTTTTCATTCTTGATGACGGTGATCATGGACAACAGGCATTGCACACTTACGACGGATCAGGCACTGTTCTGAGTACCTTGTGCATCCTTGTGCATAATCCTTCCAATGACTTTGTGGAGTTGTGACAGTAAATGTGTCATAAAAAAAAAATCTCTAAGTAACAGTAAAACACAGCCATTTGTGTATGACTTACTTCTTAATACAAAATTAAGAGCTTTCAAGGTTCCCCAGGCAATGTCATTTTAACTACCTTGCATTCTGATGCGTTCCCTTGAATGTGAGACAAGGAAGCACAGTTAGAGCAAACTCATGGAGTCCACACCTGGGTACAATCCAGGGAGTGTGTTCTGCTCCTTGGAGAACATCGTCTGAGTATCATAGCAAAATCAAGGCTGGGAAGGGCTATCCTAAAGCATCTTGTCTGTGAAGAGGGAAATTGCTGGCTTTCATTCTCTAGTGAATCAAGCCTGATGTATGCAGCAATTTTATGTTTAAGTCCCCCAACCTTTTATTTCAATGAGATGATCTGAAGTATATCAAATTCCAGGTTAATTGATTCCAGATCTGTTCTTGCTAAACTGTTGGTCAGCTGATCCATGAAAGGGGCCTTGGAGCTTGTTATCAGATGAGCTGAGATTACTTTCTGGTCCTGAATTATACTAGGGTTTGGGGTACATATCTTAAATTTCTCTGAAACTCAGTTTTATTCATAATACAATAGGAATCCAAAGGAATCCTATTGCATAATATTTTACTTTATGGCTGATTTTGGAAGGTAACCTTCCTCATTGAAGCTGTGAATCTACTATATTTTTAAACTCTCAGAACAATAAAGAGATGTAATTTGCTTTATGATAATAGAGAATTAATACTTAAACCAAATAAGTAAACCCTGCACACAAGCAGGAATGCTTGAGGCCATTCTGCTATACTTCCTCACCCTAGAGGTTTGATAACTATGTTAAAATGCAAAGGGGGCAAGAGCCCTGAATCTGCATATGACTGGAGATTCAGTCTTATAGTCTGACTTTTCTTATAGTCTAACTAGCTGTTTCTCAAGCTTCAGTATGCATATGTATTACTGTTTTGGATTATACACACCAAGTCAGGTATGGCCTAGTTTGAGGGCAATTAAAAAGATTTTTAAAGTAATTTATGCATAATTTTTATATCTCTAAATCTAATACATTCCTCATCATTCTTGTAAGATAAAACACCATGACTTTACTACATTCCTGGGTGCATCCTGGCCCTGAGCATTTGCAGTGAGCGCTTCTAAATGCCTCTAAGCATAAATTTCCTTTTCAGTAAAATGGAGTAATAAAACCCACCTTGAAGTATTTTTGTGAGGACTTAATTAGATTCAAAATTATATCTACACAAAAGGTCTTAGCATATGCCTGGCATATTATAAGTATCTAGCAAACATTACTTCCCTTCCTAGCTATCCTACCTCACAACACATCCCACAGCACAAAGCAGGGATGGGTAATCATTCCTGCCTTTAAGAGCATGTGTCTGTTTTTATCAGCCCTCAGCTTCCTTTTATACATTGCATGGCTGCATAATTGGCAAAATTTTCATTGATTAGTTGAATCCTCCTGGATAAATGGTTGTGCAGTTTTCACATCCCGTCAAGTTAAGTAAATGCCATAAGTAAAAGGATACATCAACTTTAACCAGAAGCCAAGACCTGATATTTCCTGCAATGGAGAATGCCTGTTGCTCCTTATGATGTTATCTGCAGCTGACCAGGTTGTCATTAGGCTTTTGATATTGAATCTGTGTAGATACCCACCTTGGCCAAGTTATTTTGAAAGACAGAAGAATTAAATGAGATTGGAATCTTTCTCTTTCTGTGTTTTTCGTCCCTACTATCCTTAATTGAACTTCTATTGATGTCAGAAGATATCACTTTAAATAGTAGGCCCCTACTAATGTTTCAATGCTTCTGAAAGTTGTTGGGTTATTCTTAATTTTCTTGCATGGATTTGGGAATTAAAAATACATGCTATCACTGCAAATCCATCAGAATGGCCAAAATATAAAAGAATGATAATATTAAGTGTTGATGAGAATGTGGAACCAAGGGAACTCTTGTACATTTTTGGAGAGAATGTCAAATGTTACAATGTTAAAAAAAACTTTTTGGCAATTTGTAATAGAATATATATCTTTCCTCTGACCCAGAAATTCTTTCACTAAACATGCATCTTCAAAAAGATTGTCCAATCATGCTTTTAGCAGCTTTCTTCGCAGTAGCCAAA
The DNA here is from genome assembly GCF_000001405.40 of Homo sapiens. Classification (NCBI taxonomy): domain Eukaryota; kingdom Metazoa; phylum Chordata; class Mammalia; order Primates; family Hominidae; genus Homo; species Homo sapiens. Next base: position 68,284,548 of record NC_000003.12, read on the forward strand.
ATTGGAAACTACCTAAGTGTCCATCAATAGGAGAATGGGTAGAAATGAACTGTGCTATGTTCATACAACAGAAAACTGCCCAGCAATAAAAAAGAGCAGGCCAGGCATGGTGATTCACACCTGTAAACTCAGCATTTTGGGAAGCTAAGGCAAGAGGATCATTTGAGGACAAGAGTTCAAGACTATCCTGGGCGACATAGTGAGAACCCCATCTCTACCAAAAAAAAAAAATTGTTTTAAATTAGCATATGTCTCTAGTATGCTACTGCAATCCTAGCTACTGGGGAAGCTGAAGTAGGAGGATTGCTGAAGCCCAGTTTGTGATCAGCCTGGAAAACACAGTGAAACCCTGTCTCTACAGTTTTTATTTTAATTAGCCATGGACAATTAAAATAATTAAAATAATGGCACATGCATGTAGTCCTAGCTACTAGGGAGGCTGAGGTGGGAGGATCACTTGAGCCCAGGAGTTAGAGGCTGTAGTAAGCTATGATTGTGCCGCTGCACTCCAGCCTGGGTGATAGAGCCAGATCCTGCATGTAAAAAACAAACAAACAAATTGCAAATGCATTCAACATCATGGATGAAACTCAAAACACTATATTGAGTGAAAGAAGCAAGGCAAAAAGAGTTATACTTTATAAGTCCATTGATATGAATTGCAAGAATAGGCAAAACCAATCTATGCTGGTAGAAGTCAGAATAGTATTTACTCTGAGAGTACCTGATGAATTGTAGGGACATAAAGGAACTTTCTGGGAGGGTGAAAGTGTTGTAAGTGTTGTAAATATTGATCTGGATGGTGCTTATATATAGATATGTAAAAATTAATGAAGATATACTTTTAAGATTTGTAGATTTTACTATATGTGCATATATGCCTCAAAAATTTCAAAAAACATATATATATAGCAACATATATATATAGAAACATGTATATACATAGCAACATTTATATATAGCAACTATATATATAGTGCTAGAATAGATTTATTAATATAAGGTAAGATGTACCACAGAAAATTAATGACTTTATATAAAAAACCTTCTGAATACCCAGTTTCTTCAGCAAATATGTGGCATGAGAAAGGGGAGTAAGAAGTAACTGTTACAGATTAAAAATGATTTGAGACATATCAATCACATGCAATTTATGTGGATTTCGTTTGGGTCCTGACTTTTTTTTAAATGTGAAAAGATTTTTGAGTGTGATCATGCAATTGTCACTAAGGGTGAAATGATAAAAGTAATGAGATTTGCATTAAATATTTCAACCAACAACGTGAGAGCAAAGATATGAAGCAAGAATGGCCAATCATTGAATATACGGCCCAGACTTATGAATTAGGAGACTGAAACATTCAGCACAAAAATAGTAGACCAGGCCAGGTGCAGTGGCTCATGCCCATAATCCCAGCACTTTGGGAGGCTGAGGCAGGCAGATCACGAGGTCAAGAGATTGAGACCATCCTGGCCAACATGGTGAAATCCCGTCTCTACTAAAAATACAAAAATTAGCTGGGCGTGGTGGCATGCACCTGTAGTCCCAGCTACTCGGGAGGCTGAGGCAGGAGAATCGCTTGAACCTGGGAGGCGGATGCTGCAGTGGGCCAAGATTGCACCACTGCACTCCAGCCTGGTGACAGAGCAAGATTCCATCTAAAAAATAATAATAATAATCATAACAAATTTAAAAAAATTTTTTAAATTAAAAATATTTTTTTAAAAATAGACCAGTATTAGGTGAGCTGAGGGGTGAGTTAATGAGTCTACGTTAGTCCACGGGGCTATCCAAGAGAAAACTGTTGGCTGTGTGAGACAGGAGCTCCTCACTGAAGTCTAGCGTGGAGAGAAAGATGTCAGGCTCTCTCTGAAGTTGCAGCCCTGAGTTTGAAGGAAATCAGATCAGGAAAATATTTGGAATGGACAAAAAGAGCTAGCAGAAGCCAAGACCCTCAACACTCAGAGAGTAGACAAAGGAACTAGAGACCCCGGAGGATGCAAAGAAGGATTAATAAGGAAGAATTGAGAGGAGGAAAAACACCCAAGAAAGTTAGGAATTGCAAAAACCATCTCTTGAATTTCATTCAGAAAGTATTTTCTGAGTACCTGCTATGTAGGCACTGGAATTGAGTTATGGAGAGGTCATTGCTGACATCTTCCCGAGGCTGTCCCAGAGGAATATGAGGAGACAAGCACAAGGTTGTAGTAATAGAGAATAATCAAGATACAGAGTATTCACTCTAACTAGAAGGGTAAGAGAGAAAACCCGTACGGGAAATGTGAGAGAAAAACTCTCTATTATTTGTGCTGGTATAACAAAAGGAGACCACCTCAACAGGACAGCCAGGCCCCCTGACATCAAGCTGTTAACAGGGCCATCCTTGGTGCTGTACAATTGGAACAGAGGCTCATCGCACTTCCAGCAAGGGAAACACAGCAGTTGTGGGGCCCCCGCAGTCAGCCACAGCACAAAGAAAAATGCCAGAGAACAGTCAGTTCTCAGGCCTAGAATTAAAAGTGATCAGCTTTCATATTTCCTGGGGCTCTGCATGTCCAAGTGGAGACCCTATTTGCCAAGTCTCGGCCCTCAGTTAATTTACTTTCCTTTTGCTTTTCCTTACTCCTGAATTGAATTATCACCTTCCTGAAAAACCGCGTGTGTAATGGAAAAGCGGACACAAGCCAAAGTGGAATATAGCAGCCCAAATGTGACTCCCATTATCGCCCTATTACATGAGGAACTGGCTGCTCTTTGCCCTTCGTTCATCTCCTGCTGACTATGAAAACCTAGTCCAGCCGCTTTGTTTTAATGTCAGCTGTTCTGCTCTGACCTTTGCTGCTCCCTCACCCTCCTCCTTGAGAGAACAGATGAGTTCCATTTGGGGTTGAAGTTATTGTGCATGAAAATCACCGTAAGGGGCAATGAGATTTTTTTCTTTGCCTTCACAGGACAGGGAGCATTAAGCACCACTCTCTGTCCCTTAAAGTCCAGAAGCGTGCATCTGGCACCCTGTGAGAACCTTCTCACCACACTCTTCAGTCCTACTGACCTCAGTTTTGCATCATTTCTCCTCCCAATGGCTTTAAAGGTACCTCCTGTTGCTTCCGTATGCATTTTAAGTGTTTTAAAAATACATCTGAGGAAATTATTTTAACAGTGGATGTTTCCTGGCTTGCATTGCGCACTATATAAACTTCCAATTAGGGCTATTTATCCTTCCGTCCGTGACGCCCCGAAGCAAGGCCCATTTGTGAAATCTAATTATACCTCCTTATTTGCCTGGATTGAAGAACATTTTTAGATCTTTCAACAGGCTTACTTCTCAGGTCTGGAGGATTTTGCTTTTTGTTTTTGTTGGGGGGTGGGGGGGCTTTTTGAAAATTTTTTTCTGAGTACCCTAAAATGATTAGATCCATTTTGTTTAATTTTTCTTAAATATCGATTTTCACAGGCCACTGTCCAGGAGCCATGGTAAATTCCTGTTAGTGAAGCGCTTTCCTTGGGTTCCGAAGCCTCCTTTGCTCTCAATTCTCATTACTTTGCTCTCTGGTCATGGGTGATCTCCCCTCTCTTTTCATGGCTGAGAGTTCACGGCTGTTTCTAATCCAGAATTAGCAGAAGTAGAAAAATCTGCTCCTTGCAGTAATAACTTTCCCACATATGCTGCTGCTCACTCCGCAGTGCAAAACAGAGCCGGGTTCCAGGCCCACGTGGATCCCTGACATTGCCATAGGCGCAAAAAGAACATTTAGTTTTTTAAGCAGCTTTGCTAAGGTAAAGCTATCCTTGGGCTTGTATTTGTGTTGAATTCCAAGAAGTCAGTGAAAGCGAAATGAGCCAAATAAAATGCAGAATGACTCTGGGAAACTTCCGTTTCATTGGCTCAGCTTCCTGGAGAATTTGCCCATGGAAGATTATGTCGCCATTTGCACCAAGTTGGTGCAGCTGTTTGTCAAGCAAGGCTAGATTCCCTTTGTTTGTATTCTTACCTCGCCCACATTTTTAATGATGTCTATCCTCTATTTCTCATCCAGACATTTTTGCCTATCTGCTTTCAATGCTAATGTCTCTCTGTCCTGTTTCCAAATTAAATATCATACTTAAAATATTAATACCCCTTGTTCTTTGATTCTTTGTTTATTCGTCTTATGCAAAACATAACAGTGAGAACTCCATCTGTATTAAATGCTACTGTATGGGCAGATTCAATGACTTATTAATGACTGTTTCATGATATGGGAGAGCCAGGGCTTTATATAATCATGCAATTCTTATTCAAAAATGCTCTGCTAGTACTAGCCTGTAGGGAGAAAAAATGAAATATGCCTATCTTTTCAAAGATAAAAATGACTAGCTTTGTGAAGATCATTGTAGAAATAACTAAGTTTTGAAACTAGGCCAAGTTACTTCAGTTTCCAAGGAGGTTAGCTCATGTCTTGAAGTATTTGGGTACATACATTTTTGTAGCATTTATTGAAGTGAAAACCACATATCATAAATGTACAGCTCAATGAATTTTCACAAAGTATGTGACCACTGCCTGGTGAAGAAATAGTATATTTTTAAGGTGCCTGTTCATGTCTCTAACCCATATTTATTAGTTTCTGCTTTTTAATACATAGGAATTGTTTATATACAGTCTTTACATATGTTGCATATGAATTTTCTGTTCATTATTTGTATTAACAAAAGCCCACTATATAGGTTGCACTTTCACTCTTCTAATGGTGTCTTTTGTTGACTCTAAGTGCTCCATTTTAATGTGGTCCAACTTACGACTCTTTCCTCTATGGTTCATGTTTTTTTGTGTCCTATTTTAAAATCTCTCCTTATCCCAAGGTCATAAAGATAGTCTCCATTATTATTTTGTAGAAGCATTACTACATTCATAATTAGAGCTACATCTGCCCAGAAACATATTTTGGTGTTAGTGTGAGAGTCACAGGAAGACACTGGAATATTCTTAGGAGAGGCTTATGGGCTAGCTGCTATTTTATAAAGACCTTCTTCTCTGCTTTGTGGACCAAAGTTGAAGCAGGAGGAACATTTAGAATGTTCTGCTGCACTACTCCTGGTGAGAAATGATTATGGCTTGGATTTGAGTGAAATGGCAATGAGTAGTTGGATGTGATCTGTGTTTTAGAAACTGAGCCTTCAAATTTTGCAGATGAATAGAATGAGGAATGAGGGAAGAAGAGAAATTAAGGGTGTCTCCTTGCTTCTTAATTTCAGCAACGGGTTGAGTAATGGTAATGTTATTTAAGATTCAGCAGGCAAGAGATTTGTGGAGCAAACTGAATAATTCTGTTTGCTGAGGTTAATTTCAGATGAATCATTTAAGTGGAAATGAATGAATGGATGAGTAAACCAATGGACTTGTGTAATAAATAAGCAAGTAAGCGGTAGAACTAGGCACCCAGGTGCCTTGACTCTTATGCTTAAAATTAAGATTTTTATCCATTATACAAATATAACCCAGATAATATTCTGTTGAACTTTAGTTTCATAGTATCATGGAAAAATAAAGATTCCCTGGTCAAATAATTTGGCATATTTGATGTAACAACCCTCTTGATAATTTACTGTATATATTACTTATGTTTCTGAGAAATTCTGCAGGAAAAAGTTACTTCTTTAGCTTTAGTTAACCCAATATTTCTCAAATTTATTTTTCCATAAAAGTGTTCTTAAAGGAAGACCTGCAAACGTCACACAATACTAGTATTAATGTTCTATGGAACAATCTTTGGGAAAAACTATTATTCAATCTACTACCATGTTAACATGTAAAACACTACCCTTAAAATACACAAACAGTAATCATTATTCTTGTTCACATCTGTCTATTTCTGTAATTTTATATGAGTAGTGAATGTCTTTTAACTACCCTTTCTCAAGGGCAGTTCCCCCATGTCATAATAATTGAAAATTAAGAAGTTACAGAGTCATAATGAAATTGTCCCCTTTGAACCTTTGTTGACTGAAGCTGCATATTAACCACATCCCATTCAGACCAGGAGTAACAAGAAATATTCTGAACCCCAGCTGCTACAAGATAACAAGCTTTGACAGCTTCCTAATTACCTTACTATCCTATAGTTAAAAACACTTTAATACTATAGCAATTCTCTTCTCTTCACATAAGTCAAAAGATATATCTAATTTTCTCCTTAATTGATATCTGTATTGCTGCTTTAAAAAGAATGCACTCCTCCAATATGTTTAACTATTAATTTATAACCTTTGATCTGAATGTGGGAAATAATTTTAAAAAGAAATTACTTGTTATCAACTGTGAATAGATAAATCTGAAAGCCTCAGCTCAAAGTGGATTTAATCCTTTTCTTAAAAAAAAAAAAACTCTTTTTTCCTCAAGATCTAACTTTCTATTTAATAAGTTCTTGCATGTTTTATTTCACTCTGCTAAGCTTTATTTTTTTTCACCTGTAGAATGGGGGAAAATAACAGCCTTAGTGTCACTGTGAACATCAAATAAAAATGATGCATGTAAAAGGATTAGAACAGGATCTGACCCATAGAAAATATTCAAGAAATGTTAGTTCTATGCACCTCAGTTATGAAGATTTTTGGATCTGACAGCAACATGGACTCAATATATAGGTGTTGAATCGAAATAACTTCAGCTCACATTAAAGTTTCCTTTATTACGTTAATAGAATAAGAGATATTTAGAGCTAGAGTCTCGGACTGTAAGATGTTGTCTAGGCCCAAACACAATTGGCAGTGCAACTGTGAACAATTGATGGATCTAGAAGGCACTTAAGAAAATAATGTTATAGTATTTACATATTTTTTTTACATGCCCAGTGCTTTGTTAAACCCTTTACAGGAATGATCTCAGTTAATCCCCAAAACAAGGTGAGTAGTATTGCAGATCCCATTTACAACAATATATTAGGTCTAGACTTACCCAAGACCAAAGAGCTATTAAGTGGTGGAGGGAGATTTTGACCTAAGACTGTCTACATCCAGAACTTATACTCTTAACTACTCTACATACTACTGTTGACAGAATCTTGTGAAAACGAGTCATTGTATAAAAAAGGGAGCGAAGGCCAAAAAACGATCCACACGTTAAGGTAGTGCAGAATCAATATAACATAGAATGTTCATTCCCCACAAAAAAAAAAATCTGGATCATGTTAAAAAAATTTTCAAAGTATTTTGAATCAAAATGTTATTTATGTCCCTAAAACCACAAATCATGCTAGACTGAATACTCCCTTCCAAATAAATGCATGCTTATTTAGAGAATCCTGGGTCACCTGCCATACAAGGGATAACAGAAATGAAATGCTTTGTCCTGTCTTTAAAATCTAATCATCTAGTGGGAGATAATACAGTATAAGGCATCTGATATTTTCTTTATAAATATCTGGGAGGTGGCTTCCAGAATTGGAGAATTTTACACCAATGTAGTAAAACATATATATAACCACAGTTTTAGCTAATACGGTTTCAGTTTTCACTCATGTCGTTTACTCTCTCATCACCATCTCCCCTCCTAGCCAAAAATCAACCTAGACATCAATTATGCTTTTCCCCTCACATATTCCATTAGATGTTATCTACTCTATACAGTTAAGCATATTTAGAACATTTAGTTTACCTACGTATATATAATTCTTAGTAGCTGTGTCTTATCTACCCAGAGATTTAAGGAAGGACAAGGCATCTGTCCTCTTTTCCCAGACCATCTTCTTTATGGCTTTTCCTCTCAGTCTTCTTTTACTTATTTACCATACGTACTCCCATTGCTTGAGCCCGACAGATCGAGGCTGCCGAGAGCTGTGATTGCACCACAGCACCCCAGCCTGAGCAACAGAGTGAGACTCTGTCAAAAAAAAAAAACAAAAAAAAAAACCCAAAACAAAAACAAAAACACTTTTTAAGATTTTCATTTACATATGTTTTAGGTTTCATGTAAGTGTTTTCATAATCGTTTGCCTCTTTCCTTTCTTTTTCTTTTTAAAAGACAAGGTCTCACTCTATCGCCCAAGCTGGAGTGCAATGGCACAATCACAGCTCACCACAGCCTCGAATTCCTGGGCTCAAGTGATCCTCCTGCCTCAACCTTCCAAGTAGGTGGGACTTCAGGTGCTATGCCACCACACCTGGCTAATTGTTTTGTTTTGTTTTGTTTTAACTTTTTGGTAGACAGGGTCTCGCTATGTTGCCCAAGCTGGTCTAGAAATTCTGGCTTCCAAGGATCCTCCTGTCTTGGCCTCCCAAAATGCTGGGATTACAGGTGTGAGCCACTGTATCTGGCCTCTTTTCATTTTGATCCTGTGACAGCTACTAGAAAAACAAACAAACAAACAAACAAAAACAATCACTTCCTTATTCTTATCCACAGGTTAGATTAAGAGGCATTTCATTGATTGCTTCCCTTATATTCTCTCATGAATTCTCAAAAGCTACGTATTCAATCCTGTACCTTTTTTAGACTGTTAGTATAAAAGGATGACTTTAAAAAAAAAATGCCTTAGGTTTGTACTAACAGCTACAACCTTCTAGCTGAAAAGTTCACTGGGAGATTTACCTCTGTAAACCAAAGGTGTCTAACCCTTCATAGTTGATGAGATGCTTTAATAGTATAATGAAAGTATAGATCCTCTCCCCAGGGAAAAATAATCATATGCTGGCAGCATGTTGAAATAGCATCAGGATCTTCACATGCTTTCTGACATTCACCCATGGACCTCAGATTAAGAATCTCTCTAGATGATGGGTTGATAGGTGCAGCAAACCACCATGGCACATTACCTCTGTAATAAAACTGCACATTCTGGACATGTATCCCAGAACTTAAAGTAAAATAAAAATAGAAAAAAAAATCCCTGTTGTAGATCAACCCCATCAGTTATCTTGGGGACTGAATTAAGTGTAATGGTTAATTAAGAGTGTGTACTCAGGATCAAATAAACAAGGACTCAAACCCTATTGTCACTTCTTTCTAGATATATGATCATAGGCAAACTGTATAACCAGTCCTGTGATTAATAGTAGCATCTGCATCCTTGGGTCTCTGTAAGAATTAATGAGATATTGCATAGATCAGGACTTAGCATGGTGCCTGGCACATGTGCTTGATCAATGCGAGCTATTGTTCTCTTCATAACGCATTTGTATTTAATATCTTAGGTTTTTCAGCAGAAACAGAAGTCAGGGCAAAGAAGCTGGTCTTTGGAGACCTTTGGGGGAAATTGAAGAGCAATTTCCAGGTCGAGAACTGTGGTGAGAAAGGCCCTTTTGATTTCATTTTGAGGCCCACTGAGGGACTGCTCCGTCTATCCCTCTTGTGAAAGAGGTCAGGGAGAAAAGAGAACCTTGTCAAAAAACACAAAGAAGCAGAACTTGATCAAAGTGCAGAGAATGTCTCTGCAAAGCTATTGATTAAGATTTAGGATTTTTTGTTCATTTGCTGTGAAATGCACTCAGAGGAACATTACTAAAACATACTCTCAGCAGTTAAAATTGCCTCTGATTTGATGTTTTCTTGAGTCCTTCTTTATTTTAGGGAATATTTTATAATATTCTTCACTGTCAAATTATGTAATAAACAACAACAATAATTCAAAATTTAATTTTCTATGCACAATTCTTCCATTGGTCAAGGAATCGAAAGGACAGTGTAATTCCGAACAACACTGCCCAATATAAGTAAAATGCAAGCCACATATGTTACTTTAAATTTTCATGTAGCCACATTTTAAAAAGTAAAAAAAAGTGAAATTACTTGCAATAATGTATTTTATCTAACCAAATATATCCCCAATATCATTTTAACATGTAATTGGTGGAAAAATTTATTAATGGGATATTTTGTATTTTTAATTTTATACCAACTCTTCAAATCCAATGTATCTATGACACTTTCAGTGTATCTATATTCTGACAATAAACGTTCAACAGTAAAAGTAAAATGCAGTTCTGCCAAAACGATTAAGTCACATTTAGAGAAAAAAATGTTTTATACTATTTCCATTTTTCAATTTACATTTAAATAAGATTAAAAATTCAGCTCCTGGGCCAGGCATGGTGGCTCACATCTATAATCTCAGCACTTTGGGAGGCTGAGATGGGCAAATGACTTGAGCCCAGGAGTTCGAGACCAGCCTGGGCATGATGAAAGCCCACCTCTACAAAATAAAATTAGCTGGGCATGGTGGCACACACCTGTGGTCTCAGCTACTTGGGAGGCTGAGGTGGGTGGATCGTTTGAGCCTGGGAGGTTGAGGCTGCAGTGAGCCATGATCGTGCCACTTCACTCCAGCCTGGGCAACAGAGAGAGATCGTGTCTCAATTAAAAAAAGAAAAAATTTACTTCTTGAATCACACAGCCACATTTCATGTGTACAGTAGCCACAAATGGCCAATGGTTATATTAGGCAGCACCGGTTCACAGGGAAGAATCTGAATTTAGAGTCAGAAGCTCTAGGTGTGAACTTGCTTCTCCCATTTGCTCTCTGTCTTTGCACAATTCACTATGTTCTCTAAGCCTCAGTTTTGTCCCCTTCGCTCAACCTCCTGAGCCCTAACAGTTGAATGAGATAATGTGAAGGGAAAGGGCCCAGAGAACTGTAAAATGAAATGTAAACATAAGGTATTTTAAATTTAATAATATGGAGAGAGTTAATTATTTAGGGATTTTGAATCAGATTCCACGACATTTGTGGAGGCAGAAGGAAATCATCTCCTTTAAGTATTGCCAATGATGATTATAAATCCTAAAGTTAGGATGCAGTGGGTTGGTAGCTTTTTAAAGCAATTCTTTTTCATACTTTGTTAGGAAAATCAGTGCTTTTATCTTGACTCTAAGTTCTAAGACCTATTTTTTCAGTTAAAAAAAAAAGACTTTTTAAGTCTATTTAAAAAGTTTAATTGACAACACAGTCTTAGTGCTGTGTGTCTGTGTGTGTGTGCATTTGGAAAAGAAACACACAAAATTCTCAAGCCTATTTACCCTCACAGAGAAAGAAGGAAAGGAGAGAGACTTGTTTTGCTTCATTGACTTCACTGGTGTTTCAGTTTTGTTTTATTTTCTTTTTTGAGACAGGGTCTTTCTCTGTCACCCAGGCTGGAGTACAGTGATGTCGTCATAACTCACTGCAGCCTCAAACTCCTAGGCACAAACAATCCTTCTGCCTAAGCCTCCCAAGTAACCAGGATTACAAGCATGTGCCAGTATGCCTGGCTAATTTTCTTTCTATTTTTTGTAGAGACAGGGTCTTGCTATGTTGCCCAGGCTAGTCTCTAACTCCTGGCCTCAAGTGATCCTCTCTCCTTGGCCTCCTGTATTCCTGGCATTATAAGCATGAGCCTTCTGAGTAGCTGAGACCAGCTATGTTTCAGTTTTGAACAGAAAGATATGTATTATTTTTGAAATAAAAATCAGTGTAGATGAAAACAAAATCATGTTATATAAGATAAAGAGCTTTGATTCTCTGTCGACAACAGATAAAGTTAATCTTCTTTGGAAAATGAGCACCATTATTATACATGAGAATTAATATAGACAAACCAATAAATCATAGCTACTTCTCATCAGGGATCCTTGCTCTAGAGAATTGCCTATGTGAGCTACAACTTTACCAAAGTCAACACCAGCAATCTGGACCGCCTACCCTCGTGACTTTTTGTTTCGGTTCATATTTGACATCCATATTGTTGTTTTTATCTACAGCCTTTTAAAACATGTGACTTGTCTGTCCACATGGTATCCTGTTGAATTTCAGTTTTAGCCTCTCAGGAGAATTACTGCCTGTTTGGTTGAATTGTTCCCAAGAGCCCCTTAAATGAATTTCTGTCACATATCCCTTGAAATCTCTATTTAGATCACATAATCCTAAACATACCCTTGGAATATGATACAAATTCATCTAGGTGTTTTCATGCTAAGCAGCCACAGAAAGATAGAATCAACTTAATATATTTAGATTATCCTTAAAAATAATACAAGGTATCAAGTGATTTTTAGGGGCTCAAAAAGATACTTACTCAAAAAAAAAAAAGATAATATCTCCTGCATAGGCCCTTAACAAACTGGCTTTTAGGTCTCTCTTGAAGTGACTAGTCTCTATGGATACACTTCCTGTTTCAACATACAAGCTGCCCACTTGTGTGCCCTTATATTAATATACGTAATAATTATTGAAAGTGTACCATGTGCAGACACTGTGCTAGGTGCTTGGGTTACAATGGTGAAAAGATACAGACATGGCTGCTACCCTTAACGAGCTTGTTATCACTGGGGAGACCTGTTCATCAAATAACCTAATGGAAAAATTAACAGTAGTAAATAGCACATAAAGGTGGGAAAAATGATGCTGGAGTGTTTGGGGAAAGTGGCCTAATTGGAGATGTCACAGAGGCTTCTATAATTGAACTGAAACCCAAAATATGAAAGAGTGTTAACCAGCCCATAGGAGAGAAGAAGGGTGGATCTTGCAGGTAGATGGAACAGCATTGTTCTGAAACCCTGAGGTAGAAGGTAAAATAGGACATTCAAGGAGGTCAGAGCAAGCCCAGGTAGCTGGAGATTAGAAAATAAGCAGGTATATAACACAAGATGACGCTGAAGGGGTAGTAGGGTATCAGACCTTGCAAAACACAGTAGACCCTGTCACCAATGGTGATCTTTATTCTAAGTGAAACCAAAGTAAGTACCCATTTGATTAGGGTATTTCTCTTCATTGGCTAAGGTTGTAGGGACTACTTAAAGCATTAAAGCATCACTAGCCTATCTTTAATTTTCTACAGAAGCCAACAGTTAGCATGGAACATTCCTAAGTCTTCAGAATAGCCACTCTCAATTCTGGGTCTTCACCCTGAGCCCCTGGGAAAATTTACAACAAATTTGATGACAGAGACACCACAGCTACCCCCAACCCCAATTCCTAGAGATTCTGACTCCACAGATCTAGGGTGGGACATAGCCATCGTTATCTTTTAAACATTCGGCTAGTGATTCTGATGGGCAATAATGTCTGGGAACTATTGCATTCAAAATTCAGTTTTGTGTATTCCTCTTTTAATGATAGATATTATCAACCTCAGTGAAGTAGATAATATTATTGGTCATTTTTGAAAATTATTTAATGAAGAGGAAAGTTTACAGCAAGATCTTCCTCTCCTGATATCAGTGGGATTTCTGATCATTCATTTTTTTTTTTTACATTTTTGGGGTCTTCTGTATTAAGAATATTTCTATATGTTCATATTCCTTCTTTTGCTTTCCTCCTTGTGAAATTTTCTTTGTAAGTTAATATTCTATTTATTTTGAAACTTAATTAGATCAATTATTACAACAAGCTCAGTAAGTCTAGCATTTTCCAATAGTGCTATATTTATCTTGTTTTTCACTCAATAAGAACTTACTGTGATATAATGCTTTCTTGCAATTGATTTAATTTATACTTTCTGAACACTTCAGAAGTAATATAACAGTGTTTCCCTCTCAGACAAAATTGTTTCCTTGCACTTGGAGATGTTTTCCCTGTCCATTAGTTCTTTTTCATCCATTAGGCAGAGGAAATGTCTGCACTTCCTTTCATCTTCCCCAGTGAGCCTGTGCCCTCAGTCCCTGATGAACACAGGGCAAGCTAATGACACCCCATCTTGGTAGCAGCCAGAGGTGGACACTACTTCTAGTGGAGCCACTTAGATATTTCTTGCAGGAGTTTGAACTAGGGATCCAACATATTGAATTAGTTGATTTGGACTACGGAAGTGAGGGTCCATGTAGGGGCTGAAGAGACTATAAATAACCATGGACAGGTGAATGTGTGTGTCATGCTGAGAAGCCATTTGGGGAGGGGACATCAAAAGAATGAAATGAAAGGGACAGAAAAAGGAGGACATTGAAAGGGTTTGCAGCAGTGATCAAAAAATCTTGTAGCTAAGGGAGTGGAATCCATAAAAGGAGGGACAAAAACACTTATATGGTTTAGCTGTGTCCCTACCCAAACTCTCATCTTGACTCATAATCCTCACAATCCCCATGTGTCAAGGGAGAGACCAGGTGGAGGTAATTGAATCATGGGGGTGTTTTCCCCTGTGCTCTTCTTGTGATAGTGAGTTCTCACAAGATCTGATGGTTTTATAAGTGTTAGGTAGTTCCTCCAGTATTCATTCTCCTTCCTGCCACTTTTTGAAGAAGATCCCTTGCTTCCCCTTTGCCTTCCACCATGATTGTAAGTTTCCTGAAGCCTCCCCAGCCATGCTGAACTGTGAATCAATTAAAGCTCTTTCCTTTATAAATTACCCAGTCTCAGATATTTCTTATAGCAGTGTGACAATGGTCTAATACAGTAAATTGGTACCTAGGTAGTGGGGAAGTGCTAGAAAGATACCTGAAAATGTGGATGTGACTTTGGAACTGGGTAACAGGCAGAGAGGTTGGAACAGTTTGGAGGGCTCAAAAGACAGGAAGATGTGGGAAAGTTTGGAACTTCCTAGAGTTTGTTGAATGGTTTTGACCAAAAATGCTGATAGTGATATAAGCAATGAAGTCCAGGCTGAGGTGGTCTCAGATGGGGATGAGGAACTTCTTGGGAAGTGGAGCAAAGTTCCACATGTCCAGGATGGCACTTCCCACTCAGAGAATGCCTTTGGTCTCTCCCATTAGATTTTATTATGACCTCTTCATACAGAGCATTTCCAAAAGACAGCTAAGTTACTCTGAAAAATAAACAAGATAAACAGCCCTAGCTATGCTTTAGCAAAGAGAAGGGCAGCATTTTGCCCCTGCTCTAGAGATCTGTGAACTTTGAACTTGAGAGAGATGACTTAAGGTATCTAGCAGAAGAAATTTCTAAGCAGCAAAGAGTTCAAGATGTGACTTGGGTGCTCAGTTTTACGTATTCACAAAGAGATGGTTTGGAATTGGAACTAACGTTTAAAAGGGAAGCAGAGCGTAAAAGTTTGGAAAATTTGCAACCTGACAATGCAATAGAAAGTAAAAACCCATTTTCTGAGGAGAAATTCAAGCTGGCTGCAGAAATTTGCATAAGTAACCAGGAGCCAAATGTTAATCATCAAAACGATGGAGAAAATGTCTCCAGGCCATGTCAGTGGTCTTCACGGAAGTCCCTCCCATTACAGGCCTGGAGGCCTAGGAGGAAAAAATACTTCTGTGGACCAAGTCTAGGGCTTTGCTGCCTTGTGCAGTCTTGGGACTTGGTGTCCTGCATACCAGCTGTGGCTAAAAGGGGCCAATATACAGCTCAGACCACTGCTTCTGAGGGTGCAAGTCACAAGCCTTGGTGGCTTATTTGTGTTGTTGGGCTTGTAGGTACACAAAAGTCAAGAATTGAGGTTTGGAAACCTCTGCCTAGATTTCAGAAGATGTATGGAACTACCTAAATGTCCAGGAGAAGTTTGCTGCAGGGGCAGAACCCTCATGGAGAACCTCTGCTAAGGCAGTGTGGAAGGGAAATGTGGGGTGGGAACCCCCACTTAGAGTCCCCACGGGGGCACTGTCTAGTGGAGCTGAGAGAAGAGGGTCACCATCCTCCAGACCCCAGAATGGTAGATCCATTGATAGCTTACACCATGCACCTGGGAAAGTCATAGGTACTCAATGCCAGTCCATGAAAGCAGCCAGGAGGGGGACTTTACCCTACAAAGCCATGGAGACAGAGCTGCCTGAGGCTGTAGGAGCCCACCTCTTGTATAAGCATGACCTGGATGTGAGACATGGAGTCAAAGGAGATCATTTGGGGACTTTAATAATGACTGCCCAGGTGTAATTCAGACTGGCATGGAAGCTGTAGCCCTTTTGTTTTGGCTGATTTCTCACATTAGCCAAATGTGAGAACAAATGGAAAAAGAACATTTACCCAATGCCGCTACCCCCATTGTATCTTGGAAGTAACTAAATTGCATTTGATTTTGCAGATTCCTAGGTGGAAGGGAGACTTGTCTTATCTCAGATGAGGCTTTGGACTTGGGCTTTTGGGTTAATGCTGGAATGAAGTTATACTTTGGGGGACTGTTAGGAAGGCATGATTGGTTTTGAAATGTGAGGACATGAGATTTGGGAGGGGCCAGGGCAGAATTCTATGGTTTGGCTGCCTCTCCACCCAAAATCTCATCTTGAATTGTAATCCCCATAATCATCACGTGTCAAGGGAGAGACCAGGTGGAGGTAATTGAATCATGGGTGCAGTTTCCTCCATGCTGTTCTTGAGATAGTGAGTTCTCACAAGATTTGATGGTTTTATAAGTGTTTTCTAGTTCCTCCTGCATTCATTTCCCTTCCTGCCACCTTGTGAAAAAGGTGCCTTGCTTCCCCTTCCACCATGATTGTAAGTTTCTTGAGGTCTCCCCAGCCATGCTAAATTGTAAGTCAATTAAACCTCTTTCCTTTATAAATTGCCCAGTCTGAGGTAGTTCTTAATAGCAATATGAGAACAGACTAATATAATAGGTCTATGGAATTTTATCACATACACAGAATCGTGTAACCACTAAACAAAATATTTAGCACCTTTAGTAAAGGTAATACATTCACATGGTTTTAAAAAACAATATTTAAAAAATATTTAATGAAACATTTCAATCCTAACCCCACCCCCAATTTATACTGTTCCCTGTCCCATTGTCACTTTTACTGTTTTCTTCTGTTGTCCTTCCATTAATTCTCCTTGAAAATACAAAGCAAAATTACCATGTATTATAAACTTCATCCTCCTTATGTAAAAGTTATCTCACTACATAAATTTTTCTGCACCTATCTTCATTTATCTTGTTGGAGATCATTTTATACCCTCACAAAATGAGCTTCCTAATTCTTTTTATAGGTGCATAGTATCCTGTTATATAAACCCTGCACCTTTAACTTGCTTGAGCAATCTTTGAGTGGTTTTTTAAACTTAGAAACTCAAGATACAATATGTCTCACAAAACAAGAGTCTCAGTAAAGCTCAAAAGAAGGTGTCCAAATGTGGACAGTAAACTCTGGCAAGTTTACCAGATGGTGAGGAGTAAAGTGGCCCCCTGTCTGGAACTGGGAAAAGTAAAGCAGAGCTAAAAGCAGAAAGTACATCTCTCTGCACTGAAAAGATGGATTTTTTTTTAAGTCAAACAGAAGAGCATCTGAACTATTTAAGATAATGAGGTCATAACTGAGTTAAAAACTAGCATTGGAGACTCAGCCAATACTCTAAAAACTGTCAGAAGTCGGTCAGATGACTGACAACTGGTGCTTATGTGGGAAAGCAAGAAAGAACATCATTTCACTGTCTAGACCAAGTTGAAAGATTGTGTTTCAGAATGATAGCATTGATTGAATGTACATATTTTGGGAATATATTTTGTTTTGGTAAGTTTATTCAGTTTTATGTTCTTAGTTTATTTATATTTGTATTCGTAGTTCATTGGTAGATTTATTCAGCTTTTTAGTCTTAGTTCATTTTATCCTAGTTCTTTTGTATTAATTACTCATTTTTATATCATGTTATTTTAGCTTTTGATAAAATGATGAAATATTATATAAGTATTTGATAAAATGATCACTACAGAAGATCAGGTGTTTTCTTTTGCCCTAATTTAGGAAGAGAGAAATATTTGTAGTTGGAATTTGAAAGGCCAAAGTAATAATTACATTAAATCTTAATTCATTAAATAAAACTACTAGAGATAGAGAGGTGTTTATTTCCAGGCCAGTCCAGTGACCTCTAACTGCTTTACAGACTCCAACAGTTCCCGAGAAAGGCAGTTAAATTCAGTGACTATTTACTGACCATCTCTTATGTATTAAACACCATACACATGTCCAGAATGGCACTTCCCACTCAGAGAATGCCTTTGGTCTCTCTCATTCGAATTTATTATGACCTCTTCATACAGAACGTTTCCAACAGCTAAGCTACTCTGAAAAATAAACAGTTCATATGCTAATAGCTGGTAATGACAATGAACTCCCCCAGCTATTTGTCCATTGCCCTTTTCTTTTCTTGTTAATCTTTCTTTTTTTTTTTAATTTTGAATCTTTGTTCTCTTATTCATAAAAGTTCCAAGAGAATGGAGTACTTGTCTTTTCCATTGTTGTATCCTCAGCATCTAAGACAATGTCTGGTATCGAAGGTGCTAACTAAATACCTCTGGATGACTGGGACACAGGAAGCAGTCTCTCCTACAGGAAATACCTCCTGGCCAGAAGTATGGGAGACTGGAATGCTCATCCCCACTTGGACATTTGCTAACTATACAAACCAGCAAGGAAATCATTTTCCCTAAGCCTCAGTTTATGCATTGATAAAATGGGGCTAATTATAAAATAAAGTTCAAAATAAGGGTTCTAGAGCCAAAACACCTAAGTTCTATCCAAGTTCTACTACTAACTGTCCATGTGTGACCTTAGCCAACTTGAACCTCTGCGTCTCAGTTTTCTCATTTTTAAAATGGGAAAAATATTAGTAATCTACCTCATAGGATTGTTGTGATGACTACATATTTTTTTCAAAGAAGTATATGTCAAGGTGCCTGGTACATAAAAAATGCTCAATAAATATGACCCACTTCTATTATCAGCATTATTGTGAGAAATCAATGAGATGTCATGAATGAAAGTACTTTTACTGTATAAAAAGCTACACAGATAAATATTTCCAGATTTCCATGTTACCCTGTCAAGGACAAACATTTGTCTTCTAGCAGGAGGCTTCTAGAACCACATTGCTTTTAATCGAATTTATAGATATAATAAAGATCCTTCCAAATGATGGGATAGTGATAAAGGCAGATTTTACAAAGGAGGAGCTTTTGGTTGACCATAACATAACACTTCAAAAATTAGCCATTTACTCTGCCTAAAGAGGAAACAAAACAATGATTTTTGGCCCAATTGTCCTTGTTATGAAAATTCTTTTTGTTTTTTTTTGAGACAGAGTGTCACTCTGTCACCCAGGCTGGAGTGCAGTAGCGTGATCTCAGCTCACTGCAAGCTCTGCCTGCCAGGTTCACGCCATTCTCCCGCCTCAGCCTCTCAGCCTCCCGAGTAGCTGAAACTACAGGCGCCCACCACCACGTCCAGCTAATTTTTTTGTATTTTTAGTAGAGACGGGGTTTCACTGTGTTAGCCGGGATGGTCTTGATCTCCTGACCTCGTGATCCGCCCGCCTTTGCCTCCCAAAGTGCTGGGATTACAGGCGTGAACCACCGTGCCCGGCCTGAAAACTTTTTAGAAGGATTAAAAATATGTCACAAAGAGGCAAATTTATTAAAGGAAGCCACTGATTTGCTGACATGTATTCGAAAAGCAGCCAGGAAACCGCAGCCCTTTTCCTTATCAAAAAAAAATTAAGAGAAAAATAAAAGCTTTTTATTTACTTGTGTTACACTGGAAATATACTCACTAGAATTTCAAATATTAGTACTGCACCCACCATACAGTGCTTGCTTAACAAAAGTAGACATTACATTAGTGGAAATTGAAGTGTAGTAATAGTTTTATCCACAAAGAGTAAGGCAGAGCTATTTGAAAATGATAGAAATCTGAAATTGGATATTTAAATGTGGGAAAATGAAGGTGTCTAAAAGCATGTGAAAGTATTCTAACCATATTTTCATCCTGTTGCATATTAAAATAGAAAATACACAATAGCTGTGTGATTTAAATGATATATACTTGATATGAAAAAATGTAAAGGAGAAGGTTGCATACAGAAGAAATCATCCAAAATTCAAAATACTAGAAGGTTTTATTTGTTAAAGCCCAGGTTAATACAAACAAATTTGTAAAGTAAGTACAGTGAGAAATCTTCTTTGTAAAGTTTTCTTTATATTTGAACCTAGCAAAAGGTCTTTCTGGCTATAATTTTACCTTTCTAGTATGGCTATATTTTTCAGTATGGAAGATTTTTCTAAATAATCTGAATGAGGGGTGTGATTTGAATCTGTATCATGTTCTATGCCCACCTCCCATCTTGGGATATTGAGATGCTCAAAAAGTTTGCAGATGTTATTTTATTCCTGGAAGTTGTACTAATAAGTGATAGCCATTCCTATGGTACCTAGGAAATGAGATAAATTCTTTACCATTGTTTCAGACTATTATGTTCAAACAGCCACTGAAATATAATAGAAAAATACTTAATTACTTAGAGAAGCTAAAGAGTGATTTGGCAAGGTCAGAGTTTTAAAATGGAGAAATAAGCAAATAAAATTCTTTTTAATGCTAGTTAATTATTTGGTCAGTTGGTAAGAGGAAGTAAAAGTGAAGTTATCACGGAAAATGTTGTCCAAGGAAGGTTTATATAGTTGTTTAGTTGGGTGTTTTCATTTTTCGTGTGTGTTTTAGTGGGCCAGGCAAAAGGTCACCCCAGTAGACCACATAGTAGCTGTTTTTATCAGGATAGCTCCATTTTACCTCTCCTCCTGCAAACTGCAGTAAAAATAGAATATGAAATAATGTATTAGTTCCCTAGGATGGCCAAAACTAAGTACCACAGATTGGGTGGCTTAGCACAACAAAAATCTACTTTCCTTAAGTTCTAGAAGCTGGAAGTCTAAAATCAATGTGTCTGCAGTGTCTCTGGGTAGCATCCTTCCTTGTCTCTTTCTAGCTTCACCAATCCTCATTATTCCTTGTCTTTCAGGTGCATAACTCTAGTTTCTCACTCTGTTGTCACATGGTGTTTTTCCCATATGTTTTTTTTCCCCCGATGTTTTCTTGTTACATAGCCACCAGTCATATTGGATTACAGCTCACCCTAATGACCTCATCTTAATGCAATTATATTTTTAATAACACTATTTCCAAGTAAAGTAATATATAATATATGACTATATATAAATGGCTATATATATATGACTATATATGACTATATGACTATATATATATATATATATATATATATATATATATATATATATATATAGGTAGAAGGGGTTAGGACTTCAATTTATCTTTTGGGGAGACACAATTCAACCTATAAAGGCTTAGGGTAAGGGAGAATTCCTTGAAACATAATTTTCTAGAGTAGTAATCATTTTAGATCTCTTTAGATCTCTGGGAATTATAGGGATACACTAGTAAATTTCCTAGCTAGAGTAAATAATTAAAAGATTCTCCAGTGGGGTGGGGGTCAGGGGATGGAAAGAAAGTGCCTTATACCTCTAGTGGGTTTTCAAGTATCACCAAGGGAAGAGGATATGTAATAGGAATATTGAGAGGCATCAGTGAAGTTGTTAAGGACAAAAACTCAAGAGCCAAAAGGCTGGTTCACACCCTGCTCCACCACTTCTAGCTATGTGAACTGTGGCACATTATTTGGTGACTCCACACCTCATTTTCTTCATGTAAAATGGACATGATAACACTACAAGGCAGCTGTAAGTATTAAATGAGCAAATACAGCACCTAGAATAATACTTTGTATGGTGAGGCATAGATTTAAAATGTTTGAAAAACAGTGAATTGGAGTAAGTTACTAATGAATACCCTTTGGTGATTGAAAAGACAGAGGAGGAAAAAAAATACAAAACCGTGACTTCATGCAAGGGCTAGATATTTGAAACTGTTATTGCAGAGAAAATACAAACAAGGGAGCTTCAGATTCCAAAAGGAAGATCAGGTGTTAGGAGAATACTAGAGTTGGTTAAATGCTACCTGATAATTGTCTAGTGTGTGACCTTCATGGTCTTTACCCAGGTAGTTGTATTTCTTTAAACTTTTATTACATTATAGCTTTGTACCTCCTCTTTATTGGGTGGGATTTTTTTCCAGTGGGATTAGTGCCTAAGGGGAAATAACACGTCTCTCTTTGGGTTTGACCTTGCAAAAATTTAATTAAGTGACAGTAATTATCAGGCTGTTATTAACTTTGAAACATCTAAGGCTTGCATGCTACCCTAGAGGGTTTGTCTGAGTTTAGTTTTCACATATTCAGAAATATTCTTTTTAAACTCACATATACAGTTGTGCTTGTGTGTGTGTGTGTATGTTTAAATTTACATGCTGTCAAAAATAGATTTTGACTGAACAGTTTCAATTTGGTCTTATACAAATTTGTTGAGTGTCCCCTCCGCCTCCACCTCCTGGATGGATCTGGATCTCCGAGGAGCTAAAGCTGGTCTCTGGAACTACATTATGTAAAAATCTGTCCCAACTACAGTCATTTGTCTCTGGGTCTTTGGACTGAGATGTGGTCTCCTGTGGGTAAGCCACCTAGGTTGCTATCCATGGTGCTGAATCTCCCCTACACAGGAGCAGGGGTGGATCTTTCTCTAAAGTGTCCACATTCCTGTAACAGCCTCATACCATGTTTCCCCTGAGACCAATTATAGCTTAATTCTCATATTTCTAATGACTTTCTGACAAATACCTACATTTCTTTTCTATAAACTTTTACTAAAATTTCAAAACATCAAAACCTGTAGTGTTTTTGAACATGATCTTTGACTCCAGCAAGGACTAGTCAAATATCAGATCCACCATATGACTCTGGAAATCCATGTAACTACCATTAGCTTCTGTTTTTTCATCAATAAGGTGTGAATAATGATAGTATTGTTGGGATAATGTATGTTAAGAATTTAATACATTGCCCTAGCCCATAGCAGTGTGCCTAATCAGCATCACTAAATTTAGCTATTATTTCTCATTACACATTTTCTAAGACCAAAGTCCATTTTATAATACAATGATGAAAAAAGTTACTTAGAGTGTTTATTTGTACCTCATTTTTCGAAAGTTGGAAATTATTTTATTAACTTAAATAAGAATTATTTGCTCAATCTTGGGATTCAAAATGAGAAAGAGATAGTTCAAATATATTTTTTCTAGCATCCCATTGCTGGTCTAGAGTGGTCTTATAGGTAAAGTAATCACCAGGTATATAAATACAGACTAGCTCCAAATTCTACACATCCAGCCATCTGATATTTGGATCAGTAACATCTACATTCAGCAGTAACACTTAACTACATACATGAATAATATGACATGTTAATTTTTTCAAACTTACTGTATATATGGCTTTGTCCAGTTCTTATTTGTGGTTTTATTAAAGATTTGCCTCTACTTTTTTTTGGAAACAATATTTATATTTTATCTCTACTATGTGATTGTTACTTTCGTTTAGCTGCACAGGGCAAGGCACTTGAAAAAACTGGAGATTTAAAGTTCTCTAGACTCCTTTCTTGATTTAGCATATTAGTTTCATCTGGAGAGTTTAAGTATTCATGAGAAGGTGGGTTCCAAGAACTAGAAAGACATAAGGGGTGAGCTCCATGTGAGAAGGTGAGCTGAGGTCAGGATTAGTTATATGTAAAGATGCATAAGAAATGGCTAATCAGTGTGCAAGAGACTCATAACTGCCCTTGTTACCTCACTGGTTTCTAATATGACTGTTTAAGCCTTCTTAAGTGTTCTGAAATTATTATATATTTTTAAGACAAAAATGCTCATTTTTACTATTGCCAAGTGTTGAATAAATATGTGTAATCACTCCCCAAAATGCCAAGCATAGTAATAAATCGGGTGACATAATGAAAATTTTACTTCCTAATTTGAAAAGGAGCCTCAAAATGATGGAGCATTCATGTGCTAAAAACCTATGATTTATAAGCCAATAATATTGTATGAATTCAGAGGACCCCAGAAGGCTTTATACTGAAGGTAATTGTCTTATATACACTGCTTGACATCCAAAATTTCACTTTATCTGTTGCATTCTGTCTTCATTAAAATGCTATCACCCCTGGAGTGGTCATACTGTAAGCTATTGCTCTTTCATTTTAGTTTTATTAAAAGTTATTTGTATTCATTTTATAATAAATTAGAAACACTTTTGCTACTACTATTTCTTCCCTATACTACCTGTTACCTGTCTTAGTGAATTTGCTATCTCTTGTACAGGTCTATTACCCAGAATAGATGGCTTAGTAAGTTGATGCCTTTATAACAAACAATTCAGAGGGACAAAAGCTTCTTATAAGTACCACATGCTAACCAATTGCACCACTGGAGCCACAAAAAAAAGGCTTCTTATTTACTACTTTGTTCATGTAAAACTACATAATGCACTTTATAGTCAACAATAATGAGGTTGTTTTCATCATCCTCCTCCTTTACACTTGCATGGAAAATTTGTCATTCTCATCAAATGATTTCATCAGGAATATAATGCTCATTTATTTTGATCATATGCTTATTAATGACACAGAGAAAGAGATGCTATTACAAAGTGGTGAATAGCTTGTCCCATCTCATACACACAAACACACACACACTCACTCACTCACCTAAAAGTAGCAGGTAGTTGGAAAGCTTTGGTTTCACTGGAATAGTATCTTAATTTAATATTCTAGCCTACACAGCTTGAATGATCTTCTTCCTTCCTACTGCTCCAATCTTTATCACCTTGCTTCTCCAGTATGTTACCGTTATACCAGTTGCTTCACATCCCTAGAAGCCAAGCTGGTTCCTGCTTCAGAAACCTTACCCTTGATCTGGAATGCTCTCATCACAGATCTGCACATTGCTAATTCTTCCTCATCACTTATATCTGAGCTCAAAAGTCTTCCTAATTCAAGGTTTACCTTACCCCTGGTACTCTGAATCCCACAACCCTGAAAGCTCTGTAAAAGTGAAATATTTGTCTATTCTGTTTACCACTGGATCCTTAGTCTAGAACATACAAAGCATACGATAGGTGTCCAAGACATATTTTCTGAATACAATAATGAATTATAAAATACAAAAGTGAAATAATAATCAATTATAATATGCCCAAAGATATCTAGTACCTTGAAGGGATAAGGAAGAAATAAGCTATAATAATTATTGTCACTTACTGAACACCTACAATAATCAAGGTATTATACCTCTTACCTCATTTAATACTAACACGAACTTTGTACCACAGCACTAATAAATAGCCAAGAGAAAATTTAACCCATGTCTATCCTATTACAAAGCCATGTAATTAGACATTGGGCACAAATATTGGAAGAAGCCCAGAATATTTACACTGAGAGACCCAAATACAGATTTACCTACTAGCACTTTTCTATTTGGATGTTGGAAATAGCTATTTGTGCATGAATAATTTTCTCAGGATTTGTATCATTTAGGATTTTGTTGGCAGTGGCAGAAGCTGCCACCTAAACTTACTTGAGCAAAAATATAAAATAAGTAAATGTATTGGCCCACAGAGTTGAACAGATGGGAAGGATGGCTTCAAAGGGGGCTCAACATGGTCCTCAAATCATGTCACCAGAACCCAGGTTCTCTCTTGATTTTCATACTTCACTTCCTTGGTGTTAATATGGCAGGATGTTAGTTCTAGCAGCTGCAGGGATTATATATTCCTTTATGTCAGTGGGAAGGAGGAAGTTTGCTTCCCCAGTAGTAAAGACTACTGCCAGCCCACATGGCACTTTTGTGCAAATTGCAAAAGGTAACCCTTTCTCGAGGAAATTTCCAAAGTTAGTTTATGATTAATTTATCAATAATTATTGAAACTTATATAAGCTACTCTACAAAATTATACAAATCATACTGTTAGAAGTAATATAGTAGAATATGTAAATTTTTAAGATTCAAGTACACTCATATTAGATGTTACGTAAAAATTTCATGTCTTTTTTTCAGGAAAACAAATTATGATACTTTAAAAGCTTACTTGTACCAATAACCAAACCATAGACTTCACCACTTTTTCTAGTAGGAATGGAGATCTTAAGTAGTTTTTGTTTAATTTTTAGAAGCAAAGGTCTCGGCTTCTCAATTACCAGTATCAGCTAAGTCAAGTATACCCTAAATATTTTTAAATAAAAGTGTTTGTAATTTTTTCTGGTGAATTATTGCCATGAATATTTCAGTACTTCAACAAGAGATGTTCTAAATCTAAGAAAACTATGTATAAGTTTTAGTTCCTCATGTTCCTGATGTTCCCCCAGTATCACATGACTATATTCCTTGGTAAATTTCCAATTTATAGTTTATATTGTTGAAGTAGTTCATATTCATATTCATTACAACTTTTCAAATTATAATTCATATAAACACTATCATAAACTTGAATCTTAAAGGTGATATATGTTAATGATAAATATAGTGAAAAAAGAAATTCATTTTAAAATTTAGTTCTGGATAATTTCTATGATCAATATAATCATGCTGTTTATATTTGAAATAATCATGCTGTTTATATTTGAAATGAGTCTAATATTTTCTATTCTGGAGAAGCCAATGTTAATGCTAAAAGATAGTGAAATTTATTTAGTTTCAATTGTGTGGTTTTTAAAATATTGCTTCATTTTTATTCAGAGAATTTTTTTTTAGTGCTGTCAAGTGTTTACGTATGCTAAATTTTGGTTGCTTATTATATTAGTCCATTTTCATGCTGCTGATAAAGACACACCCGAGCCTGGGCAATTTAAAAAGAAAGAGGTTTAATTGGACTTACAGTTCCACATGGCTGGGGAGGCCTCACAATCATGGTGGAAGGCAAGGAGGATCAAATCACAACTTACATGGATGGTGGCAGGCAAAAAGAGAGCTTGTGCA
Source organism: Homo sapiens (assembly GCF_000001405.40). NCBI lineage: Eukaryota > Metazoa > Chordata > Mammalia > Primates > Hominidae > Homo > Homo sapiens. The sequence goes on from NC_000003.12 coordinate 68,311,094, forward strand.
GGGAGACTCCCATTTTTAAAACTGTCAGATCTCATGAGACCCATTCACTATCAAGAGAACAGCACAGGAGAGACCTACTCCCCACTGCCATGATTCAATCGTGTCCCACTGGGTCCCTCCCATAAAACGTGGGAATTATGGGAGCTACAAGATGAGATTTGGGTGGGGACACAGAGCCAAACCATATCATTCTGCCCCTGGCCTCTCTCAAATTTCATCAAAACCAATCATGCCTTCCCAACAGTCTCCGAAAGTGTCAATTCATTTCAGCATTTACTCAAAAGTCCATAGTCCAAAGTCTTATCTGAGACAAGCCAACTCCCTTCCACCTATGAACCTGTAAAATCAAAAACAAGGTAGTTACTTCCTAGATACAATGGGGGTACAGGCATTGGATAAATACAACCATCCAAATGGGAGAAATTGGCCAAAACAAAGGGGCTACAAGCCCCATACAAATCCAAAATCCAGCAGGGCAGTCAAATCTTAAAGCTCCAAAATGATCTCCTTTGACTCCATGTCTCACATTCAGGTCACACTGATGCAAGAGGTGGGTTCCCATGGTCTTGGGCAGCTTCACCCCTGTGGCTTCACAGAATACAGCCTCCCTTCTGGCTGCTTTCAGAAACTGTTGTTGAGTGTCTGTGGGTTTTTCAGGTGCAGGGTGCAAGCTGTTGGTGGATCTGCCATTCTGGGGTCTGGAGGACGGTGGCCCTCTTCTCACAGCTCCACTAGGAGTGCCCCACTAGGGACTCTGTGTGGAGCTGTGACCCTACATTTCCCTTCCACACTACCCTAGCAGAGGTTCTCCATGAGGGGCATGCCCCTGCAGCAAACTTCTGCCTAGGCATCCAGGCATTTCCATACATCTGAAATGTAGATGGAGGTTCCCAAACCCCAGTTATTGACTTCTGTGCCCTGACAGGCTCAACACCGTGTGGAAGCTGCCAAGGCTTGCAGCTTCCACCCTCTGAAGCCATGACCTGAGTTCTACGTTGACCCCTTTCAGCCATGGCTGGAGCAGCTGTGATGCACGGCATCAAGTCCCTAGGCTGCACACAGCACGGGGATCCTGGGCCCAGCCCACCAGAACCACTTTTTCCTCCTAGGCCTTCGGGCCTGTGATAGGAGGGGCTGCCCTGGAGACATTTTTCTCATTGTCTTGAGGATTAACCTTTGGCTCCTCATTACTTATGCAAAATTCTCCAGCAGGCTTGGATTTCTCCCCAGAAAATGGGATTTTCTTTTCTATCACATTGACAGACTGTAAATTTTCTGAACTTTTATGCTTTGCTTTCCTTATAAATCTGAATGCCTTTAATGGCACCCAAGTCACCTCTTGAAGGCTTTGCTGCTTAGAAATTTTTTCCACCAGATACCCTAAACCATCTCTCTCAGGTTCAAAGTTCCACAAATCTCTAGCTCAGGGACAAAATGTCACTAGTCTCTTTGCTAAAACATAGGAAGAATCATCTTTACTTCAGTTCCCAACAAGTTCTTCATCTCCATCTGATACCACCTCATTCTGGACTTTATTGTCCATATCACTATGAGCATTTTGGGAAAAGCCATTCAGCAAGTCTCTAGGAAGTTCCAAACTTTCCCACATTTTCCTGTCTTATTCTGAAACCTCTAAACTGTTCCAACCTCTGCCTGTTACCCAGTTTGAAAGTCTCTTCCACATTTTCAGGTATCTTTTCATCAGCACCCCACTCATGGTAACAATTTATTGTATTAGTCCATTTTCATGCTGCTGATGAAGACATACCTGAGACTAGGTAATTTACAAAAGAAAGAGGTTTAATTTGACTTACAGTTCCACATGGCTGGGGAAGCCTCACAATTATGGTGGAAGAGAAAAACGAGCAAGTCATATCTTACATGGGTGGTGGCAGGCAAAAAAGAGAGCTTGTGCAGGGAGACTCCGATTTTTAAAGTCGTCAGATCTCATGAGACCCATACACTATCATGAGAAAAGAATGGGAAAGACTTGATCCCATGAATAATCATTTCCCACATGGTCCTCCCACAACACATGGGAAATATGGGAGCTACAAGATGAGATTTGGGCGGGGACACAAAGCCAAACCATATTTCTCATCATGTTGCTTATAACATTAATGTTGCTTAAAACATTATACCAAATTAACAGTAAACAATTACATTTGAAAGCAAATAGTTTTGAAAGTGTAACATTGTCTTGCATTCTAAAACCTATCTATTTAAACTCCTTACTTCAAATCATGGGCTATTTTTTGTCGTCCTAGATGCTAGATAGGTGCAGTCTTGATTCTTAAACTTGTCTATCCCATGTCCAAGCATAATGATCTGCATATACCTTGTAAAAGAACAGTCTTTACTTTCATCTGTTTGAAAATTGTCCAAATGTGCTGATTTTCTTAGAACAAGATATTTAAGCATCATCTACCCCCGCAAAGTTGTTCAAATAAATATGGAAACCATGTATGCTGGAGTTGACAAAGTTCTGATAAAATAAGAAAAAAGTCAAAATAATGAAGATGTATCAATATGAATTGTATCCCCTCAGATGTATTATCTTTCTGCAGTGTACACCTGGACAATGGTATGCACCTCTCCTGAAAAGAGTACAGAAAATAAAAGCCCTAATCCTCACTCTCTTTGGCCCTAACTGGATGGACTTGTGTTGTTTGCCTAAATCAATCACTATTACTGGAACTTGAATTATTCTGATGGCCCTTGCCTCACTCTCAGGCCCTGGAGTTAAAGTCAATTTCCATAGAAGCTAGAAGTGGAGAAATGTGTGTTTTAATTTTATTTTAAGAAGTGGGTATGAATATTAGCCTGCAGATATCAAATATCCCTTACATGTTTGATTATAAAAATAAGTAGAACTGTAAAAAGGAATCCTTTTTTTTCAACATTAATCCAAGAAACAATTTTCATGCCATTATTCTGCCTAAAGGTAAATATCTAAGTATACCCTTGAATAGGATTAAGATGGCTCCCATCGTTCTTGTTTATTTGGCTAGGCTTTAGGATTTTGTTCAGTTAGTGTTTGGTTGTTGTTTTTCCTATGGTAGTCTATGAAAAATCTTTAGGAGGAAACTACCCTTTGTATTGAACACCTGGTCCAATTAGGTAGCGATAGTTGACCTGTGAATGCATAGGTAAGTGTACTTTTTCAAAAATTAAATTCGTATTGGAACACCTGTTCCTGTCCATAGAGTTAATTGTATGTTCAGAACTGAGCTTTATTTGGAGACTTATTCATAAAGGGAATTAATATCTGCCACTTTGCTACAGAGTTACAGCAAAGTCATGCCACCAACACATAATCATTCCTGTCACTTCCTCAGTTCCCTACACACAGATTCTCCTGCTATTAATGTTCCACAGATTGTTGTCAAATATACATCATTAGATAAGATAAAAATGATTGACAAATTTTTCTTTTGATGGGATTGCTTTTTGACAAAGTATCACTATATAGTACACATATTTGTGTGTCTACACATACGCAATATCATGATTTGTGATGGCTACTAGTCAATGAATAAGTCGCCTTTTCACTGATACTAGTGCTTTATTTGTAAGTGCATTTAGCAAGTGCTTTTATATATGAAATCTTAAACATTCTTTTTACATGTATAACCTGTGGTGAGAGATGCTCAGCCCAGCTTCCCCATCTTAATGAAACAGGAGGAGCTTCAGGACGAAAAAGATCATAAATTATGTTTAAAGGAATTTTCAGGTCCATAGTTTGAGAAAGTTAGCTAAAGATTGACTTACCATAGTTATTCTTCGGTCATAAGATATTTATACACATATTGATATATTCTTATAAATATTATATATAATATTAATATTTATCACTATATAACATTGAATAAGAGAAAAAGAAAATATATTAAGAAAATCATCAACTAGACACAAAATAAAGACTTTCTTCTCTGTTAAAGAGAACTTCAATAAGTAAAGGCTCATGGAATATTCTCCTGTGGAAATCATGAAGAAACAGAGGCCCCAACCATTTTTCTAAGAAAGGTTAGCTCTTCTCTTCCTGGAAGAGAGAATGCCAATTCACATGCCCTTTTCCAGTCCCACTGAGCAATTAGATTTTATGCTTTCTGACTGGATATGGACAAAAGAGGAAAGTTATAGAATTTTCCAATTATATCAATTCCACAGAAAACTTGTCCGAGACATGCTTAGTTACCAAGTACATGCTTGATTCTGTCATGTTCAGTTGTTGGTGTGGAAGGACATCATGTCCTCTCAGCTTGCTTTGGGAATGGCCGTTCTACCTCCATTAAGTTGTGCATGGAAAGTGTTAATGGCTTTGCTGGGGCGCGGAAATAGTTTTGGAATTGAGCTAATGGTGTATTTCCCCACCTTCACACCCTAAAAATTCTCCTAAAGATACATTACTCGGTTCACTTTATTCCTCCTATGCCATATGTGCCTAGCTTTAAAAATCAAAAATGTCACTAAAGTTCCTTATATAGTTCTTTATATAGACTTTTGACTATCCTAGAATCTGACAAATCAAATCATTTTAATGAAGCACAGCAAACATCTCATGTTGAAACAGCTGTAAGCACACTATGCAAATTGTGTTTACTAGTAGCTTATGCTCCAGAGAAATAATCTTTATATGACTGCTTTATTATTTACAGTAGTTTTGAAATTTAATTTTTGTCAACATTGACAGATGCCTTCCATGTTAATACTTGGGCTGCTATATATGGAAAAGGCTAAACATATGCAGAGATTTCATGTTTGTGAACTGATAATGTGGTTGACAAATGGGTTTAACAATATCCAGTCATTTCTGGGCAGTCGATGAAATTCACCTGAGGTCTGTGAAGAGGAAGGTCAGAGGAATATGAATGAAGAAAGAAGAAAGCAGTGGCTCTGGAGGGCCCTGCATATAATGAAAGCATGACAGAGGGTGATTAATTATATTTCAGAGCCAGATAATTCCCAGAGAATATGTGTGCATGATAAAAAGTTTCTAACCTTTCCAGTTGTAATTAAATGAGGGATTCACTGGCCTAAGCTGAGTAAAGGCTGTTTTGTTCCATAACTGTACGAATGCACATAATGAAATAGTTTATTTCAAATGTGCATTTTTTACTGCCTGAGTTGTGAAGTTGACAAAACTGGATAATACCCAGGGGGTGAGGAGGAGGTTCAGTCCACTGGGGAGGACTCCCTCCCTTAGAAATGAACTGGTTAAATAAATTTAGAATGGCTTGGAAAATTTACCTGTCCTAAAATATCTGAGGATATACCCTCAGGTAAAAAAAGGAAATAGAAGTAATTCTTAACCAATACAGTTTCATGTAGCTTTAGATTTAAATCTTCTGCAGAATAATGTGTTTATAATGTTGTTCGGGCTTTTCATAATGTTCTGCCTTTTAGGTGCTAACTTGCAGTGGTCCGGGCTTTTTCTCTCTTTTTTCTTGGCATCTCCTTTCAGACAAAGGAAAGTAATGGGTCCAGAAAACATAATAAAAACCTTTTAGTTTTTATGAGCTGGTTTGAGTGAATTCTGAATTCATTAGATTCCAATTTTTATAACAAATATTTATTGACCACTTTGTACATGCCTGATGCTATACTAGGTACCAGGGGATTCATGCCAGACATACAACAGTGTCTGCCACATAGTAGGTCTCAATGAATAGGTGTTGAATGAGTTGGTGAAGTTGAACTGTGTGTTAATATTTGAATTCAGTGGATTTGGTTACTTCTTGGTCTACTTTTCTAATATATGAAGAAAAAGTAGAGACAGCATAATGAATAAATATTTCTAAAGTGTTTTGGTTAATGACAAAAATAGCCCAATGCCTCCATTATTTCTGACTCTATTTTTTTCAATGCAATGAATTGCATTCATTCATTTTTTTGATAGCAGTATATGAGTGACTCAGAAGCAACTTAATATTTAGAATAGCTGGTACAGGATAAGACAAAAAGTAAGTCAAACTAAATACATATTAATTGAAGGGTCAATAATTTGGCAATGAGTTGTGGAAGGGAATGGTAATTGAGTATTAGGAAAAAGAGTTCCAATGCGTCATTTAAAAGATTGTTGTTTTCTGGATATAATGATGGATATTATGTGTTTATAGGTCCTGCCTTTCCGAAGATTTTACAGAGACCCCTTTCTTCAAGTGAAAGGTTATCAACTGTTGGTAGTATGCTGCATTAACAGACAACTCCTATCTCAGTCACTTGCCACAACCAAGTTGCCACAACCATCTTACTTAGGCCATATGTCAGCTGTAGCTTTTCTCCATGTTGCCTTCCTTCCTAAATCTAAGGCTAAAGAACCAACTTTCATATAGAACATTGCCAGCCACTGCAACAGAAGGTAAAGAGACCTGGTGAGCTATGGGCTGGCTCTTAAAATGCCTATAAGGAAGTGACACACAACACTTCCACCCACATCCCATTGGTCAAAGAAAGTGAAATCATTGAAAACTCCCTGCAGGCTAAAGTGTGCTCTGTTTTGCCTCCTGTCAGGTCCCCTGTACCTATCATGGTCCCTGGAATATGCCAGATGCTTAATAATTATTGATTACAGGACCAGCTACATCATTCACAGGCCCAGTGCTAAATGAAAATGGGATGACTTTATTCAAAAAGTAGGGGGGAAAGTACAATTAAAGTTACTCAAATTAAAACTTCATTCTTTCTTCTGTAGTCTCTCTCTCTTCTGGATCTGTCGAGGTGGTTTTTATATTTGCTGTTTTTATTTATTATTTAATGTTGTACTTGTCCAGGTTTTAGAGACACTTGCTGATGAGTACAGATGTGAACAAGTGCCTGGGAGCCTGTAAATTATCCTTCCCACAGCCTTGAAATCCAACGCTTTGCAATGTGTTTGGTACCAAACACATCAGAATCAGGGGTGGCCAAGTCGTCTGCCAAACTCACTGTGGTGCTGCCAGCTGGGGACAGGGCAGCTGTCTATTAAAATTCTATAATTTTAATAGAATTATAATGTTCTGTTAGTTTTATAGTACATGTGTTGCCAACCAGTTTGTCAGTAAGATAGAAATTTACATACATGTACAGACATTCACACACTGAGACTGATTTAGCTCTCTGGTGATGAAACCACCAATACCAAGGCAAATTGTGCCCTTCTAATGGTGACACACCTCGGCTCAAGGGATGGGATGCACCATATGCTTCTCCCTCTCCTGGCTATCAAGGATGGCCTCTTTGATGATTGAGTTTTATGGAAAATATTTGAATATCCTTGAAGTCATTATATGCAGAAATTGGAAGGCCCTAAATCTAAAGGAGGGTAATATGTTAGACAGACATTTATTAATAGAATCATAGATCCTTCAGGTATAAGGGATCTTTAAAGTCGCCAAGCTTGAATGTCTTTCTGCTGAGGAATGGAAACCCACAGAAATGACAAAGCTTAGGTTGCACTGCAGTGCATTCCTACAGTCTTGACCAGAATCCAGCTCTCCTGACCGTCCATCAAATCTTAAATTGTTTTGATTTCTTGTTATGTTTTTCTTCTTCTTTGAGTGTTTAAATTACTTTGTTTCCAGTCTTTATTACAAGTGATAGAAGAGGATAAATCTCTTATACTGTTTGAGAAAGTTAAGTTACATGAAAACATGAAACCTAGTTCTTTCCTTATGATTACTTAAAAGATTTTAAAGTAATCTGGTCTAAGTAGGCTTATTTACCTGAAAAATAATTGAATTTAAACCCTCTGAATCATGTCCTCTTCAATAAAAAAGCACTGTGTAATATACCTACTAATAAAAGAAATAGATCCCAATAGTTAAATTCATAACTAGAAACAGAATTCATAACACTAATAAACATCCATTTTTTTTAAAATTACCTTAATGCAGATAACTCAGAAGTCAGCATTTTATTTAGAAATGATTCTTTCTCTTTCTCCTCTGCTGTCCTCAGCAAATATATTCCTTTCACAATGTACTTGAGGTATCTTGGGTCCTATTTGGCATATTAAGACTATAATTTGGTTCACCTTAAGGACATAAAAGAGATAGTTATAAAAATATTTAATCCCACAAAGAGATTTGATCCTTGGATATTACTTCTACACTAGTAGAATACAGTTCAGTGTGTGTGATGTTTAAAGCTAAAATTTGAATTACTTCAAACAAAATAGAGAACAGTCACAACCAAGGATAATGTGAGTGAGAAATACAAATCTCTAGAACAGCGATTCTCAACCAGGGGCTATTTTGCCCCCTTCCTTCATCATTCCCCCACCCCAGGGACATTTGACAATAGCAGAGACATGGTTGTCATGACTGATGCTTGGTTGGGGGTGGCAGGGAAGAGGCTTACTGGCATCTAGTGGGTAGAAGCCAGGGATGCATCCTACATTACACAGAGCAATCCTCATCCCCAGCGAATAATTATTGAGTCCAAAATATCAATACTGCAAAGTTGAGAAACCCTGCCCGAATGGCTTATTGCTCAAGTTTTGTCCAATGTTGTCACATGGATACGCATTGCTGTTGTTTGCCATTGTTACCACTTAGGACTTTGACTAAGTTAAATTCATTCTTGGCTTTGTCCTTTAGGTAAAATCACTTTTTCATGTCCCCATCCCAAAATGAATTCATCATGCTCAAAATGGATTGAGAAATAAATGTTTTTCTTTAAAGTTTAAAATACATGTTTTCATATTAGAAGCATTAAATCCTTTACTCCAGTTTAGTATTCCAAAGATGGGGAAAACTAAGCCATGGTTTGAATCTACTTTATCATACTGAGCTATTTAAATTCTTCATTATCATAGAAATAATTAGTTATTTTCATAGTAACACTAGAATGCTTGATAGCTTTGATAAAGCAAGTGATGAGAATACGACTAAAACAGTGTTTCTCCTAAAATGATAATTTTACCTGAATATTTTATGTGCAGTTTGAGTAAATATACAGTATGTTTACATATATATGGATATATATAATATTTACATTTAACCTTATTCACCATTTGAGGTGAGGGTAGAATATACTACTTATCAAACCCCTTTTCTTTTCCCGGTAAAATCCAAGTCGATTGAGAGATGGTGTATGTTTTAAAAATGAAGATTAAAATAACATTTTGGCTTTCTTACTGGTAAAGCAGTTTGAGAACAAGGCTTTGGTTTGTGGCCACAACCTGGCTTCCTTGTATCTTCCCCTCCAAGTTGAATGGATGCAGGGGTGTGTTCTGAGTCTTCATGCTTTCAGATATACTCATCATCATTGCCCTGCTCTGCTCTGGGCAAGGAGAGGCTGCCCACTGCAGACTGTACTTTCCAGGCTCTTGTGCCAGCTGGATCTAGCCAATGGGCTTCACTGATGGGAGACGGGAAGGTACTGGGAAAGGAGACTCAGGGGTGTTTTTCCCTCTCTGTCATGTTATCTGCAGCAAGCCTATCTCCTCCTTGGTTCCCGATCCTGGCAGAAAGGCCTGTCATGATCCCACCTTCTACTGTTGGACTCTGGTACTTAGTCCCAGTAAACTTACCTGCCTGGGCTCTCCCTGTGACCCAGGGCCAGAGGTGGCTCCCTGTTACTGCTAATACCCATCTCTTCTTTGGCTTCAAAGCTCTTCTGTCACCTCTGTAGCCAGTTTCCTGATGAAAACCATGTTCCAAAGATTCTTCTTATTCTCATCTCAAACTCTAGATTGTGAAACAAGGCAGGAATTTGAGAAAGCATGCACCCTGAGAATAGGCTGCACCCCAGAGGGAGCCAAAGCAGTGCTCCTGCTTACCTCCTTCTCCCCTGGTCTGCAGTCAGATAGACTCCCTCTTCCCAATGGGACAAAGAGAGAAGGTGCTAAGGAGGCGCTGGGCATGGTCTAGCCCTAATATCTCCTCCAGCAGAACAGAGTAGACGTTTCCACTTTTCATATACATTGGGGGCCACACAGACTATATTACAGAATGGGCTTCAAGGCTGGACTGTCAGGGTTGAAATCGCTGATCTACCTCTTGCCAACTGTGTTATGTCAAGTCAATTACTCTGTCTTTACTTGAGTATCTTTTTCTCTCGAATAGGGGATAAATATGGCCTGCTTCCTGGGATTATTATGAGGTGGATGTAGTCTAATATACAAAAGCAATGAGAGCATTGCCTGGCACATGGGAAACCCTCTGTAACATTAGCTGCTATTATTATTACCCCTCTTGGTCATGCCCATAAAATGGGGATAATCATAGCCCCTACTTCAATAGCTTAGTTGTAAGATTTAATAAGCCTGTGTGCCATAGTAAAGGCTCAATAAATTAGCTGTTAGTATGGCCATCTCCTCTGGGGTGTCTTTAATTAATATTTCCTTTGATGTTGGAGAGAAAGAAAGAGGGAAGTTAATAAATAAATGAAATTGTAAATATGTAAGAACCAAGTACTCAAGACCTTTCTTTTTCAGCTTTGGCTTTTCTAAGAGTCATTTGGTGAAAATGGCATATAATAATAAAACAAGTCTGAAATTTAAAATGCTAGGGCTTTTCAGGAAGCTGCATGCTGTGTGCTGCGTGCTTGCTAAGTATTTGGCTAACAGGAAGCCATCATTGATCTCCCATTCTCTTTTCCTGACCATGTCCTTCTCTCCCTACCTTCATCCATCCCCATCACCTCCTCCCACCTTGCTTTCTAAGTTTTATTAGCTCTGTCAGCCCACTTCAGTCTCCATCTGGACTTTGAAGCAATGAAAACCACAGGAGGACAATAGTCTGCCATTTTAAAGGAAACAGCCAACTGAAATCTCCAAGGTTTCCTGAAAAGGCCCAAAATATGAATAATCACTTTCTTCTCTCTTCCATTAATATCATTCATAAAAGATATATTTCCACCTTAAAAGAAGTTCCCATGCATTTCAGCGCTATCCATTCCCAAAGACAGAGTTTTTTTCCCACAGCTGCATGTACACTAAAATTGTGCCAAAACCTTACTGTGCAATTTATAAATACAAAAGAATTTTACATACTTAAATTTTAAACCAAACTAGGCCTAATGGCAGAGGAGGCTAATTTCCTAATTTCCTGGGCCTGGGGCCATAAGCTAAAATTACATATACAAGTACAAATTTTCTCTGATCTTATATTATAGATATCTTTAAAGAAAGCATACATATTTTGCTTCAAGCTCCATAATTATTTTGACATAAAAATAGTATTTTAACATACTCATTAAATTATTTAAAGCTCAATCCTTAAGTAAAATTAATGCTTCTATAAGATTTGCTGGGTTTGTGCCCTTGACGTTTTATTCCTCTCAAAATCATCTATACCCTTAGGAAGACACATACTTCACTCAAGGAAGCCGGAGAGTCAAGTATGTTACTTAATTCTCACAATCCTAAGACGTCATTGCAGTTGTATCCACTTTATTAGGAGACCCAGTTTTGGAGAAGTTACATGTCTTGCCCAACCAAGTTTAGACACGTGTTAAAAGTCTTTCTCTGTGGCCAGGCACAGTGGCTCATATCTGTAATTCCAGCACTTTGGGAGGCCAAGGAGGGAGAATTGCCTGAGCCCAGGAGTTGGCTGCTATAAGGTCCCTTAAAGATGGTAATAGTCAGGGGCCGGGCGCTCATGCCTGTAATCCCAGCATTTTGGGAGGCCGAGGCAGGTGGATTACTTGAGCTCAGGACTTCAAGACCAGCCTGGCCAACATGGTGAAACCCCATTTCTACTAAAAATACAAAAATTAGCTGGGCATGGTGGTGCATGCCTGTAATCCCAGCTACTCAGGAGGCTGAGACAGAAGAATCTCTTGAACCTTGGAGGCAGAGGTTGCAGTGAGCGAAGATCACACCACTGCACTCCAGCCTGGGGGACAGAGCAAGACTCTGTCTCAAAAAAGAAAAAGTATTTCTCTGAGTACCAGGACACTCCCAGTACAGCACACAATATCCCTACCCCCAGGAAAATCAGGACCAGTTGTGGTCAATAATCATAATCACAATTGCTGAAAAGCGGTGCCATGGCTTATCTTAAAAGATGTTTTGAAAAATAAATCTTACATAAAATGCTAATGTGATTTTGCCATATATCATCTTACCTCAAACACTGGCTTTGGTATGACCAGGGCTGTCTGCCCTAGACCCAGGCGAACTAAACATATTCCAGGGAGAACACTACCTCCTCCAGCTGAAATGAATCAGGATTTATGCAGCCACCTGTACAATACATTAGCTGCCACCTGCAGACCTACCCAGCTGTAAACAATTCACTGAAATGAATAGATTCACGTGGCCAGAACTAGAGAACAGGTTGAGGAGTCAGGAAAGAGGAGCCAACACAAATGTAAAGGAAAGCTGAAGGGGAATTAGAAACCAAACCAAACCAAATAAAACATTGAGTTTTTCGAGGAAAGGAAGCAACAGCATCTGAGTTAACTACAGGTCAGTGATTGACAATTCTCTGCCCAAAAGGTTTTGAACGGACTGTCCTCGTATGTGTAACTCTGTAATTTCAGCCTTCAAAATTATGATTTTTCAAGGCTAAAATGTGCATGGTAGTTTTAAGCTGAAAGGGGAGGAGGAAGAATAGCCAACAGTCAGATAGTGAACCAAATGATACAAATATTGTATATTCCTTTAACCTGTGAGATTCATTAGAATTCATTTCTTGAAAAATAATTCTCTGAAGCAGCATGACATGAGGCAGTGTTACCAAATGCTAGCAATGGACAGATTTACTATGAAACATATGGAACTTTAGCCTTGGAGTCCTCACTTGTACACGAGTTTTATGTTGTGTTCCACGTTGGGAGGGCAAGCCAGATAGCAATCAGGAATAATCTGTCTATGTGTCTCTGGTAAAGTGCCTGAGGAAATACCAGAAGAAGGGCACCTATGTCTCCAAGACTCCAGGAATTGTTGCATTTCTTTCTTCATTCTCCGTAAATACCAACTTTCCCACTTTATTTTGTATTTTTCTTAAAGAGCCTCCACCATCTCCAAATTGTAGTATATGCTTTCGATTTTCCAAAGCCCAGATTTCTTCCTGGCAGTGCTGGGCCATGACAAAGCTTTTGCCAGACCAAAATGAATTAAGGAAAATAAGGATAATATAGACTTTTTTTCATAAAGCTAAATTAATATTCACTACAGTTTGTGGATTGTGTTTGTTTTTGATATTTTTCTATGCCTTGTTGATAAATATAGCCTTGTTGATAAATATAGCCTTGTTGATAAATATACTTTCTTTTAAAAACCATGGCCATAGATGTTAGATGCTAATTTTAAATGTTTATATATACACATCTTCTCATAATACAAAATATGTTTGAAAATTCTATGTCAGGACAGCCAAAAAGCCCCGAAGCATACTAGGAACACACTTGTAGTCAATAAATGTTGAATTTCTTGCTTGTAACAGAGAGGGAGGGAGCACACCTTGGAAGTGCAAGGAGTCACAGAAGGTGTGTGGGGAAGGATTTGTTGTAGGATTTGGCTTGTGACATAATTTGGAGAGGTTTCATGGTTTTGCCCTGAATTGAATGCTCACAAGTATTTGGTTGGTGCAAAAGTAATTGCATTTGTTGCCATTACGAAACACAAAGGTCACATAATTAGTATTTGGGAGGCTAAGAATTAAACCTAAATCATGTGTCCTCCCCCCATTAAAATGGCAAAACTGCAATTACTTTTGCACCAACTTGTAGAAATAATTCTAGATTGGATATCTTATTTTTATAAGTAGGTAGGACAAACGAAGTGGAGCTAAAGCAGTAATTAGCAAAGAAATAACGGTCACTTTTTAGGCAGGAAAGGGATGATTTGTTCTGTTTTGTAGTTTGGCTCATGTCTGTGTTATGGTCTATGCTCAGACGTGGTTAGAAAGTTGTCTCATTTTGCCAGTCTTCATCACAGTCACAGAGTGGCCTTGTCTAATGTGGGTGGGTATTCTATGAAATTGTTTGTATTCAGCAGAAGGGCATCATGGTCTACTGCCAGATCTGCTCCACACTGACACCAGTCAAGAGTGTGTCTGTCTCTCTCTCTTCAATTTATTCACAAAAATCACAGAAGTTTGGAAATCATTGCAATAGAAGAAGTAGTCTGAACTAGAGTGCCTGTTTGTCCCTTACTAGTTGTGTGACCCTAGAAGAAATATTTAACAGCACCAAGGCATCAGTGTCACCATTTGTAGAAGATTAAGCTGAACACATATCTTTCCCTGTAGAGCGACGTGGTTGGGAGCCCGAGTTAAGAGCCACATCATCTGGGTTTAATTCTTAGCCCCCCAAATACTAATTATGTGACCTTTGTGCTAGTTATTCAATCTCTTTCTCATCTGTAAACTAAGGGTGAATAGTATCTACATTTCAGAGTGTTGTGATGATTGAATTAGGCAACATATGTGGAGATTTTAGAGTAGAGCCTGGCATGAGATAAATGCTCAGTGCATGTTTGTATCTACTATCATGATAGTGATTATGCTTATCACTCTATTAATTTTGCAACTATTATAGTCTATGTTCTGGCTATGTTACATAGGCATATCAAATAACTTCTTTTTACTTAGGTCTCATTTTCTATAAAATCAAGAGTAAACTTAGGAACAAACTAGAAAATTCCCCTCTAGGAGCTGAAATGACTGTGGGCTTTGAGGTAAATCAGTTAAGATTTTAAGACCCATAGTTGTGTTAATCATAATAGCTGGCACGTATTAAATTCTTCATAAGCTTATTCAGTTCCCATAACTCTGTAAGAATCCCAGAGGCTCTTCTAAGCCCCCTTTTTAAGTGAGAAAGCTAGGATTTGAGAGAGGTTAAATAATCTGCCCAATGACGTGTATCTTGCTAGTGATAAATCTGAGACTGGAACCCAGATCCCAAATTCACAATCACTGCTTTGTGATTGGGAAGCTGTTACACAAGGGACTCATTACAGGGCAGCAGGTGTAAACACTTTTTGATCTTAGCTATTTATAAATAAACTTGAAATAGAATACATTAGAATGTCTGAGAATTCAAACAAATGGCAATTTAAAGGAAATATTAGGACTTCTTGGAATTCACTGTGCTCCTAAGTCCCAAATGTTGTTTCCCTAAAGCTACGTATTTTCTTATTTTTACTTGACAAACAAGGAATTAACATTTTCAGACTGATAGAAAATGCTGGATTTCCTTTTTACTGATACTATTATTGAACAAAACCAACTTTTGACATGTTCCTTGTGTCACATATTTGAAACTCAAATGTGTCTTCAGTTGTTTTAAATGACTGTTTACTGCAGCCTCTGGTTTGTGTCATTGACAATTATCTTTGGAAATTAAGCCTGGAAAGGGAGGAACTGTGACAGAATAAGCACCATTGGGAAATTGCTGGGTTCACTGGTCATATCTGTGCCTCATTGGTATTTCCCATTTAAGATATCATATGTTCACATCAGTCTTGGAACATGTTGACCTGAGAGTTTGCTTGCAATTCACCCCTTCTGCTGTCCTGCAAAATCCTGCATTGTCCATGCTGTCTGTTAGCCATTGTGTTATCAGAATCTATGTGGCCATTTCATTATCAGAATTTGATATTTGAAAGAATACATACATTTTTCACCATAAAATAAAAAGAATTATCATGGCAGAAGGAAAGAAAATCAGAATTTGAAAAGCCCTTATTATCAGGTAGACACAATAGCACACTTATCTCTCAATATTATCTCATTTCAGCCTCATGGCTCTGAGAAATAAGAAATATTATCTCCTTTGAAAAGATAAATAAATAGGGGCTGAGAGATGTTATGTGACAAACCCAAAACCACAAAACAGAGTTTGGACATCTTTAAATAGAGAGTTCCAAATTCTAGATTATAGATTAGATTGCTGAAATGGTTTGGCTGTGTCCCCACCCAAATCTCATTTTGAATTGTAGCTCCCGTAATTCCAAGTTGTTATGGGAGGGACCCAGTGGGAAGTAATTAAATCATGGGGGTGGTTCTTTCCTGTGCTATTCTAGTGATAGTGAATAAGTCTTACAAGATATGATGTTTTATAAGGGGAGTTCCCCTGCACAAACTCTCATGCCTGCCACCATGTAAGACATGTCTTGCTTCCCCTTCACCTTCCATCATGATTGTGAGGCCTCCCCAGCCATGTGGAACTGTGAGTTCATTAAACCTCTTTCCTTTATAAATTGTCAGTCTCAGGTATGTCTTTATTAGCATCATGAGAGCAGAATATTGCAAAATTTATCTCTTTCTCAGATGTATTTGGATATTAACCGGGAGACTATTTCAGAAATTTGAGGCCTATCATTTACAGTTCTAGCAGAGTTTTGTAAAAATGTATTTGTAAGAAATACATTTTTACAAAAACTTGAAAGTAAAATGGTTGTATAACTGAGGGGATACAACATGAGTGAAGTATGGGCTTTGATGTTAGACCAATCTGGGTTCAAGTACTAGATCACCACTTGCTAGCAGCATGAAACTGGTCAAAATATGAAACATCTCTAAGCTTCAATTCTTTTATCAGTAAAATTGAGCTAACAATATTAACTTCTTAGGCTTGCTGAGAAGATTAGATGGGTCAATTCATATAAATCCTTGGCTCAGTGCTGGGCACAAAGTGAGTACTCAACAAAGGGCATTAGTTGGGGTATTACTGCCCAGTGCACAGTTCAGTATCATTTATTCATAATCAATTAACATGCATAAAAATCTCCAACATCTCATGGATGCTGAGTTTTTATTAATGAAGGCTTTTCAAATGGATTATATCATTTAAAGCATGACATAGAGCTGCCTTACTTCACTATTAGTCTCCATAATGAAAAAGATATGGACCCAGGTGGTCTACAAACCAGACACTCTCCAAACCCTTGAGTTCTTACTGTAGCATTTTATGGTATGGAGAAAATTTTAATGGAGGCATCTGGGTATTGAGACTACTAATTGATTACATGCGTGTTAACTTTTTTTTAATATGGTACCTTCAAGGGCATATCTGTTGTTCAGCCTGGTTAACGTCGGCCTGTGAATCTGTTGGTATAAAAACATGTTACATTTTGACACTGGCTAGGATCTAGGATCTCATTTTTCTCATTTTGCAAAACTGGAAAGCCAGCCTCATATTTTATATTTTCTACATGCCTGGTTTTCATGAATCAGCTGGTTGGTGATCAACTGGGATTTTGTGCTGCTCTCACAAATACATTCCCCAGTGCCTGGCTTGGGCTGTGTGGAGTGTTGAAATTACCAATTTCATAAAATTGCTTTTGATGTTGGGTAAGATGCTATTTTTATTGAACACAGCAATTGCCGTCCCAGTTTCAGAAGGACAGTCTCTTCTTCTTGATGATCCTATTTAGTTTCAGATTTGTGTTTGGGGAAAGTAGTTATTACACAGTTTTGAAGCCCCTTCAGCTAAAATTGCTGGGGAAAATGTCTGCTGGGCCGGGAAGCTAGTCTAAGCATTTCAGCTGTTTTCTGAGAGATGTTAACAAACATTTCAACCTTGGTGGATTATCACAATTTGCCTACAGCATTTTCCAGGGATTTGCATAAACTAGCAGGCTAACGTGAGGCATAGATGTGTTACCTATTCATTTTTATTATGCAGTTTATTTTGGAATTCTCTTTGCCTGAGTATCAACTCACAAGTGGCACTTATTTCTGTATACTCTTTATTTTTTTATTCATTTTAAAAAATAAACTCTTTATATATAATAAATATGTATATGGCCTTGCATCTCTGAAGAGCAGAAACAGATGAACTTGAACTAGAAATTAGAGCTTAATGGTAGGAAACAATGATATGGAAGCTAAGAAGAAAGGTGACTAGTGGTAAACCAAGAGGAGTGATTTAAAAAATGTTATGAAATAAAAATCAAATAGGAAGGCAAAAACAAAATGGCATCATGGTTCCAAGCCATGTACAAAATTGAAAAAAAAGTAACCCCATGATGTTACTAAGCACTGTGATTCTATCTGTGCCCTTATCTCTCCCAAGCCTCCTTAGAGAAGTAAACAGTCTTGCTTGTGGCCACTTTTTTGTTTTTTTTTTTTTGGGACAGAGTCTCACTCCGTCACCCAACCTCCGCCTCCCGGGTTCAAGCAATTCTTTTGCCTCAGCCTCCTGAGTAGCTGGGATTACAGGTGTGCACAACCATGCCTGGCTGCCTTTTTTTTTTTTTTTTTTTTTTTGTATTTTTAGTAGAGACGGGGTTTCACCACGTTAGTCAGGCTGGCCTCGAACTACTGACCTCGTGATCCACCTGCCTTGGCCTCCCAAAGTGCTGGGATTACAGATGTGAGCCACAGCGCCCAGCCACTTGTGACCACTCTTAATGTTAAATGTATCATTTTGGTGCCTATGTTTCCAAAGACTGCCCCTCAAGGATAATCTGTGCCAGCATATCTATTCAGTTCCAGTTCTGTCATGGGATAAGTCTTTACTCAGTGTGGTGATGGTTAATGACATGTTAGAGATTGGCTTCGAAGTTCAGAGGCCACAGTTCTTGACTATCAGATCCTTTTTGCTCTCAAACAAGACTCTTGTGAATTTGTTGTTTTGCTTTGTTTTAATGCCCACAGTCTCATATGTTGACCATTGGCTTTCTACAAGCTCAAGGAACACATCTTCAATACTAGCTGCTGGTTAACCTTACACTTTGGAAGAGTTTTACATGTATAAAGTTGGAAACAGGAGAGACAGAGGCAGCCTGTGGCTGTGTATGAATAATCTCTGACCTATCATGTTTATGAAGAAATTCTGTGCTGAGAGATAGAGAAATGGGAGGGTTTTCATACCTTATTAATTTAGAATTATATAAAAATTAATTCACCTGGTTCTGGGTTAAATTTTGCATTAGTCTTGGTTTTTTAAGTTAAAAATGACCAAACCCCAAGTCAAGCTGGCAAAATAAATACATAAGTACATGCATACACATTGGATACACACATAAACTGAAGTACTCTTGTGTGTCCAATTGCAGGGATAGCTGGGTCCAGGGGCTCAGAGAATGTTAATAGATATGTGACTGTGTATCAGTACCACTTATATATGTGTGTTGGCCTAATTCTTACAGAAACTGGCTTTGTCCATGTATCATGGGCAAATGGTCAAAAGAAGCTACAGGTTACGTCGTCATAGTTCTAGATGCAAAGAAGTCTTTCTCTTCCAGGCTTCTTCTAAGAAACCTCACTTCAGATTCTGGTTCAGTTTGGGTTGCATGCCCTTTCCTGAAACCATCAATCTGGCCATGTGATTGAGGCCTCTATTAACCAAGCTGATCCAGGTGCTTATTACTGCAACTGGAGAGTAAGGCTGGCTTCATCAAACCACATAAATGGATTACTTACTGTGTGGATTATTTCAATAACAAAGTCACACAGGGGGATCTGGAGAGCTATACCAGGTCCCCTTCATATGTTTTTACTTTGTCTTAAGTCTTATTTTGCTTTGAAATGCACATAATAGAAATGACAATTTATTGAGTTCTTGCTGTGCTTTATGTGTGTTATCACACTTAATCCCCAAAACAACCCTGGGATGCAAGGTATGTTATCAATATTCACAATTTACAAGGGAAGAAATCAAAGCTTAGAGAAATTAAGTTGCCTTGGGTCACATAACTAGTAGGTGGTAGAACTGGGATTGGAATCAGATATAATAAACTACTAAGCTTCATGACTGTGTTTTATTCATTTATTTGGTTTGTATAATTTTGGAAGTTTTTAGCTTTGAGATATTTACCTGAAAGACTGCCTTAATGGTCTTAGTCTATCTGGCTGTGACATTTTCTACTCTCAATAAATATTTGTATTGCCCTTACTAGATTTAAATACCTTGAAGACAGGGAATTTCATATGTGTTTTTTTTTCACAGTTTAAAAATAGTTCCATACCTAAAAGAATTGAAAATAGGTGTTCAAACAAAAATTTTTACAGAATGTTCACAGCAGCACAATTCACAATAGCTAAAAGGTGAAACAAAAAACAACAAATGTCCATCAGCTGATGAAGTATAACCAAAATGTGGTATATCCATTCAATGAAATATTATTCAATCTTAAAAATATTAAGTACTAGTACATGCTATAACATGGAAGAACCTAAAATTCATGATGCTAACTGAAAGAAGCTAAACACAAAGGTCACATATTGTATGATTCTATTTATATTAAATATCTTGAATGAGCAAATCTATTGAAGCAGGAAGTAAATAAATGGTTGCTAGGGTTATGGGGAGACAGGAATGGAGACTGACTTCTTGAAGGGTACAAGTTCTCCTTTTGGCCTGAAGAAAATGTTCTCAAACTAGATAGTGGTGATGGTTTTGCATCACTGTGAATGTACTAAATGCCACTAAATTTCATTTTATATGATGAATTTTATATTGTATAGTTCAGGCATATAGTAGATACTTGAAAAATATTTAATAAATGAATGAATGCTAGTAAGATAATAGACTTTTTAAAAAATAAATAAGTTGGTTACTAGGACTCTACCATTACAAAGATGTTTATTGTAAAGATTTGAAGCCAAAATCAGGCACCTTTTAGGAGGTTATTACAAAATTTGTGTGACTTGCATAGAATCACAAAAAGACTCTGAATAGCTAAAGCAATCTTGAGCAAGAACAACAGATATCACACTTCCTGATTGCAAATTATATTACAGAGCTACAGGTGTAAAACAGATACACAGACCAATGGAACAGAACAGAAAGGACAGAAGTAAACCCATTCATATATGGTAAATTAATTGTCAATAAAGGCACCAAGAATGAACAATGGGTAAAGGATAGTCTTTTCTTTTCTTTTTTTTTTTTTTTTTTTTTTTTTGAGACGGAGTCTCGCTCTTTCGCCCAGGCTGGAGTGCAGTGGCGCGATCTCAGCTCACTGCAAGCTCTGCCTCCCGGGTTCACGCCATTCTCCTGCCTCAGCCTCCCGAGTAGCTGGGACTACAGGTGCCCGCCACCGCACCCTGCCAATTTTTTGTGTTGTTAGTAGAGATGGGGTTTCACCGTGTTAACCCGGATGGTCTCGATCTCCTGACCTCGTGATCCGCCCGCCTCGGCCTCCCAAAGTGCTGAGATTACAGGTGTGAGCCACCGCGCCCGGCCAAGGATAGTCTTTTCAATAAATGGTGTTAGGAAGCTGCATATCTGTATACAAAAAGAAAACAGAAAAAAAAAAGAAATTGGATCCATACATAGAAATCAATTCCAAATGGATTAAAGATCTAAATGTAACATCTGAAACCATAAAACTCCTAGGAGAAAATATAGTAGAAAATCTTCACGGCATTTGTTTTGACAATAATTTTTTGGCCAAAAGCACAGGCAAAAAAATAAAAAGCAAAAATAAATAATTAGATTACATCAAACTAAAAAGTTATTGCACAGCAAAGAAAACAGTCAACAAAATGAAAGGCAACCTGAAGAATGAGAGAAAATATTTGCAAACCATGTATTGGACAAGGAGTTAATATTCAAAATATAAGAAACTCATGCAACTCAACAGCAAAAACAAAATTTTTTAAATAAAAATTGGGCAAAGGACCTGAATAGACATTGTCCTAAAGAAGACATGCATATTAAATGAAGGAGACCAACAGGTATGTGGAAAGGTACTCAACATCACTCATCATGGATATAAATCAAAATCACTGTGATATCACCTCACACCTCTTAGAATGGCTGTTATCAAAAAGTCAAAAGATAATAAGTGTTGATGAGAATATGGAGAAACTCTTGAACACTGTAGGTGGGAATGTAAATTGGTAGAGCCATTATGGAAAACAGTGGAAGTTCCTCAAGAAATTAAAAATAGAACACACAGCCAATAACCATATGAAAATGTGTTCAACATTGCTAATCATTTAGAGAAATGTAAATCAAAACCACAATTAAATAACATTTCACACCAATCAAAATAGCTATTCCTAAAAAGTCAAAAAATAACAGATGCTGGTGAGGTTGCAGAGAAAAGAGAACACCTATACACTGCTGGTAGAAATATAAATTAGTTTAGCCACTGTGGAAAGCAGTTTGACAATTTCTGAAAGAACTTAAAACAGAATTATCGTTAGACTCAGAAATCCTATTCTTGGGTATATACTTAAAGGAATATAAATCATTCTGTCATAAAAGCACATACATGTGTATGTTTTTCACATCACCATTAATAGGAAAATCATGGAATCAACCTAAATGACCATCAGTAAACTTGATAAAGAAAATGCAAATATACACCATGGAATACTACTGCACGTAGTGAGATGATATCCTTTGCAGCAATGTGGATGAAGGTAGAGACCTTTATCTTAAGCAAACTAACACAGAAACAGAAAACCAAATATTACATGTTCTCATAAGTAGGAGCTAAACACAGTACATATGAACACAAGGGAACATCAGACAAAGGGACCTACTTGAGTGTAGAGGGTGGGTGGAGGGTGATCAAAAAACTATTGGGTACTATGCTTACTACCTGGGTGATGAAATAATCTGTACACCAAACCCCTGCGACACAAAATCTACCTATATAAAAAACCTGCACATGTACCCCTGAACCTAAAATAACAGTTTTTTAAAAAATAGAACTAACATGTAATCTAACAATCCCATTTGTGGTTGTATAACCAAAGGAAACGAAATCAGTGAGTGAAAGAGAGATCTGCACTCCCATGTTCATTGCAGCATTATTCACAATAGCCAAGATACAGAGTCACCACAAGTGTTCATTAATGAATGAATGAAGAAATGGCATATTATTCAGCCTTACAAAAGAAGGAAATTCTGCCATCAATTACAACATGGATGAACCTGGAGGATGTTATTATAATGAAATAAGCCATCCACAGCAAGACAAATATTGTGTGATTTCACTTACGTGTGGAATCTAAAGAAGTCAAACTCATAGAAACAAGTAAGACTGTGGTTACCAGGATTTCAGGAGGTGGGAGAAATGGGGAGATCTTGGTCTAAGGGTACAAAACTTTCAGTTATAAGATGAAAAAGTTCAGGAGGCCCAATGTGCAACATGGAAACTATAGTTAATATACTGTATATTTGAAATTTGCCAAGAGAGTAAATGGTAAGCTTATGACACACATAAAATAATGCTATGAGGTGATGAACATGCTAATCAGCTTGATTGTGGTAATGATTTTACTATGCATTTATACATAGAAAAAATGGTATGGGTAGGGCCATTTATACATGTTTTCCTTTCTTCATTCTTCAAGATAGGAACAGAGAACATTCATTCTATTAGGCATAGTTCAAAGCAGTGCTGAGATACTATATTTCTTTTGTTGTTGTTGTTGTTGTTACATTTGTCGATTTGTGAAACAGCTTTTGAACATGTTGAAGAAAATGCTAGGAGTTTATGAACAGTAGGGAAAGCTAGATCTTTCAAATATATCTACATTGGACAGTTACTTAAGCAATGTATAAGTCAGGATAGACTCTCAGTGTGTCTCAATCTTAATACAAATCATGTGGTGATGTTGTTAATATGCAGCCTCTGACTCACTAGTTCTGAGGCATGCCCTAAGATTCTGCATTTTTAACAATCTCTGAACTGATACCAGTGCTGCTTGATCAGGTACCACATTTTGATTTTTGCTGTGGTAGGAAATTCACCCTGAAATCCCAGCGTTTTGACACTCGTGCTATATGTCTCACTCATGTTACATGTCTGAGGCAAGTCATTGAGACACATTGATATGGGTTCCTCAGGGACCCATATCAATGAAGGATCTATCATCTTGCTGTTTGTTGTATCTTCTGAGGGATAGGAAGAGAGAGGGTTGGAAAACAGAGCCCCAGCAATTAAATACTTGACTCCAAGGTGTCACACATCACTTATATCACATTTCATTAGCCAGTAGTAGTCACGAGAGCATACCTAACTTCAAGGGAATAAAGAAATGTAATTCTGTGTATATTCTGAAGCAGAGCAGAACCATAGATTAGTGAACCTTAGTAACTTGTCAAGGTGATTGTGCATGGAGTTTTATCATGTGACCATAATGGTCATTCACAAGCTTCATGAGAAATGTGTTTGCATTATGGCTTTTGTTACATGCCTTTTATTTATAAGAGCGTTTGGTATGATTTTTCTTTCTCTTCATAGGATAAGCTAATAATTCTTTTAGACTGATAGAATTTGCAGCTGAAAGGAATTATAGATGTTATCACCAACGCTTTTATTTAGTAAATGGAGAGTCAGAGGCATAAAAAATGATAAGCACTTTGCTTTCCAGGGATGAGAATATCATGTCTATTATTTAGTTATTTGGGCTTCAACTCTGAGTCTTTCTATGGTACCACTGCCCATTTTTCCCTCTGGGAAATAGCAATGAATGAGTTATCCATACAGAGATCAACTTTTCCATACTCATGATTATACACATGATCTTACATAGAACTTTATACTCCTTTAAGTTTTAAAATAGTTGGATTAAAATGGGTTTCAGATGCTTAATAACTCAAATTTCCAGGCCATTCCAATGGTTTATGGAAACAGTGGGACAAATTTTTTTTTAATTGGAGAGGATATCCTATAAAATATAAGGCATGTTTTTATACACATATACGTAATGGTATCAGACACATATAATCATATCCCAACTTTGGTAGGTTGAGTTCGCTTTTAAGAATTTCCATTAATTATAAAAATTACTGGATAAATAATGGATGATAGCAATAGCTAGAATGAACACCCAGTTGCCGCTGAATTATGTGCTCAAGTAAAAATGCCCTTAGAAAAGAAGAAAATCTCACGATATTACTGGTGACATAGAAGATTTACTTATGGAAAACTTTCCTTTGTTGCTTTGTCAAGTTGTCATTTGTACACCTTCTTTGTGGTTCCCAGATCCCAGCACACTCCTTTCAACATTTGTTCTATACATCTCTTCCACCTTAATATACTGAGTTGGAAAAGTGGCAGGTTATTAAGAAAGAGGCGAGCCTTGGAGCCTGGCAAACCTGGGCTTGAAGCCCAGCACCACACTTTTGCCAGCTGTGTGGTGTTAGGTAAAACACTTCCTCTCTCTGATCATTGGCTTTCTAATTTGACAATAAAGAACATAATGTCTACCTTGTCTAGTTGTTGTGGGGATTAGATGCAATATATGTAAAAGGCACCTAGCAGAGGGGTCCTCTCATTGCATGCATTCCTTAAATGCTGACTATGATTATTTTAAAGCCACGGGAACTGGGCTTCAGTATCTGAAAATCTTAATTCTGACATCCTTTCCTCAGTGACTTTGATCTCTAATTTTCATGCTTTTGGGATCCTCCTAACTGACTTTTCTGATACTACTTACCTCTGATGTGCTTTTATCATGAAAAAGCTAGGCTCAAGAATTATCTATATCTTATTTTTAAAGAAAATCCAGAAATCTGAATATCTATGTGAAATTTCCTCTTCTCCACCATCAGATCTGTGAGAAAACACATCTTTGGCCAAGAGCCAAAGTTTGTGACTTTCTATTAAGCGTAGTTTAATATTCCCCAAAGTATAATCTTCAAACTATCTGCTTGAAAGGTATGAGGATGAAAAGGAAAGTTACAATTATCATTGTAGGCTATTAAATCAGAATATCTGGGGTCTGGGCAGGATATGCATTTTAAACAAGCTTTCCAGGTGATTCTATGTCCTTTAATGTTTGATTATTTATTTATTTATTGAGATGGAGTTTTGATCTGTCACCAGGCTGGAGTGCTGTGGCACGATCTCAGCTCAGTGCATCCTCTGTCTCCCAGATTCAAGCAATTCTCCTGCCTCAGCCTCCCAAATAGCTGGGATTACAGGCATGCACTACCATGCCTAGCTAATTTTCTTATTTTTAGAAGAGATGGGGTTTCACCATCTTGTCCAGGCTGGTCTCAAACTCCTGACCTCGGTAATCCGCCCACCTTGGCCTCCCAAAGTGCTGGGATTACAGGCGTGAGCCACCGTGCCCGGCCTAATGTTTGACAATTTAGATTAGTTGGAGTATTACCCCCTTTTCCAGGCTTATTGAGATATAGTTGGTGTATTAGTCTGTTCTCACACTTCTTTATAGAAAGAACTACCTGAGGCTGGATAATGTATTTTTAAAAAGTGGTTTAATTGGCTCACGGTTCCACACACTATACAGGAAACATGGCTGGGGTGCCCTCCGAAAACTTACAATCATGGCGAAGGCAGACGGGAAGCAGCAAGTCCTATGTGGCTGGAGCAGGAGGAAGAGAGAGAATGGGGCAGGGGGAGCGGGGGTGGTGCCACACATTTAAACAATCATATCTCATGAGACCTCACTTACTGTCACGAGTAGAACAAGGGGGAAATCCTCCCCCATGATCCAATCACCTCCCACCAGGCCCTACCTCCAACACTGGGGATTACAACTGGACATGAGATTTGGGCAAGGACACAAATCCAAACGATATCAATTGGTGTACAAAAAAGTTGCTTTGGTATACAAAACTGCACATAATTGATGCATACTATTTGGTGAGTTTGGACACATGTATATACTCATGTTATCACCAAAATTCAGGTAATAAACATACCCATCACCTGCAAAAGCTTCCTGTGTCCCTGTGTTATTCTGTTTTTTGTTTTGTGTATATTTATGGTAAGAACACTTACTAGAAGATCTACCCTCTTAAATGTTTAAGTACTGCATTTCTTAAAGTAACCTTGAAACGGTATCAGGAAGACACAGGGATGGGGCACATTGTGGCTTCTGAGGGAAACCCTAGGTATGTGAAGTGAGGTACACATCCACCTAAACTTCACATTCTTTTCCATTTGCCGATCTTCTCTCTTCCAGCTGAAAAAAGAGCAGTGTGGCATGCCTGAGACATTGAGTCCCCAACCAATTTCATTAATTCACTGAAGACCACATGGTTGAATTTTCTGATCACTTAGTGGGTTTCTGTCAAATTAGATTAGCTGGTGTTCAAGTGCAAAGCTTAAGGTTCTTTGGGTTGGAGTTCGTTTAAAGATGTGGGTATTTGTTTTTGCAGTACAAGGTTGTGTTGAAAACTCTTCTCCCTGATGAGCTCTGGACTACCTGCTATGGATCTTTCATGCCTGTTGTTAACAACACTTGGATGAGGCCATGCTTTAATTTTTACTTATGTAATGGAACTCATCCATCACATTTTACAGAGCCTTTTTGATACGGTCAGTGCTTATCGGTGTTCAAAAAATAAATCCCTGTTCCAAACCTGTATTTAATTCCAAAGCAATTGCCTTTGGCTATGTTCTACAGTCAGTACTGAATACGTTGCCTTGTAGGTGGTTTTGTTTTATTAGTGGTTTCTGAGTTTAAACAAAAATATGCTTTGTTTGTCTTCTAGATTTCAGTTAGTATTCATGCCTCTGTTAACAGTGAATGTTCGATAAATGCTATCTAATAAAAATAACACAGATATCATTTTTTGAGCTTTTATTATGTGCCATATTCTGTGTTGAACCCTTTATAATGAAGCATTTTGTGTTAAGGATTCTCAATTCATCCTTACCAGAAACTTGTGAATATTGTTGTCCTCTTTTTATAGATGGCAAAGCAGGCTAGAGGGGTTTGAAATTATTGAGCCAGGATTCAAAACTTTGCTTTCTTATTCCAAACCTGTATACAAGGTTGATTTACATAAACTATCATGAAGAAAGTTTTTAATAATTTCCACTTTAGCCTAACATCTGGTAACTGTATTAATCAGTTATTGCTACCATACTGCTGTATAACAAGTTAAACTAAAACTCACTGCCTTGAGACATTTGTTGTTTGCTTATGGGTTGGTGAGTTGTCTGGAGCTTGATCTAAGCAAGGCTTGGATTCGTGCTGTAGATTGGATTCAAGTACAGGCCAAGTTTTTCCTTCTGAGGCTCAGGCTAAAGGGCAGCATCTTCCTAGGGCATAGTCGTCTCATGGTCAATAACAAGAAGACAAGAGAAACATGTAATACCTCTCAAGAATATGGACTAGAACAGGCATACTGTCAATTTCACCTACATTAAATTAGCTAAAGCAAGTCGCATGGCCAAAACCAATATCAGTGTGATGAGAAGTGTGGAAATTAGTGTGGATGCTGAGAGCAGGGTAGGTATGTAAAGAACCGCAGCAGTGCTTACATCCACCATAGTCACCCTTCCTTTTCTTCTCATGCTCACTGAAATGTCATTGGTTTCTGAGTGTGGCATTAAAAGAACTGAATTTTTCTACAAATTAAAACAAGATTTTACTTTTATGTCTCATTAAAGTTATAATTTCAGAACATTTTTGCTATGTTAATCATAAAGATACAGAGACTTGTATGATTAGAGACATGGGCTCAGTAGAGATTGTGATTACTGTTTATAAATGATTATGGCAATATGGATAGTAATAGCCAACCCAATTTGAGAGAGAAAGACAAAGTTAAGGTTCATTTATTTTTTGAAGACATTATATTAATATATACTACATGAGAAACAGAGGCAATCTGTGTATTGAAAAAGTTTATTAAAAGCTCTTTTGATGCTTTATTTGGTAGAGCTGTGACTTACAATCCTTTTGTTCTAGATAGAACTACATTTTTGCAGTGTGTACAACTCTACTTAAACATTGCCAGTGTTTTTGAATATGCTGTTGCCACTTTTGTCCTTAATGTAGATTTTTGAGGAAAGAAAACATCACTAAGATATTGCAATCTTTTTTCCCCACCTCTTTGCAAACTATGACTAGGCCAGCCTCTAATCAGTGGTATGCTGGTAAACCATCTCTAAAAGAGAGGGGTGGAGGGGCTATGATTTGTACTGTTCACCGATTTGTAAGGTGTAAATATTCCCACCATGGCTGCTTTGGATTTGCCAATGGCTTAACAATCAGCTCACAAAATGCAGCTATGAGACAGCTCCCACAACCATCTTCTGATACGAATACTATTTGTTCCACCAAGGAGTTTCCTATCCTTTTTATTTTCTTCTAATTATTTTTTCATACTGCCTCAGTTTGTTCTCATACACCATCAAAACAATAAATTAAGCTTAAGTGATTCTCAAAAACTAGTATGAAAATATGGTGCTTTAAACTTTGAAAACAAGCCACTGTGTTTTTGACATACATGCAAATTGAGTATTCTACTGTAGAAGACAGCACAGAATCCTAAAAGATCACAGCCTATCATTTGTTACCTGTTCCTCAAGGTATAAGAAAAGAAACTAAGGTTCTCTTTGAATTTAAATAGCCAAGGTTTCAGTGGACCAAAAGGCATCTCCTTCCCTGCCTTCTGATTCCATCTGAAATAAGCTACATGAAATCCATATAACTAAACTTTGTGGTTGCATTGGAGAATGTACTTAACAGGATCATATGTCAATATGTCATGTGAATGGAATGACTTTAAATGTAGAAGGCATTTGAATGGTAGAAATAGTCTCTCCTTTGCGAAGTATTATGCGAAGGAATGAGACTGGGTAAAATTTCCTTTAAATAGACTCACCATCGCACTCTACTCCTTAGCAACTGACCTCTCCCCCTGGAGTTGAGTGATGGGCACATATTCTGTGTATTTTCCTCTCCCATTTTTTTTTCTATGGATATTTCCTTGAACAGGAAAGCTCAATCATTTCTAGCCTAGGCACATTAGATTCTTGGAGGGATTTCCAGGAGTAAGTACACATCCATCCTTTTCTCTAATTAATTCAAGTACTGAGCATTGATAGGGTCACATGCCCTGTCTTACATGTTGGGATGGATACAAAACTAAATTTGATTTTTTTTAAGTTACAATTTAATGAGGAAGACAGAAATCTGACCTGTATTCACATTTCCTTAATCTCAGGCAAAATTGAAGGGCAAATTGAGATCTGTGCTATGAATTCAGATAAAAGAAAACAGACTTACAGTGGAGACGTTGAGAGTAAGGGAAGCCTTCCTGGAAGAGATAGCATTAAATCGTGGGTAAGATGTTGATGTCTAAAAGTTAGGAAAGAGTGAGCTAGTTTTCCAGAATAAGAGAATAACCACCCAATGGGTTCACCTTGCCCACTACCTAGACAGAGCTGATGTATCAAGACAGGAGAATTGCAATGGACAGAGTAATTCACACAGAGGTGGCTGTGTGGGAGACCATAGTTTTATTAATACTCAAATCAGTCTCTCCAAGCATTCCAGTATTGGAGTTTTTAAGGATAATTTGGTGGTTAGGGGCTCAAGAAGTAGGGAGTACTGGTTGGTCGGGTTGGAGATGGAATCAAAGGGGGTCGAAGTGAGTTTTTCTTGCTGTCTTCTTTTCATAGGTGGGATCGCAGAACTGGTTAAGCCAGACAGCCTGTCTGGGTGGTGTCAGCTGGTGCACCCAGTGCAGGGTCTGCAAAATATCTCAAACACTGATCTTAGGTTTTACAATAGTGATGTTATTCCCACGAGCAATTTGGGGAGGTTCAAACTCTTGCAGCTAGAGGCTGCATGGCTCCTAAACCATAATTTCTAATTTTGTAGTTAATTTGTTAGTCGTACAAAGGCAGACTGGTCCCCAGGAAAGAAGGGTGTTTTTTTCTGGGGGGAAAAGGGCTATTACCAATTTTGTTGCAGAATTTTCAGAGTTCAACTATAAACTACTTTCCTTCTCAAGGTTAGTTCAGCCTCCGCCCAGGAATGAACAAAGACAGCTCCAAGGTTAGCAGAAAATGGAGTTTGTTAGGTCTGATCTCTTTCACTGTCATAATTTCCTGAGTTATAATTTTTGCAAAGTTGGTTTCAGGAGGAGTCACCGAAGTAAAGGTTAGAGATAGAGGACCACAGAGTATAAACCAAGAGATCTCAGTTATTCAGTTTGGCTGGAGCTTGATAGGGAAAATTGGGAGATGTGGAATGAAAGTTTAGCCTGAAAAGGCCTTGAGTACCAAGGTGGTTTTGGAACTAGTGGCATTTTGAGTTGGTGGTTGAATGAAGGCACGTTTGAAGAATGGGATCTTGCTGAAGAAACTGCATCATCAAATGGTTACCATCTTCCCCTTAAAGCTAGTTGAGCTATGAATGGGTGGAAGGCTTCCACCCTTTTGACCAATTCTGAAAGCTGGGTGGCCTCCCTAGAAATGATCACTGACTCTGGCAAAAATAAGATAAAGGGAATAAACTCACAAAACAAAGATACCCCTGTCCTCCAAAGCCTCCATAATGTATCAGCCCCATGTGAGATCCAAACCAGTTTGGAAGTAAATGTAAGAAAGTACTAGAAAATCTAAGATTTGCCATCTTGATGCAGAACAACAAAGTGCTTGTCCAGTTGGCTTTTGTTTCTCTTGTCTCATCCTGCTTAGAACTGATGAGCTTCTGGGGAGTTTCTTTAATCAGCTCCGAAAGGCTGTGAACTTGTTTATTCCCATATCAGTGCAGCAAGATGGAGTCAGTTAAATTTAGCTTAAACATTAAGTACCATTCAAATACGTCTTTCTCTTAACTATACAAATCCTGCAGAAAATAAGATTTTCATGTCTTAATTGTGATACCTAAAGTGTCTTTTATTCTCAGCATGCTTGAGATAGCAAAGTAATTTTCGAGCTGAATGTGATTGTCTCAGACAGTCATGATTCAAATATTTAATCTAAAGGGAAAATTCCCAGAGTGCCTCTCTCGTCATTTCTCAGTTCTATGGAGAATAAAAGCCTCAACTTTATATGATCAGATATTATTTCCATTATTGGTATTATGCTGTAGGCAAATATCCTTCAAGAGGCAAAGTCTACATCCCTTGTGCTTAGCGAGTTAGGCGTCACAAAGGCCCAATCTGGCCTTTACAATATGAGCTGCTGCTACCTTGTAATCTGTGGAGAATTTAATAACTATAATTTTACTTTATACAGCACAGCCTTTAAGATTTAATAGTAGATTCTTCACACACACAAAGTATATTTTTCTCTTGTAAGGCCTTTTCTTATTCAAAGATCAAATTTCCTATAGGTTTAGTTGCTTTAACAAAGTGCCTGTCAGGTTGCACTTTGTAGGGGTGGGTGAGGATCTATAGATTGATTACCTGGGGAATTGGATGAAAGCAACTTTCTTAGCAACCCACTGGCATCATTTCAAGTTTTCTCATTACCCATTAAGAAGCAAATGTCCTAGGTTAATTGTCTTTTCTAAATTGCTGGCATTTTAATGTATCCCAAATAAATAATGTTACATCTCAAGCAGTTTTTCTCCAAGTATAAGTCTTCAGACCACCCATGTATAAATCTCCTGGTGAGATTAAAAATGCAGATTTCTGAGGTACCCTTAATCTTACTGAGTCAGAATTTCTGGGGATAGGACCGGTAGTTTACATTTTTAAAAAGAGAATAATATGTGATTCTTATGTACACTAAAGTTTGAGACATACTGGTCTCTGTGCTTTGAAATTTCACTATTTAATTTTATTCTTACAAATGTTATGTATGATAGTAGTCTCTTCAGACTTGTAGGTAAAGATAATAAAGTACAGATTGGCTTAAGTATGGGGTTCTCAAATTCCATGCTGAGGTACCCATGGATACTACAGTGATCTCACAGAGGTTTGCAGGATATTTTAAAATTTCTGGGAAAATACAGTGATACTTGAGATCTGTTGGGCAGCTACTAGTTCAAGGCAGTTCAGGTTCAAACTATATCTCTGTTGCACTTGTTGCCACATATTTTTTTTATGTTGTCCTGTTTGTGTAGCCGGGTTTGTAGTTCTTGCTGTGAACAAAAGCTTGACCCATATGAAAATCAATATAGAACAAGAAAAAAGAATGCTGCTGTCCAATCTGATTCTGACATTTAAGAAGTGTGCAGCAATATTATTATCAATTTTTGAGATGGAGTTTTGCTCCTGTTGCCCAGGCCAGAGTGATATGTCATGATCTCGGCTCACCGCAACCTCTGCCTCCTGGGTTCAAGCGATTCTTCTGCCTCAGCCTCCCGAGTAGCTGGGATTACAGGCATGCGCCACCACGCCTGGTTAATTTTGTATTTTTAGTAGAGACAGGGTTTCTCCATGTTGATCAGGCTGATCTTGAACTCCTGATCTCAGGTGATCTGCCTGCCTGGGCCTCCCAAAGTGCTGGGATTACAGGCGTGGGCCACAAAAGATTTTATTATATTTTTATAATATTTAATATATTCACATATGTGACATTTTATAATATCTCTCAAATAATGTATATTTTTTCAAACAGATGTTAAAACATCAGAACATAAACATCTGTTAGGGTGTTTGAACTACTTAATAAATGGAAATATTAAGTGTTTTGGGGGCCTACTGTACACAGTGAAAAACTACTGGGACACTAAGGTACCACATGACCTTACTAAAGTTTGGGAACCTCTAGTTTAAGTCATGAATTTGTGGAAGTAAATTATGAACCCAAGTCTACATGGCTCTAAATGCTATGTATGTTGAATGATGCTTCTTAGATCATAATCTCATCAAGGAATTCCAGAGTACAGACGTGTGTGATGACAGGCTTGGGTGTGAAATGCTGTTCAGGACTGCATCATTAACATAGGAGTTCATTATTCTCATTCTTCTAAAGTGGTCACATTGAACTGACTATCAAGTAACCTCGATTCTAGCCCTGACTTTTCCCCCTAGCTTTGTGACTTTGGGTAGGTTACTTCTCTGTGTTTTAGGGTTTTAGCTGGGCTTGGCTACCTAACAACAGAGATAAGGAAGAGGATAGTTATAAATATCTACACAGTCTTTAGCTGCCAGGCATTGTGCTAAGTGCTTTGTGTCATTGTTTTTATTCTCAAATATCCTTGAGTTATTTTATTAGGTTCTTTTATTATTTCTATTTAATAGATAAGCAAACTGAGAAATAGAGAGTGAAGCTCTCTACCAGCCAACTAACAGCTAGCACAGAATATCCAACACCGGAAATTATGCTCTTAATCACTGACTACAAAAGTTATAAATAAGTTTATTTTAGTTCTTTACAGTCTTCAAAATAGCTACAATTTAGGTAACAGAGTGAGGCCCTATCTCAAAAAAAAAAAAAAATTCAAGGAAATCTAGTGCCTCATTCATATTTAGATCTCAGGAGATTGGCATCATATGGAGTGTAACAAAATGTCCACCTTCACAGTCTACATCCTGGAAGAGATCACCATTTTGAACCAGACCAACTGTGAACCTCTGGAGATACCCTACTTCCTGCCAAATTCCCACAGATTGGTCACCAAAGCAGGAGGTCACAATGGACTGGAATGAAAGTGAGCAACCAGGGCCAGATCTAATCCTTACCTCGTTCAGGCAGAGAGGCCTAGAAGAAGAAATCAGAATCAAGGACCAGTGAGTGGCTGCTGTGTATTTCTCATCTGTCTGTAGCTATCATCCTTGCAGCCCTTCCTTCCATAACAGAATGCAATTTCCAAAGAAAACCAATGAATATAGAAATAGAGCTGCCCTTTTACACAGGAAAATCCTCTGACTCGAGGAAAATAGAAAAGGGGATTAACAGCACTCAGGGTGTAAGAAGTCAGGGGAAAACGTGAGAAATCAGCAATCCGTTGATATGAACAGTAGAGTGACATTTAAGCTGGCCAAGGAGACCCAGGAGATCATGTTCAAGCATTTCTTTAAGGCAGAGAAATACCATCTCATTCAAGTCTTTGCTATTGCCTGGAAAACACCTTACAGCTAGAAATAATAATAATAAATAAAAAGGCCTTTGCAAAAAGTGTTGTGGAGTAATGTTGGAATTTGTTTTTTAAATGAAGGTTTTGGAAAACCAGAGGTATCCCATTGAGAATTTATACCATATTTTTTGAGATGGGGATAGGAAAGGGTGGATGAAAAGATATACTGAGGATACTTGGTAATGAGATGCACATTCTCTTTTTTAGAGATAAAGATAGAAAAGATTGGCCGGAGAGAGAAGCTTGTTAACTTACAGGCCTGACTCTACCAGCAAACTAACAGTCTGCTTAGAATTTTTCCAGAAGGAATGGCTGGCTACTTCGCAGCTCTTTTTTTTACACTGTTTCCTTGGGACCTCACTAGCTGCATGTGGATCAGATTTGTCTAATTGAGAAGCCAAAATATTTAGAAGTACTAGAGGGATGGGCAGCCTACTCAGATGGAATTAAGTTTTGTGTGTGTGTTTGTTGTTGTTTTTGTTTGTTTTTGAAACAGGGTTTTACTTTGTTACCCAGGCTGTAGTGCAGTGGCATGATCATGGCTCACTGCAGCCTCACCCTCCTAAGCTCAGGTGATCCTCCCACCTCAGCCTCTCTTGAGTAGTTGGGACTACCAGTGTGCACCACCACACCCAGCTAATTTTTGTATTTTTGTAGAGATAGGGTTTCACCATGTTGCCCAGGCTGGTCTCAAACTCCTGGGCTCACGCAATCCACCCACCTCAGCCTCTCAAAGTGCTGACATTACAGGCAATCTTGTGTTAATATTCAGGAGCAGATGTGCTTATCTGGCATTTTCCTTCTCTGGGCCCCAAAATCTTGACCATTGTAGTCATAAAGTTCTCTACCAGCTCAAACATTTTAAAGCAACAGTATTTGGGAGTGTTCTTTAACTCATGGCCTTTATGGTGACAACAGAAGCATTGATTGAGAATGACTGCTAACATTTTTGAGGCTCTATCATCTGACAACTGCTGTACACAGAACTTGCTGTAGGTTAACTCCTTTAAGTGACAAAGCAGACTTCAGAGGCTTCAAGCGACAAAGTAATTTGCACAAGTTTAAATTTTCTGTCTAGAGTTGTTCCATATTCTTCAATAATGAGATGTACTGGTGCTTCCCAACTTCTTTTTCTGAAACAAGACACAAGAAACAAAATGTTTTAGTATGCTGGGGTGTATTTTACAAGCAAATAGCAGAGGCTAGAGGGCTGATAGAAACAGTATCATGACATATAACCTAAGTGACGCAAATGCCCAAGATCCTAAGATCTTTCTATGAGGGAACTAGTTCCATCCCTTTTCTCAGAAGGTTCTTTTGCATTAGTCCAGCCTGTTTTCTCCACTGTGATCCCACATGTAGGATCTTGCTTTCATCTTATGTCACCTACTCTGGGATGACCAATTCTTGAATCATGGCCGTTATTATACATCATTTTCATCTGGAATTCTCTTACTGCTTATACTTTTGCAGAAAGTGTGATTTTTGCTATTGAGTTTCTGAATGATTTTGCTTCTCTTTAACATACTCCGCAAATACTAGTTGTCTGCTTTACCAGTTCACAGGGATGCCCTGAATGATGTTACAACACCTCTTCCCTCTCTCTCTTGCTATCCGCTCCCTTGCTTTCTCATTCTGGATTTACCAAGACTAGGTATTCTCCAGGGCAAAGGCAAGAGTTTTAAATTCTGTTATTGTTTGCAGGAAACTTCACTTTCCTCTCATCCAAGCTGGAAATGGTTCTCCTGTAGTGCAGCACCATAACACTTTCTGTATAACATAGTTATTTCCTAATGGATTTATTTATTTATTTCATAATGGATCAGACAGTACATATTTTAGGTTCCACAGGTCATATGGTTTCTGTTGCAACTGTGCAACTCTGTCATTGCAACATGAAAGCAGCCATGGGCAGCATAAAAATGAATGACCATGGTTGTGCTCCAAAAGAACTTTATTTACAGTAACAGATATTAGACTGCATTTGGCCCATAGGGCCACTGTGATTCCAGCTCAGAAATCACTAGCTTTGCCTTTACTTATAAAGAGTAGAGGCAAGAGGTTACCTTTTAATCATATCATATATTCTAGCAACAGTCAACTACAATATGCCTTTTGGAAGGGTACATCTTTATTTTTATCCTTCTCTGCAACTTGTTCAGGATAATGTCTCTGAGCCATTTTTCTCCTATTGGGTCTTTTCTCCTACTGGATTCTTTATCTCTCTCCATTTGAAATTCCTGGCTGCAAGGGTTTCAGGTGGGGACTAGTGTGGCATTACTGAAAGGCAACCAAAATCAGTGAGACTTAGTGCTAGTCCTGATGCTGCCATTTACTAACTCCCTGATGTTGATTCCTCAGAGCCTTTTCATACCTTATCTGTAAAGCAGACACTCCTCAAGGGGTTATTGAAAAGGTAAAAGTGCCACCCACGGGAGCTTTTGACTTAGGCCCCTACTTCTTGCTAGCTGTGTCATCTAGAGCAAGTTACTTAACTGCTCTATACCTCAGTGCCATTGCCTGTAAGATGAAATGAGACCTTGTAAAAATTAAATAACATAATGTATGTAAAAATGCTCACTGCAGAGCTTTGCACACAGTTAGTCTATACTAACCAGTATTTGTATTTTTATGTATCATTATACTCATTTATCACTATACTTATGGACTGCTTCATAAATTCCAAGCCAGAGTACACAGTCACATACAATGTCTAACCTTTTCTTCTACCATCAAATATATTTGGCCACTTAAATAAAAGAGCTTATTTCGTCTTACTCATATGCTTTCTTGAACTAGAAATTTCGGTGATAGAAAACCATTGCAAGCTACCTGAGACCTATTTTCCTAATTTTGTTCCTGTAGATACATTTCAGATGTTAGAGGAGGGAACATTTAAGCTGTAAGATCCAATTCAGGCATCCTGTTTCTCTCTGAGCTATTAATTAAACTTGACTCCTGAAACGCCAATAAATTGCAAAGGGCTTCCAACTTGCTACAGTTCTGTAATATTTCAATCAAA
Source organism: Homo sapiens (assembly GCF_000001405.40). NCBI lineage: Eukaryota > Metazoa > Chordata > Mammalia > Primates > Hominidae > Homo > Homo sapiens. The sequence continues at coordinate 68,348,708 of NC_000003.12, forward strand.
GTTTCTTTATGATCCTTGTTTTCTTCCCACGCTCCTCCACCCCAAGAACATCTGAAAGCAATTTTAAAAACTCAACATGCAATGTAAGAATGAATTACTGCAATCAGTCAAAGAGATCACATTAGTTCATGAAAAGTAGCATGGTTGAAAAACTGCACTAGGAAGATCAAGGATTCATATTAAAGAGGGGGTTGGGGCAAAAGCAAAATGAATGGCTTTTAATAATTTTAAAACATGGTTGATACAAGGTGTAGAAGCTTTTTGCTTCTAAAACAAACTGGTTTTCTTATGCTAAAACCTTGTTACAAAGCTGATGCCAATCTCCTGCTTGTTTCTTTATAGGAGACTGATTTCTTTTTTCCTTTCTGGAAATTTCTCCAGAATCATTCCCTATGGATTCAGAAAATTCTGCTATTTTCTAAGGACATCATAAAATTTGAGATCAATTCTCCTACCAGCTCTGTTATCTTGACTATCTCTTTTTTCAGGTTTTGGGGGGGTTTGGCTTGGAGCGTTTAAATCAGCATTTACCATCTTCAAATTCAAAGTTATCTGCACCTACTTTTTTCTTCGTTTTCACAAGCAAAATGCTTTCTAATTGCTAAAAAATTTGTACCAGAAATCACAGCACATAAGTCCCCATTTTTCTGGACATGATATTCTCTTATGAAAAGGTGTTACGGAAATAAAGATCCCTTAGAGACTACAGCAAAGACTAATAAAGGACGATAAAGTCCTACGGCACCCATATAGACAAGAGGAAGAGTTAACAGTCACAGATGTTTAGTTCTTCAGCATGTGTGTTTTATTTGGGCATAGAGTGTTTTTAAATTTTCAGCTGGCATTTTAAAATTTCATAGGAAAAAAAGTCAAGATAAGCAGCAAGTTGTACCTGGAAAGAGCCAGATAGTAACTATTTTAGGCTTTGAGGCTTACAGGTTTCTATCACAAACACTTAACTCTGCCATCGTGGGGAGAAAGCAACCATAAGCAATATGCAAATGAATGGGGGTGTGGCTGTGTTTCAATAAAACTTTATTTGTAAAAGCAAGCAGGGGATCAGGTGTGGCCATTAGGTCTTAGATTATGAACATCTGATCTAGATTATCACCTTCCCTAGTGGGGATGCGGAAGGGAGCCCAGAAGATCAGCATCTCTGGGTCCGTATTCACCATAATAGCCTTGAGCCAATTAACAACAGTTCTTTTTTCACACAGAAGAACTTTATGGTTTGCCACAGTCCCCACTACTCCCTATGAACTCCCAACCCAGTTTACTTCAGTCGTTAGCAGTATTTATCTGGCCTCTGTATAATTTAGACTCTATAACTCTGATTTAAGGGTTGTAAACTGAACCGTGCATATGTATAGTTATTGCTATAAGTAGCAAATGTTATCTTAAAAACTCTGGTGGGCCAAAGTGTGGATAACAAGACTGCAGTAAGAAAGAAATTGGTACTCAGCGCCTCAATCGGCTTTGTTTGATGAAGCACTGCTTTAAGAGGCTGTGCATATAATCCCTGCTCTAGAAGACCTGAGAGTTTAATGTTCTGCACAAATCCAAAGAAAAGCAAAATGTTGAGTATGTGTTATATACAATGAGAGACAAATGCTGTTCTTATTTAATTATGTTATGCCAGTATCTTATACACGCTGTTCTTATTTAAATATCTTCTAATAAATAACAGAACAGAGTTTCTCAAAGGCTGGTCCTTGGACTTTTTGCAGTAGAATCATGAGGGATGGGAGGGATACATGCTTATAGTTAGATTAGAACTACAGATACCTAGGCCTACCACAGATTTCCTGAATTAGCCTTCTAGGATCTGCATTTTTAAAAAGTCCCAAGGTATTTCTTATACACTATAAAATTGCAGAATTGCTCCTATAAAACAAGGACAGGTATTGTACTTCCTGTTTGTTTATTGGATGTAATTTAAATTCCTTTTTAACAGAAAAACAGCAGGATACATCTTCAGGACAGAGTCAATTACATGTACGAACATACATTCCAGACACAATTAAGCATTGATGAAGAGGTTGTTTATCTGTGTCAGAAAGAGCTCCATGCTGGGTCTCCTAATAAGTAGTCGTGTGGCCGTGGACCAGCCACTTAACTGGTCTGGTCTCTATATTCTAATCTGAGGGCAGAAATGAGGGCATTGCTAAAAGACCAAGACCCTTGTAGCTGGGAAACTGACTTTGAAATTCCATTAAAGAATTCCTATGCTGAAGCATATGGTACTGTCTTACTTGATTAGTGAGATGGAAGGACAGTATTCCCTCCTAACAGGTGGCTTACCTGTATTCCAGTAGAGTGGGGCTTCCCACCTTTGGATGCTCATTGGCATCATACAGGGAGCTTTTTAAATTCCTGATGTCCAGGCCATGCTCCAGATCAACTGAATCCAAATTTCTGGTGCTAGAACCCAGGCATCAGTATTGTTAAAATTCCTTGGGTGTTTCTAATGTGCCACCCAGGTAAGAACAGCAGCACTAGAGCAATGGTAGCCAAAGTTACTTAATTAAAAGAGTAACCTGGGTTGCTTGTTGAAAGTGGAAGGTCTCAGTCACTGTCCTGAACAATCCAATTCATTGAGCCTAGGATAGGTTCTGGAAATCTGTTTTTGATGAGCAACCAAGACGATTGTTGGAATCAGATAAATTGGGGTAAACACCACACCAGAGAATTTCTTAGTGTATTAAGCAGATTCAATGCAGTAGAGGGGTTTTTCTTCAACCCCCATAGGTTTGTAGTTAAAATGGACACCTGTTACAAAAGATAGATTAACAAGAGAAAAATAAAAGTTTATTAACATGTGTATTTTATATATTCATGGGGGACACTCGGAGTAGCTCTCTAAGAGTGACTTTGAATTCCAGCTTATATAGCATCTTCAAAAAGGAACTATACATTTTTAGAGAGTTGACAAGACAAAGGAAAAGAACTTTGAGTCTCTAGGGGTAGCAATTTAAGGGAGAAGACAAATAACTGGAAGAGAAAAGCTCTTGTAATAGACAAGCTTGTTAATGTGGATTCCTCTGGTATCATCTCCAGGCTGATGAGGGTGTAAAGCTGTCTTCAGTGGTTAACTTTGTTCTCCCCAGCAGAGAGGGGGAAGTTTACCTTTGTGTTTGCAAAGCTCTGTCTTGTTTTTAGGCAAGCAGAGTGAGGTCAGAGAGCTATCCTACATCTGTTTCATCTTAATGGTCTTCAGCTCAACAGTCCTATTTGGGATTCCTATTTGGGATTCCTATTTGGGGGCAGCAAGTTCTATTCTTCCACACTGGAAAGCAGTGTGGAATGCTCTATTAAGAGCATTAAGGAATAGAGATGTATAATCGAAATAAGAATACACAATTGTGGGAGATTCCAGGAAAGTAAGGGTCTGAAGGAGGTGGGAGATCTGAGAAAAGTCACTAACCACCCTCTTGAGCACTTGTAGGTAAACAAGTAGGAGCTTGCATAGGAATATGATATCAGGGAGGAAATACAGTTTCTCCTCAAGTCATAAATTTGTAGCTGGGACAGATCCCTGTAATAAAAGACAGATTAACAAGAGAAAACAAGCAGGTTTATTAACGCATGCAGTACACATCATGCAGGGGAAACCTCAGTGAAAGGTAATTGAAGGCAATGGCTTAGAACTCTAGCTCCTACAGCATCTTCAACAAAATAACAATAAATTCTAGAGAATTGACAAGGCAAAGAAAGTAGTTTTAGGCTTCCAGAGGTGAAAAACTATGGAAAGGTAAATATATAGAAGTAAACTAATGGAGTAAGGTTTGTTTGTGGATTCCTCTGGTGCCATATCTGAGCTGACAAGAGTTTTCTCCAGTAAAGGAGAATTTATATTCCATCTGTCTGTATAGAAAAGAAGGGAGGACAGAAAGCATTCTTCCTTTGTTTGCTGCTGCCTAGCTGTCTTTAGCTCAATAATATTTATGTCAGAGAGACCTATTTGGCATGACATATTCTGGTTTCTGTCAGTAGGAAGGCAGATGCCACTGCCACAGTGGGATGGCAGAAGAAAACTGACAGAAGTGCATGGAAGGCTGTTGTCCCATTGTCAGTGATAGGCCTGGGGACACTGGTGATTAGAGGGTCAGGAGTTGGGAAGAAGACCTGGAAGCAAAGCAAGGGAAAGTGAGGATGACCTAGAGCCCACATCTGTCATTTACCTCCTCTACCTATGATGACCTTCCCAGGGTATAGGGCTGCCTTTGGAGACTTCTGTTCTGACCAAATCTAAAACAGAATCAAAAAGCGAAGAAGCCAAATTGACCCAGTATTAAACCACTATGCCAGGAAAATGGCTTTTTTGTTCTCCTAAAATTGGGCCTTTTAACAAATGAGATGACTCCCTTATCTGTCCTTAAATTGTGTTCACTGGAGAAAAAAGCACACTTCACAGATTTGTTGCTCTCCACTGGGCTGGAATTAAGTCATTTTATCCCCAACTCTGATTTTTCATTCAGTTGTCTCCCACCAGCTTTGTGTAACTGATCCAAGCACCAAGCACTAGTAGTCTTTGGTCCATCTTTGGACAAACAAGGAGTCTGTAGCTTTTGTTTCTTTGGTTGTCTCTGTTCCTAGAAGTCACATTGTGAAGATGGACTTGATTGTGTCTCTGTTTCTTAAGTAAAGCCTGATATAGCGTGTAAGCCATTTATAGGTGATTCTCACCTTATCGGTTTATGTTCAGCTGCACAAGGACATCATGTGATTATTGTGGTGTGAGCACTCTAGTAGTAATTTTTATTTGGTGGGTTTGAGAAGTTTTTGATGCTTTAATGGACCGGGTGTTTCTGAGCTAGGTTTGTGGACAAGTATATCATTTTGTATTCATAGCCACTATTTGCTATATAATCTGGCTGTTCATGCAACAATGGCTGCAGGGAAGTAGGGAACAATAGAAGGAAAACTCTAAATATTCAGAAAAAGGCAGGAAACAGAAAAATCGAGCCTGAGGCAGACAGCAGAGGAGCAAGGTCAGTAGGGAAGGAAGAGGAAGCATTCTTGTCAAAGGTCGCACAGTATTTCAGTCTCCTAACGTTTTAACATGTGTGATGAACTCCGCAAGCAAAATCCACCAGGCTTGCTTTATTCCACGTATGGGCTAAAAAAGAGTAAGCTCTATTATAATTCCCAAATTAATCAACCCCAGTCTGAGCAGTACAAAATGGAGTTTTTAGACAAAATGCTGCAACTAATTCATACAACTTTAAGCAAATTGTTTTTGATCTCTGGGCCTCCGCTTTCCCACCATTAAATGTGGTGCTTGGATTGGATTAGAGATTACATATTAGCAGCCAGTGGGTTCTCCCTGTATATATACTAACTGACCCTCGAGTTTTGACTATAGGGGTTTTCGTTCATTTTTTAAAACAAAACAAACAACAACAAAAACTAGACTCTACATTTTATTTGAATTTCATTTATTTTTCTAATTTTTTTTTTCTATCCCAAGATTTAATGTAGGATACCACAATGCTTTTAGTACAGGGTGATTTCTTTTAATGGAATTGTCAACATTCAAAAAGTGAAATATTTCACATAAAAGATGTGGATTTCACACTTCCTTTGAAAGCTCAGGTGATCTGATGTGGATTTCACACTTCCCTTGACAGCTCGGAGAACAAAAGCCCTGTGTTTCCATCTAGCAGTGATAAGCTGGAGCTGAGATGCTACTGCTCTTTTAGGCATGACATGTGCCTTCATTTTCCCCAATCTCCGCTACTCTCTATTGCCTCCCAGACAATGAGACCAACTGACAACCGCCATTACCATCACTTGTTACCTCCTCTTGCTATACAGTGAAGAGAATATGAAACATCTAGAAAAAGAAATTGAGCAAGAACAAATTTAAGGAAATAAAAATACACTTAAATAACTGACTTAGTTCATTCATGCTACTGTAACAAAATACTTTAGACTAGGTAATTAATAAAGAACAAATTTATTTCTCACAGTACTGGAGGCTAGAAAGTCCAAGATCAAGGCACCAAGAGATTTAGTCTCTGCTGAGGGCTGCTCTCTGTTACTCAGATAGTGCCTTGTTGCTGTGTCCTCCAGAGGGGATGAATGCTGCGTCTTCACATGATGAAAGGGATGGAAGAGATAAACTTGTCCCCTCAAGCCCTTTTATAAGCCAGACATCCATTCAAGAGGGCAGAGCCTTTATGCCTAATTGCCTCCTAAAGGCCTCACCTCTCAATACTGTTGTATTGGGAATTAAGTTTCAGCATGAGCTTGGAGGGGACGCAAACATTCAAATCATTATAAGCAATCCACTTCACTCATTTATATGGTCGTTCAGATCCCTGTGGAAATTTTGGTGTGAAATTTCTGGACAAGAGCACCTTTTCCATTTTTTTCACTGTGGACATATGGGAAGTGGTGTTTGGTAGCCAGACCAGAGTTCTGCAAAAAACTGTGAGGGTCTTGCAGATGGGGTCTATCATGCTCTCTTCTTCAACCCTCTCTTACTGAGGGTAAGGGTTTTGAGCCCCAGACACTCAGTCAACATAGTCCTACTTTTGGGCTCTTTTATTTCCTCTAAGTCTGGGCTTGGGAAGCCAGGTTGCAGCACAATTAAGAATATGGGCTTTGAATTCAGGCTACCCCATTTCAAATGGTAGCTTCCCCACTTCAGAGGCATGTGACTTCTGTTCAGTCACTTAACCTCCCTTTACCTCAGTTCCCTTTTCATAAAATTGGGCTAATAAATAGAACTGAGTCAGTAGGATTGTTACGATAGATAAATGCACTAATATATGTGAAGGGCTTAGACAATACCTGGCATGTAGTGAGTGCTTAGTGCATACTAATGATTATTACTACCACCATTATAGCATCACCCCAGTGTTTTAAAACCCCATAGTAGCCTTATAAAAATCCCCCAATCCCAGACTGCGTCATAATTGTGAACATGGTAAAGAGCACTAGGGGATACAATTTCGTGAAATTGATTGAGCATACTTTATGTAGCTCCAGGGAAAAATACAGGCCAAGTAAGTAAAAGTTAGAGGGAAACAGATGTTAATGCAACATAAAGAAGGCTTTTCTTATGTTCAAAGCTAGAAAGCAATGAAGTGACTGCTTGTAAGGTGATGAGCAACCTGTCACTTATGGTGTTCAGGCAAAGACTGAATGATTGTAGCTAGGCAAGTTGTACGGCAAACTGGTAGTCACAAACTACATATGACTATTTAAATTTGTTACTTAAAATTAAATAATTAAGTTCAAATCCTAGCTAAAAGAAATAAATATTTTAAAAATTGAAATGAAATTAGAAATTCAGCTCCTCAAATACAGTAGCTACACTTGAAGTGCTGATAGCAATAGCCACAAGTGGCTAGCGGCTCCTTTATTAGACAACACAAATGTAGAACATTTCCACCACAATAGAAAGTTCTGCTGAACACCGTCATTATAGAGGGATGTCCTGCACTAGATTTCTGAATCCAGTATTTGGGTTGGAATAAAAAAACAATTTGATATACTGGGTGATATAGCACTTACCTGCAGACTCCATGATTTCAGGCTTATGCATGGCCCCAGGAAAAGCACTGTCCCTCAGCCTCAGTTTCCTCATATATATTATATGATTAAAACTTGTCCCTAAGGGTGGTTGTGAGTATAAAGGGATAAAGCTCAAGCTCAGCAGGTAGCACAAGGCAGCGTACACGGATGCTTGGGTTCTTTCTTTCTATGAAAGGAAAGGAAACATGTAGAGTCAACAATCTCAGGTACAGTAAAACAGCCATTTTATGTAGCCTCCCAAAGAGCAAGATCTTTCCAAAATCAATAGCTACCCTAGCTACCATCAGTGAGCACTTAACCGTGTACTGGGCTGTAAGCTAAACTCCTTACATGCAGTATCTGATTTAATTCCCGCCACCATCCTGTGAGATGGCTTCTCACACCAAAGATCCTAAAACTTAGAGAGATTATATGATTTCCCAAGATTATAAAGGGCTGTATACAGAATTCAAATGCAGCTTCTTTTGACTCACGATGATTGCTACTTATAAAAATTGATATATATGGAATATTACATATCCATACACACATACATACATGCATACATACATATATTGTGCTAAACACATGAATGCATCATCTCATTTAATCCTTATAGGTACTATGTGGGTGAAGAAGTTTTGAAAATTTAAATGCTTTGCTTAACAATTCCTACCCAGAAACTAGCACAGCTAGTATCTGGACCCAAGTCTCTCTAGTATCACGTGTTTTACAGCTGTGTTCCCAGGCTAGCATCCTTGTTTAGAAGACAGGTGAACAAAACCTTTAAGGTTGATGTCACTATGGCCTTTGTCATGCAGAGATAAAGATGCCATGTATGTGTTTTCTCTTGCCAATCACACTGTAAACTCTTTTAGACAAGGGTTGTATCTCCAGCATTTATTTCTTCTAAGTCTCCAAGAACTGCACAGACTACATAGGATTCAATAACTATTTGCCTAATTAGAATAGAAGTAAATCTTCTCAGAAAACAGATTGACAAGAAATGTTTCTTATTTAGCAACTTACTTGAGTGGAACCTTGTCTATCTTCATGAAGAAAAGCAAGTATTCATTATGTATATATTTGTTATCACTTTAACCATTGATGGATGCCTGCAGTTAAGGTGGAAGGGTCTGTTTGTTTTCAGAAAAAAAAACTAGGATTAATAGCAAGGCGAAAAACACTTGATGTCAAATCTCTCAGAAAACCAAATAATTTTTTGGTTTGATTTGTTAGTTTTGGCTGCCGTTTAATTCCTTAAGAAGCTAGGGTAATAGTTGTGTACTTTCAGGCCATTTCCACCCCTTCTATTGTGAAGATGGAGCTCCCCACACTAGTCGGTGTAGTGTTTCTCTGCTAGGCCAGCCAAGTAGAAAACTCCAATTAGCTGACAAGTGGTTAAAGTGCTGCTGAGACTAGACACAGGGGGAGAAAATGGCTCTTGTCAACTATATTCTTTCCAAGCATTCTGATTCTTGTTATGTTGTGCAAAAGGCAGCCTAAGGGTGGACTGACAGGGCATTTTTATATCCCTTTTAGAGATGTAAGTGTCCCTGAGCTTGGAGATTCCCAATTACACCTGTTCAAGTTCCCAAGGAATTATGAGGAAGATGATCTGTTTTAGTTTAGATTTGGGATCTTGGAAATTGGAGAGATAATTTTTCTTTAAGAGGTGATAGAATAATATCAGATTACAGAAGCCTTCAGATGTTACACAAAATGTTTAAATGTACTTTACATGTTGCTTCATGTGCCTTCTTGATATTCTTACAAAAGTATTATGTATTCATTAAATGGATTATCAGCAGATTGTTTTGGTAGTATTTTCAGGGAACCAACATTCAACAAGGCTGTTTATTCTTATTATAGCAATAAAGCTAAAAGTCAAATTCTGCTCCCAGAATTACTGAAAACAACTAAGTGTATGTATTTTCAGACATTTTTCTATGCTTATATGACTTTCTGTATACATAATTTTGAATTGTTTTTATTTAAAACACTGAATCATTCTAGTTCTATTGATTTTTATTTTTTTTATATCCTGGAGATCTTCATGTCATCTTATTGAGCTAATAATATTTACAATTATACCCAGTTTTATTATTGATGGCATACCATATGTCAAATTCTGTACTAAGATATTTACATCTCATTAACATTTCAACAAATCTGAGGCATTATTCCAGTTCTATCATTGTTTTCATCTAACAGGCAGGGAAACTGAAGCTTGAGAGGTCAAGCAACTTGCCCAAGAAAAACTAGTAACAGGTGGACTCTCTCAGACACTGTATGATATGGCTTCCCTTTTTAAATGGTTACATATTATTTCATTGTTTGCATGCCTCATTATCCCCACCTCCAAGGTAGACTGATTGTCTTTCCCCCATACCGCAAATCTATGGTCTACTCTCCTTCCCCATCCCTGCAGCTGCTCACAGCCCTCAGATGGAGTTTTTGCTGGTGAATAAATGCTGCCCTTCCTTTAAAATAAAACTTGTAGCCTTCAGGATGACAGAGCCTATGGCATGTATTAGTGATACCTTGCTGGTTCTTAGGTAAACATGTAGCATAATGGAGAAGATGATAATCCTTCTATGACCATTTTTGTAAACTGTTGTCACCAATTGAGTGATCTGAATTGATTTTCTGTTTCCAGCCTACCTAAGAAGTTTAATCCCACCTAAAGCAATAATCATCCAACTTGATTTAGAATTAATCAGGTATCATCTTCTGTCAAGGCTATGGCCAATCTGCCACTTTTTGTCCTGGGTCTCACCACTATAACAAAATGTCTTTTCCTTGCATGAATTTGTTTGACATCATAAGCTTTGTACCCAGAGCACTGTTGTCTACTCTTGGGCCAGATATCATATTATTTATGCTACCCTTCTCCATGGAGAAATTTCCTTTTTTATTGTTCACATATCATACTGCAAATACATGAAGTTCTTCCAGTATGCCCTATGGCAAAAGGTCAATATTCTTAAAATCATGTTAATCAAAAATTGCAGAACAGACTTCAGTAATGCTTGGGTTGGCCACTGTGATAGGCAGAATAATGATCCCGCCAATGATACCCCCACAATCCCTAGCACCTATGAATATGTTACCCTACAAGGCAAAAGGAAAATTAAGGTGGCAGATAGAATTAAGCCTGCTAATTAGTTGATTTTAAAATAAGGAGATTATCCTGAATTATCTAGCTTGGCCTAATACAAATACAAAGGGATGCAGAAGAAAAGAATGCAGTGATATGCTGTGAGAAGAACTCAATCTGTCATTACTGGATTTGAAGATCAAGGAAGGGAGGCCATTCACCATGGAATGTGGGCAGTCTCTAAAAGCCAGAAAATTCAAGGAAATGAATTCTCCACTAGAGCTTCCAGGAAAGATCACAGCCCTCCTGACACCTTGAGTTTAACCCAGTGGGACCGATGTTAAACTTCTGAACTACAGAGCTGTAAAATAATAAATTGGTGTTGTTTCAGGCCACCAAGATTGTGGTAAGTTGTTAAAACAGCAATAGGAAACTAAGCCACCAAATGCCCCTTCATGGAGCTAAAGTTTATTTCACTGTCAAAACAGAGGGCTTTTTCCATTAGACGAACCACTTTTCTAGTTTTATAAGGAAGCATTTCGTAGAATCTATTAGTGAGGACCTTGATATGAGACATATTGAATAAAACATGTATAAACTGAACACAAAAATACAAGTGTGCTCCCTTATAAGATATTATATGAAGTGGGGTCATGGGTTCACCATTCTGTTACTGTATGTTTTTTAGACCCCCACTTGTATTTATCAGGATCAATCAATGCCTCTCCATTATTTGCAGCTATGATTGAAGTATGGTACAGATTTTCCCTCTTGAACAATAAAAGTACATAACCAACTTTGATGGCACTTCAGTTCCATGCCTCCTCATGCTAAATGTCGTGGTGATTTGGCAGAGAATATTTACTCCACAGATCCTCATAGAGGTGTGTGACGTGTAGAGAATAGTTTGACTGCACCACTATTAGCATCCCTTTTGAGCAACCATTTGAGCACATGCAAGACTTTTATGATTAACAATTTAACTATTTAGTAGAATATAGGTGCTTATCCTCTCTAGGCTGTTTGCCTGGTTACAGCCATAATATAACATGTTATACATTGTGGTATTCCAGTACATATGTTGGCATAACTAAGTTTTCATCATAGAGCAAGATGCCAAATTCACTCTTCACCCGATATTTAGAGACAAAGGAATGATGAGTAGAAGGAAAAGGGCACAAAGTAGAGTAGCGGCTACTCGGTGGTTATGTCATTTAGTATGGTTGTTGGGTTTTTTTTAAGTCACAAATCTGCTCACTCAGCAGACTGAAAATTTCAAGTTGGTACCATTAATATTGCCACAGTTAGTCATTTGAAATACTGTCTGTACATGTAAGTATGACACATGTTTCTATTTAAACTCACAGCTTGGCCTCCTATGAAGATTCAGCAATGCTAAAATCACTGAGTCATATGGAAATGCTCACATTTTATGCAGAAACAAAATCACTGTACTATACATTAGCATTTTGACAACATAATGCAGCCATGAAAAAAGTTTGGTACTCTAATGAAAACTAGAAGTTATTAAAATCAGTTATTATTCATTGAATATTAAGCTGGCGAGAGGCTTTTAAATCACCAAGTTTAATATTCATAAGAAACACATGTTATGATTTCGGTCTTCTGTTTTGACGATGGATAAAGTGTGGTATAGTTTTATGCTAAAGAAATAATAAGGCAAAATGCACTTTTGCTGAAAACTTTAATTACTGTCATCTAAAGGATGACCTCACACTGGCCTTCAAGTATTAAAATAATTATTGTATAGGTGGGAAGTCAGAATCAATTGGCTGCATCACGAAGTGTTGAGCAAGAAAAAAAACAGCATTATAAAAAAGAATGAAATTGTGTCATGCAGCAACATTGATGGAACTGGAAGTTTTTATGTTAAGTGAAAAACCGAACACAGAAAGATAGATGCCATATGTTCTCACTCACAGGTAGGAGCTAAAAAAATTGATCTCATGGAGATAGACAATAGAATGATAGATATCAGAGGCTGAGAAAGGTGTGTGAGTGAGTAGGGTTACAGAAAAAGGGAGGGTGGTTAGTGGGTACAAACATAGACAAAAAAGCGCCAATGTTCGATAGCAGAGTAGGGTGACTATAGTTAGCAACAATGCATTGCATATTTCAAAGTAGCTACAAGAGAGGACTTGAAGTGTTATGGGCTCATAGAGATGGTAAATACTCAAAGTAATGGATAACCCCATATTCCTGATTTGATCATTACACATTATAGTCATGTAACAAATACATGTCCCCCCTAAGTGTGTAAAATATTTTGTATCACTAAAAAAATTAAAATGGAAAACAAAGGAAAAAAAAAACAAGATTAAACTGTAACCCAACAGAACTGGGTAAGACATGAGAAAGAAAGCAAAGGAGAGAACCCACATTTCATGAGCATGTATTATTTGTAACCTTTTGTGTTAGGTGATTTTGCACATTATTTAATTTACTTGTGACACAAAAATCTGTGAGATTTATCTTATGCCCATTTTACAGGTGGCACTGAATCTCTTGAGAGGGTAATGAATTTACTTGAGCTCACAAAGGCAGTGAGTTGCAGAGTTGTGTAAATCCAAAATCAATGATCTTTTTACTAACATGGTGTCACTCATCTATTAACCATTCCAACCAGTCCCCAACTTAGCACTAAATAATTTTGAAAACTAAAATGGCTGTCTAGTAGAGGGAGAAAATGTCTTTTACTTCTTTCTTTCAATGGAGAATCAAGCAATAAGGTTGGGTTGGGTTTTGTTGGTATGGAGTTTATAAATTGAATTTATAAACTATACCTATGAATTTATAACATACCTATTATACACTTTCTCAATGTACAAACTGTGCCATGCTGGTTTCTGAGGAAGATGGAAACATGATTTGTGCTACAGGCCTAGAGGGACTGCAAGGTGTGTATTGGGCACAAGCCATAATCGGAGTCTATACTAAATGCTGTGAGAGTTAAAAGGGGATGTCATTATTCACTTTGCTCCTAGAGACTTGCAAAGCAATAACCACAGAGGTGGCATTTTGGCTGGGCTTTGAATGATAACATTCTCACGGACTGAAGACGGAGAAATGGTATCTTAGATTCAGGAAACAGCACAGGCAAAAACTACAGAGAATCAAGCTATAATGTTGGGTTTGGTTTTATTGGTATGGTGTTTATGGACTTGATTTAATACATATCTATTGGACACCTTCTCAACGTATAAGCTTCTGAGCTGGTTTGTGTTTGGTTTGTTTGCCAAAAATAAATAAATAACAGGAGGTTAGGTTCCTAACAGGAATGGAGTGGAAATGCAGTTCAACCCTTCCTGCAGTGAATGTGAAGTCATAAGGAGTTTCTAAGAAGGGGCTACGTAACAGCAAGCTGTCTGAGGGTTTTAGAAGGCAGAACCAAAAATCAGGGAGACAAGTGGTTGGTGGATGATATCACTCACCAGGAAAGAGATGATACGGTAGGTTCTACAAATGTGTGTAGTTCCAAACACATTTTACTCTGAAATTAAATGTGGGGCATGTCATAGTACATAACGAGTAATAGAATGAGAATATAAACAGTTTTAAAGCACCTTAATCCCAAATTAGATTTCTTCCTTTTTTTTTTTTTTAACGATGTAAGCCCTGTCTTGCAGGCTTTTTTTTTTTTTTTTTTTAAATACAGTTTAACTGTCCTGACTTTAAAATTGGTTGAATAAAACTTTTCTCTATTTTGGATGATATTGCCAATTACCTACTGGGGAATTCCTGATGTTACTCTTTCCACTAGTTTATGATTTCCACTCAATCCTTGGCTCATGTTATTACAAAGCCTGAGAGCTGGTTTTGGAATGCATGCCTGGCACATGGTAGGTGTTCAACATTTGTTAATTTGGGAAGAGTGAGAAGGTAGAAATATTCGAGCTGGGCTCAGTGAATGAATGAGAGCGGCACACATGAAAATGAGAAGGAAGTGACTTTGAGGCAGAGAAAATGAACCACGATGGGTCCTGGGTTGCACCTTTCTGTCCTCTGTGCTAGGACCTGTGCTAAATGGCTTACATAAATTATTTTATTTAGTCTTTGGAGCAAATCTTATGAGGTAGAGTGTTCCCACTTGATAGATGAAAACACCAATGTTCAAAGAGGCTGAATGACTTTTCTAAGGCCTCCCAGCTAATACATGGAAAATGGGAATTCAAAGTCCGAAAGACAAGCTTTTGATCTTTAGGGTATCTTGCCCTATCCAGAGAAAGCCCAAGGCATTTTTTAATTCTTCTAACCCTTTTCTGAGAAAATACAATTTGAAGGAAGCATAAATAAGAAAAACTTTTGCAATTTTAAAAATGCATCCTGCCTGATTTTCTTTAGAAGACTCATCCCGGTTCTTTTTAAAGAAGTAAATCATTATGCATTGGCTCATTTTCTTGCCTGGAATAACCAATGAAATCTCCCAATATATCCAAAAAGAAAGGCAAGTTATAGCTTTTTTCTTTATGAGTACGCAAACTGAAGACACAGGCAGCCTTGCGGGATTTCTCAAGGTTACAACATTGCGAACATAAGTTTTTACCCATTACCTTACTCTGCAGTGTCTCAGGGGTCACATTGTCTCTGTCTTGTTCAACATGCCATGAAAAACTGTTTCCAGCTGATGGATTTGGTGGCTTGAAAGCATGAGCTACTAGAGGTTAGGAATCTCAGAAATGAAGATTGCACAGTGTGTTTGAGAGTAATTGTTCACAGGAAAAAAGCTGAGAAATTTACCCTCTGGGGCTGGGAGGAGTGACAACAGAAAGTGAAATCAGAATTAAGTGTAAGTGAAGGCCTTGTTGCTATCTCCCACCTCAGCTTTAAGTCAGCACTTAGGACAGAAGGATATAGCTCTCAGAATATCCTGTAATATTTGTTTAAAATACAGATCCCTGGACTTCAATCCAGACTTGCTGAGTTAGGGCTTCCCAGGGACAGGCCAGATAACTGGGCACTTACCAGGTACTTTTGGTGATTCGTCACAGGAAACTTTAGAAAACTACGATTAATGGCAGTTATTATTTACACTCCATAGCTTGGATACTGTGTTTGATTCAGGAGGCACATCTCCAAAATTCCAAAAAAGAAGTTAAAAAATGATAAAGAACAGCACCGTAAAGAGAGATTTGGTACAAAAACTTAATTAAAGAGGGTAAAGATAATAAAGAGAAGGATGCATTTCAAGGGGAACATTTCTAGAGGAACGTATTTATCTTATAAACTTACAGACATCTAAGTTTAAAATGTATAAACATGAAAGTTTCTAGGGAAACTGAGATGTATATCTAAGAAAAGCATAGACTATATATTCTTCAATTCTGTTTTTTCATTGTAAATTTGGGGTGAAGTTAACTGAAATAATTAACATAACTAACATTGAAATACTCCTTCATATGTGCCAGGCAGAATTCTAAGAACTTTCCATATGTTAACTCTTCTGTTAACTTCTGAATCTTTCCAACAACCCTATGATATGAATATTATTTTTATCCTCATTTTATAAATGAAGAAACTGAGGCACAGAGAAGTTCAGTCCCTTATCAAAGGTCACACAGTCAGAAAGTGGCAAGGCAGGGATTTGAACCTAAACATGTGTTTGCAGAATCTCCACTGCATCCTTTATTTAAGGTGATAATCGGCTTGTCTGTAAGGGACCTTATGATTTTGACCTTGATCATGAAGCTGAAAGACTCGTTTATTGGAGTGGGGCACAGTTTGTTATATTAATAGTAGTTGTGTTTGTTGTAGCAGTTCATATACACTAAGCAAGCAATGTGATTATCACTTCGTATACATTGTATAATGAATTACCCAGTAAGTATACTGAGGTCCATTTTGCAGATGGGAAAACTGAGCTTCTTACCTATGATCCTAAATAATTTTCATAAGATACACAGACAGTAAATGATAGATCTAGATCTTGAACATTTGTCTCTCTGACTATAAAACCCATTTTCTGGCCGCTCTACCTGCTGCTGCTTATGGAATCAATATTGGTACCCAGAGAAGTTGAAACCTGAAAGTTACATGTGACTTCTAATGAAAGGACCACAGCTAAAGATATTTATAGAACTTCCAAATTACAGAGGCAGGTAAGAAATATGGTTTGGATGCTCCAACACTACAATGTATAAGATATTTTGACAATGAGAAGGATGAGGAGTTAAGGAGGGAGAAGGGATGTTGACCCAAAAAATCAAGGATGTGAGTTACTATGTAGGACACTTCAAATAAAGATGGGTGTATTAGTCCATTTTCATGCTGCTGATAAAGACATACCTGAGACTGGGTAATTGATAAAGAAAGAGATGTTTAATGGACTCACAGTTCTATGTGGCTGGGGAGGCCTCACAATCATGGTGGAAGGTGAAAGGCACATAATACATGATAGCAGCCAAGAGAGAATGAGTGCCAGGTGAAAGGGGTTTCCCCTTATAAAACCATCAGATCAGCCAGGTGTGGTGGCTCATGCCTGTACTCCCAGCACTTTGGTAGGCCAAGGCGGGCGGATCACAAGGTCAGGAGTTCGAGACCAACCAGCCAACATAGTGAAACTGTGTCTCTACTAAAAATACAAAAATTAGCTGGGCATGGTGGCACGTGCCTGTAGTCCCAGCTACTCGGGAGGCTGAGGCAGGAGAATCACTTGAACCCCAGGAGGCAGAGGTTGCAGCAAGCCGAGATTGCACCACCGCACTCCAGCCTGGGCAACAGAGCGAGACTCCATCTCAAAAAAAAAAAAAAAAAAAGAAACCATCAGATCTCGTGAGACTTATTCACTACCATGAAAACCATATTGGGGAAACCGCCCCCATGATTCAGTTATCTCCCATGGGGTCCCTCCCACAACACATGGAAATTATGGGAGCTACAATTCAAGATGAGATTTGGGTGGGGACACAGCCCAATAATATCAATGGGTGAGTGTCCTTTCCAGTTTCCCTCTTGTCTGTAGCTGAGTCCAACAGAGAATTGTCACAGGATGAGTGTGAAGGAAAACAGCTTGAAATCTTGACTTTCAGAAAGAACAGAGGGCACAAGGATTCTTGTGTAAAGCAGCAATTCATAGTCTTCCTTTAACATCCTTACACCTAGTACTTGTTTTCAAACCATTACACAATGTAGTGTTGATTCTTCTTAAGCATATATGTCTGCAATGGAGAAAGGGACTTCGCTGGGTGGAAATGTAAAGAACCATGAAGTAGTGTAATGTAGTGGATACAAACGTATTATCATACCTTTCCTTACAGGCAGGCAATATGTGGCAGGGCTTCAAAACAGAGGTTTCAAGACCAGACAGTTCAAATCCAGCTTTGGACTCGGGACAGGTTATTGAACTTTTCTAAGCATAAATTTTCTCTTCTATACACCAAAAAGAATGATTTTACTCATCTAGGTTTTGTGGGTTTTAAATGAATTAAATGATGTGTCCAGTGAAGTGCCTGATTTAACAGTATGTGCTCAATAAACAGAACTCACATTTATTATTAGAAGCAAGATTTAGAATGAAAAACCAGGAATCATATCTGTCTATCTAGAGCCTGATCATGTTCAAATGTGTTTGTATTCTGACCTGTCAATTGTGACACTCTGGACATTGACCCTGACTCAAGGTCTCCAGAACTGACTGTCCTTACCCCCCAGTTCTAAGTTAACCATAGTTTTCCTTACCCCTTAAGCAGGAATAGGGATCTTATTTAAGATCATTATAAGGTGCTACATTCCCTTATGGGGTGGTTGTGAGAATGTAGTAGATTACCTCATGCAAAGCAATTTAGATCGTGCTAGCACATAAATGATGAGGTTGCCTATTTTTAAGACCCACCTGAAGCTTTAAGTGGGATGTTTCTGGCACAGAAATCTCTTCAAGTGTAACGTAATCTACGTCCCTCATTGGAAATCAGAATTCTTGTAAATGACAGTGTCATTCTTCAGTAATCTCAACCTGTTTACCAGCTTCCTGCTTAACATGGTAAAGTTGCCTTATAAAATGTGAAAGATCTCTTTAGGCTTTAATAATCTTGCAGTGGTGAGATTTAATGGGACAAAAGGAAACAAAGGTTAGGTCAAACGCACTTTCAAGTTGTTTAGTAACAACTTTCAGTGTCCATCAGCGGTCACATACCATGATTTTCCTCCACTGGGAGTCAAAGGTGAAACATGTCAAGAACCACACAAGTCACTTGTAAGCAAAGAGACAGGGCTGGAAAAGCTGTGATCATCAAAGTGATGTTCCTAATATCTGACGAAACTCATGTTGTGATTCAGTGGTACACAACCTCGGACACATTATAATCGCCTGAAAGATTTTAAAAATCTAGTCCAACCATACCCCAGACAAAATAAAAGGCTCTCTGTGGTAGGACCCATGCATCTGCTCGCTTGTGTTGCCTGTTTGTTTGTTTGTTTGTCTTAAAACTCCCTGGGTGATTCTAATTTTAAGCCAAGGTTGAGAAGTGGGATATAAAAGTTCTAATAAGGCAGGTTCTAGGAAGGAGACAAAAAAATAAAGGACAACTGCTTGGGTGAAGGGAGTGGTTCTATTGTTTGTGTAACTAATGTTCAACATTAATGGCTCACTTAGCTGCTGCCCATATCTAGTGGTGAAACAAATTAACTCAAATGCAAACAGCTTATTTATATGTACATATTCCCATACATTTATTTGAATCCCCAGTGATACTCTAAAAGCTAATTACAATGAAAAATAAGCCATTCTACGTGTAAATATACATGTAATTCTGCCAGTTAATTGCCTGAAATTTTCATTTTGTTCACATTCCCAAGTGAAAAACCTCAGGATTTTTTTGTCCTGAAGTAACAGACAACTTGTGTAATCTTTAAAAGTGTGCTTCTCCTCACCATTGTCTCTTAATCAAATTAAATTTATGAGATGAAATAAACCCAATACATTAATGTTAGATTAATATATGTTTTCTCTGGTTAGTTTTTAAACAAGGGAGGTGCTGAGCAGTATGGAATTTGATCCCATAAAGAGAATAGGTGTTTCTCAGTCCCTGGTGGGAGGTTTCACCTTTGGGGCCAGAATTTTAGTGACTTTATCACTAGACCGCAAAATCATTTCTGATGGGCCTTGAAGCCCTTATATCTCTGTGGCCCATGTAGATAACATAGTCTAAGTAAAAAGAAATCCCATTACACAGAACATCATAAAGACAGCAGGGATGTCAGACTGTCCACTAACCAGAGGCCATCTTGAGATTTTTTTTTTTTTTACCGTTGTCTTTAATAGAAAAAGAAAACCATGATGATTCTACTTATCTCCCCTATTCCCTCCTTCATTTCCTCAATATTATTTTGTATTGACTTCTTTGCACAGGTATATGTGGGAAGGGGAACCCAAAATAAAAATCCATTTCATCTCTGCCACCAAAATCTCCACCAACTTACTTTTATCTAAACCCAAGGGAAAATGAGGGGCAACACATTTGTGGAGCAGTTACTATTCAGAAGCAAGGCAGCATCACACAAGAATGTATTCTGAATTCGTTGCTTATACCAGTATTTCTTTCCTGCTGTTTTCTCCGTGAATTAACTTGATAGTAGGTTCTGGACTAGTGGATAGTGGGAGAATTATGAAAGCATCTGATGAACATAAAATTTATTATGTAGAATATATCAAAAATATATGTAAATCACTATTTTATTGCTTGATATGACCTTACGATATTGTCAAAATAGATAGCCTATATTTTGCTATAGCAGGCACTTCACTTCTTTAAAACACATTTTATAATATCAACCTTTCATGCCTAGTTAGAAGAGAGATGTTCTGGAACACTTGTCTAGCACACACTTATGTTGGTGCAGGCACACACACACACACCCAAAATAAATCTAATGTGTCTTGGATATAAATTGTTTTATAATGAAAGGCTAACAAAGGCCACCAACCATTGTAATAGGTAAGATGAGCTTTTGACAAATCCTTGGATCGGAGTATCTTTTATAGTTGATATGAAGAAAAAGGTGATGCATTGGCTGGCATTATATCTCAATACATTATTGCTGAAGTTTAAAAAATTTACTAAAGTGAATTTTCAATTTATTCTTTGCAAAGAAATCAGGCCTACAATAAGGATATGTGTATTTAAACAAATGATTGAAGTTAGCAAAATATTTATGAGGTCCACATCTTAAAATTGGTGCTATCAACCCTGTCACCCCATTGGTTGTTAGCCAATAGTAGTCACAGTTCAAAGATGATATTGTCCTATGTAGTTTCTGAATCGTTGTTTTCCCTTAGCCAATTCCATTTTATAGCCCTTGTTCAATTTAAATACTCCATTTCTTAGGGATTTGCCATCACTCACTCTCACATTGTTTTCAATTTCAATATAAATTGATGCTGCCTCTTGTGTTGTTTCTCCAAATACTCTTCTTGTTAAACAAGATCTCCTGTTTCTAGAATGGTGTGCACATTTGCACATTCTATTAGAAAAAAACCAGATTCCCTCTCAAAATATTTGCAAGTGCCACACCTTCAAAACACAAGACAGATCCTCCATTCAGACAATAGAAAAGAAAACAGGACCACCCATGTGCTTTTAAGGCACTCAGGAAGCTGAATGCCGAAATGTATATTTGTTTTAAAATATAGATGATTGATCATTTCTTTAAAAATGTTTTGGGCCAGGTGTGGTGGCTCACTCCTGTAATCCCAGCACTTTGGGAGGCCGAGGCAGGCGGATCACAAGGTCAGGAGATTGAGACCATCCTGGCTAACACGGTGAAACCCCGTCTCTAATAAAAATACAAAAAATTAGCCTGGCAATGTGGCAGGCGCCTGTAGTCCCAGCTACTAGGGAGGCTGAGACAGGAGAATGGCATGAACCCGGGAGGCGGAGGTTGCAGTGAGCCAAGGTCACGCCACTTCATTCCAGCCTGGGCGACAAGGGAGACCCCATCTCAAAAAAAAAAAAAAAAAAAAAAAAAAAAAAAAAAAATATATATATATATATATATATATATATATATACACACACACACACATATATATATACACATATATATACACACATATATATACACATATATATGTACACACACACACACATATATATACATATGTATATATATGTGTGTGTGTGTGTGTGTATATATATATATATATATATATATATATATATATATATATATACCCACATATGTATTTTGGAGCCTGAAGTTAACCAGAGTGAAATAGCTCAACTTTTACTGCAAAAACTCAAAATGAATTGTTAACTATTTAAGAAATGTTACAAGTAGGATGATGGAGTTCCTTTTCTAAGTGTGTGGGAAATTGAAAATCTTATGAGAATTAGAAGTTATCTTCATGAAACTACATATAAGAGCCACAAAAGTACTCCTAGACAATTGGAGAATGACTGTTCTCTTTGTTAAACCTCCTCGGGTGTTTTCGTTGTTTTTTTTTTTTTTTTTTAATTGTCTGGACTCATAATCCCTGAATGAGCTGGGGAGTGCCAGGGAATAATCTATAATTTTAATTAACTATGATCATGTGGTTGAATCAGTTTGAGAAGATATTTTGGGGTATAATCTTCTAGAACATTGCTTCGCCTTTTTTCTACATTTAACTGTTTTTGATTTGCTTCTAACTATAAAATTGAACTACCGTAATAATCTAGAAATCACTGAACAAAATGCACAACAGGCCAAGCAAGTCAGAAATACTCTATTTTTCTTATCTACTCTTCTGTTAAGAAAAGATTGTAATTTTTCCTCTTCTCCCCATTGATGCAATGTAAATAAGCATGGGTCCACTCTTATTATAAAGAAAACTACTCTGAGCCTCTGTTTTTTCATTGGTAAACTGCAGACGATTCTTATTTCTTTTTTTCATTTTTATTTTACTTTAAGTTCTGGAATACATGTGCAGAACGTGAAGGTTTGTTACATAAATATACATGTGTCGTGGTGGTTTGCTGCACCTGTCAACCTGTCATCTAGGTTTTAAGCCCTGCATGCATTAGGTATTTGTCCTAATGCTCTCTCTCCCCTTGCCCCCAACCCCCAACGGGCCCCAGTGTGTGATGTTCCCCTCCCTGTGTCCATGTGTTCTTATTGTTTAACTCCCACTTGTGAGCAAGAACATGAGGTGTTTGGTATTCTGTTCCTGTGTTAGTTTGCTGAGAATGATGGTTTTCAGCTTCATCCATGTCTCTGCAAAGGACATGAATTCATTCTTTTTTATGGCTGCATAGTATTCCATGATGTATATGTGCCACATTTTCTTTATCCAGTCTATCATTGATGGGGATTTGGGTTGGTTCCAAGACTTTGCTATTGTAAATAGTGCTGCAATAAATGGGTTTTTGTGAAGTTAAAATGTGTGAAATCACCTAAGATAGATGTTGCAAACTCAAATGCGCACAGGATGCATAAAATTTAAAAATAAACAAAAGTGGCCAAGTTGGAGACAGAGAAGAGTGTTAGAGAATGTTGAGAACTGGTGAGCACACACTGTTTTTAATTGGGAATGGTGCTACTGGTCAGTGTCAGTACCAGCTAATTGCTCCCATGGGGACATGGTGATCCAGTGCTGCTCAACCTGATATTTTTCAGAGAAACTAGAAATCTAGATTCTTATGTGAAATTCTACTGTGACTAATTTAACACTTCTGAACATCTCGATGTAGGCTAGTATCTAATGGGCCAAACTTTGTAGGCAGTTTGAGATCTGCAGTCTAACACATAGAAAGTATTTGATAAAAGTGCCTCCTTATTTCTCCCACTTTTATCCAAACTTTTGGATAAATATTTAAGTTATTTAAGATGCCCCGCAGGTTGAAAATAAGTGAACAAAGAATCATAGACATTAGTAGTTACTGGTTGGGTTTTGAAATACAATAAGGACAGTGATGACTATTTTTGTGGTCTGGCCAAACCCCCAGGAATCTCTGAAGAACATAGCCTTGCATTATTTGGACTTCTCTGGCCCCTGATGGCAGTATGATGGTTTAGTGACAGCCGAAAATGTACACGCAAGTAAAGACAAGACTGTTGTGGACGTGGATCCAGACTTAAATGGAGAATAATCAGTCCCAGAAACTGACAGTATGGAAGCCCAAACTCTGTGTTAATGAGCACTTTGATGAAGAGAGCCAGGTGGGTTTGAAGATGGACTACCAATCTTTGGTGTTCCTCTGGGCATGTGGTCAAAATGCCATTTTTACTAATTGTTAATCACATGACAAATAGCCTAGCATGCAACCAGCAGGTGATATGAAACTGCAGGTGAAGAAATTCTAGAGCATAATGCAGTATAGCCTTGTTTTCAGGAAGAAGCCAAAACTGAGCTGGAAAAACACAATTTGGGAAATAAACTGCAAAAACCCACATGCAAGAAAGTTTGAATTAATAAAATGAAATAGCAGAATCAATCAGACAGAAAACAATACATTTAGCACTAAGAAAAAAAATCAGCTATTTGGAAAAAAAAGTGAAAGCCACTAAAGAATAGCCCCAATAAGAAGCTAAGCCAAGGAATCCTCATACAGGTTGTGGAAGCATGAGGAAGAAAAGGTGTTCACAAATATTGCATTTAAAACGATAGTAAACAGGAAGGCCGCTGCCTGTTCAGACAGGAACATGTAGGGTGCCTCTACCTAGATGAGGTCTCCAAAGCCCAAGAAATTTGATCATCCATTACATTTGCTCTAGTACTCACTGAATTGTAAGCATCAGGAAGACATAGATACTGCTTTTTTTCCACTGGTGCAATTCCAGCCCCTAACACAGTGCCTGGCACATAGCAGGCACAGAGAAAATATTTGTGGGAGGAATGAATACATAAATAAGTTAATAAAGGAATTAAATCCAACAATTTGATTTGGCCTAATAATGGTACCTACTATATAAGGAACACCTACTAAGTGCCCAGCTTTTATGTTATTTCTTATTTTTTAATTCTATAAGGGAAGAAGAACATATATTTTTATTCTACAGAGGAAAAAACTGAGGTTCAGAAATCATGAGTAACTAAATTAAAGTTACATGACTAGTAAGTGGCAAAAGTGAGATTTGAACATGTGGTTATTTAACCCTAAAAACTTACTCTTTCATTATGCCATTCTGTTTAGCTTCATCCATATCAACTCAGGGAGAGGGACTCAAGTTGTTCAAAGAAACATAAGACTTAAATCCAGGTTATCTGCTCTACCCCCTTTGCCCTTTCTAAGGTACCCCATGCCCTCTTTCTGCTTTGTTTTCCTCATTGAAGCCCTTGGCAAACAATATCTTTTGAGCATGTTTCACACAGCAGACACCAGCACGCTCTACAAGTGTAATAAATGCTGATGTCAGAGCTACCATAAAAGACAGAAGTCATTTCATTTTACATCAAGATACGAGTCACCATCTGGAAGACCAGATACGCCAATCTTAATTTGAGACCAGATTTTCAAATCTAACTCCAATGTGAAGGAAAAGCTTATCAGTATTCAAAGTGAAGACTTGGGTCACTCTGCCTAGCAAACATTCATTTTGTTAGGACTCCCTTTCATGAGCAAAAGTAAACGCATTCTGCAAACAGCTAGAGCTCCTTTCTGTATTGGTTCAGACTCTTGTTTGACAGGAATAGAAACTCACTTGGGCAAGAATACAACACAAGGAGGAAATTTATTATAAGGAAATACAATGTCTCCCGGAACCTGAGGGCAGGAATGCATCTGAGACTCAGAAATAGACCAAAGATGGTGTCACCCTCCTCTTTGCATCTCTACCCTGCAAATTAGCTTTCTCTGCTTCTCATCCCACATGGTGAAACGTAGCCACCCACAACTCCAGTGATTAAATGCTGCTATTTAAGAGACCAGTCAGATGCGTGTGAGAATTCTAAATCCACTTTGGTGCAGCTTGAGTCAGTTTCCCACTCCTGGCCAATCCACTGAGGTTTGGTAGGCAAGGGTCATATTTTATAAACATGATCATACTTTATATACACGGTGACCATATGGATGGAGCAGAGCTGAAAAGGGCTTGTCTCTGTAAAGAAGAAAGGAGTGAGGGGGAGTGAGTTCTGAGCAAGTTAACCACTCTCAATTGCCTTCTGTACTGTTATCTATATATACTGATACAAAGAAAAATAACTCTTCTGTGTACAATCAAATGCAAAGGTGAAATTTAAAGTGAGAGTTCACTGATTATAAAGGTTTTAACAGATTAATATTTTAGGACAATAAATTGGCTCTTTGAGTACTCTACAATTCAGCATGTCTTGATGCACAAAATGACTTTTAAAACTCCTGTAACCATTCCATCATCTATAACCCCATCCCATGTATTTCTAAAAACCGCAATGCTGTGTCAGCATCATGGTAAGCATTCATCTTATGATTTGGTATTGATGAAAGTCGGTTACTTCCAGGTCTCCCTGCTGTTAAGTTACTTTTTATGCTTTCTTGTGAGATGAATGTCTCCATCCCTGCTAAGAACTCCAGCTCAGCCTTTGCATATTATCTCAATGATCTCAGACACTTTATCTCTATACATTCTTTATGGATCGCATTACTTTCAACACCTCTTATCTCTTGCCTGCAAAATCATCCTCCAGTGCAAAAGTACAAGAAGAGCATTGTCTCCAACCACCTTTCTCTCTCGGTGATGGCTTCGTCAACTCTCCATAGGCTAATCACATTTCAGAATAATGCTGTTTGGGGATGAATTTATCTGGTGCTGATTTATCAAAACCAAATCTTTGTATAAGAAGATTCTCTTTTGGCATGATTCTACCAGATTTTTTTGTGTGTTCCCACCTGAACTGTAATTCTCCCAAACATAAATAGCCTTCTAGCCTCATTTTTCTCTCTGCTTTTGGATCAGTGCTTGTCATCAAAGGCAAGAGCTTGCTTTTGTTAGGAGCAGGACTGTTTTCTATTGTGTATCCCACTCCAGACAGTGGTGTTATCATTTGACAATATCTCTCAGGACTTTTTATTACCATGCAACTAAGTTTTAAACCTATTTTGATTCAAACGAAGTTGATTAAAATCATTAAGTGCTGGCTTATCCAATAAAGCATATTCGGAGTCATTCAGAAAATACATATTGGCATACTTACTCCACACAAGTCAGTGGGCAAAAAAGAATGGAGATGAATCAGATGTTGTCCCTGACCTTAAGGAAGTCGTGATCTATACATTTTGTATATAAATAAGCCCAATCAAATTTCATGCCTGGGAAAAGTCAATATCAGATTAACTTATAGATGATTTCCAAGGACTACTATGAATCATTCTTTTCTTTGTTCAATTCAATTCATTAAAACAGATGTGAAGTCTGCTTTTTCATTCTTAACATCCTTATTTAACAGTAATAACTAATACTTTTTGAATGTTCTCTGTGTATCAGGCTCAGTGCTACATAGTTTACATACACAAGTGATTCACATATGCAGCCAAGTTTGAGACCATTGCTATAGCCTATTTTTTGTATGTGCATATATAAATATCCCACAGAGGCTTCTAATATACAATGGAGGGGAAAGAAAACCTCTGATTTTAGCTCTACTGCAGTCAAAAGTGAAAGAATCTCTAAAGAAGCAGCCAAAGTATTTATATATTTTTAAAGCCTTCGAAAGGCACAGCCAGAGAGTTTTTAAGAACCATCTCCTAATTAAGTGATGTTTTTCATTGACCATCTACTCTGTTTTAAACTTTATCTATTGTTTGTCTTTGCACTAGTATTTGTTGTATCAGCCCATCTCCAAGGGTCTGCACAACTGATCAGGATATAGGCCTTTTGAGCTCCAGGTCCTCAATGTTAATCAATTTTATGATATTCTTGAGCTGAAAAGGGACATTTCATTGCAGTGTTTAAGTGGTTCAGTGTTTAATCTTGGAATCGAGTTATTTGGAATTCTATCCTAGTTCTTTTTTTTTTTAACTTTTATTTTAAGTTCAGGGGTACATATGCAGGTTTGTTACATAGGGAAACTTGTGTCATGGGTTTTTTTTTTACAGATCATTTCATCATCCAGGTATTAAGCCCAGTACCCATTAGTTAGTTTTCCTGGTCTTCTCCCTCCTCCCACCATCTACCCTCAAGTAGGCCCCTGTGTGTGTTGTTCCCCTCATTGTGTCCATGTGTTCTCATCATTTAGCTCCCACTTGTAAGTGAGAACATTCAGTATCTGATTTTCTGTTCGTACGTTAGTTTGCTAAGAATAATGGCCTCCAACTCCATCCATGTCGCTACAAAGGACAGGATCTCATTCTTTTTTACAGCTGCGTAGTATTCCATGGGGTATATGTACCACATCTTGTTTATCCAGTCTACCATGAGGGGCATTTAAGTTGATTCCATATCTTTGCTATTGGGAATAGTGCTGCAATGAACATATTTGTGCATGTGTCTTTGTGATAGAATGATTTATATTCCTTTGGGTATATACCCAGTGATATGGTTTGGCTCTGTGTCCCCACCCAAATCTCATATCTAATTGTAATTCCCACATGTTGAGGGAGGGAGGTGATTGGATCATGAGAGAGGTTTTCCCCCATGCTATTCTCATGATAGTGAGTGAGTTCTCATGAGGTCTGATGGTTCTATAAGTGTTTGACAATTCCTCCTTCACATGCTCCTCTCTCTTCTACCACCTTGTGAAAAAGGTCCTTGGTTCCTCTTTGCCTTCCACCATGATTGTAAGTTTCCTGAGGTTTCCCAAGCCATATGGAACTGTGAGTCAATTAAACATCTTTTCTTGCTGAATTACCCAGTCTCGGGTATTTCTTTATAGTAGTGTGAAAACAGACTAATACAGTAAAGTTGTACCACAGAGAGTTGGGTGCTGCTATAAATAGATACTTGAAAATATGGAAGCAACTTTGGAACTGGGTAATGGGCAAAGGTTGGAACAGTTTGGAAGGCTCAGAAGAAGAAAGTAGGATGTGGGAAGTTTGGAACTTCCTAGAGACTTGTTGAGTGGTTTTGACCAAAATGCTGATACTGATGTGGACAATGAAATCCAGACTTAGGTGGTCTTAGATGGAGCTGAGGAACTTATCTGGCACTGGAGCAAAGGTCACTCTTACTATGCTTTAGCAAAAAGACTGGCAGCATTCTGCCCTGCCCTAGAGATCTGTGGCACTTTTAACTTGAGAGAGATGATCTGAAATTGGAATTTATGTTTAAAAAGGAAGCAGAGCTAAAAGTTTGGAAAATTTGCAGCCTGATGATGCAATAGAAAAGAAAATCCCATTTTCTTGGTAGAAATTGAAGCTAGCTGCAGAAATTTGCATAAGTAACGAGGATTTAATTGTTAATCGCCAACACAATGGGGAAAATGTCTCCAGGGCATGTCAGAGATCTTAGCAGTATCCCCTCCCATCACAGGCCTTGCAGCCTAAAAGTAACAAGTGGCCTCAAAGCCTAGGAGAAAAAAATGGTTTCGTGATTTGGGTCCAGAGTCCTGTTGCTATGTGCAGCATCAGGATTTTGTGCCCTGCATCCCAGCTGCTCCAGCTCCAGCCATGGCTAAAAGGAGCCAAGGTACCACTCGGCCTGTTGCTTCAGAGGATGCAAGCCCCAACTTTTGGCAGCCTCCACGTGGTGATGGGCCTGTGGGTACACAGAAGAATTGAGGTTTGGGATCCTCTGCCTAAATTTCACAGGTTATATGAAAACGCCTGGATGTCCAGGCAGAAGTCTGCTTCAAGGGCAGGGCCCTCATGGAGAAACTCTGCTGGGGTAGTGTGGAAGGGAAATGTGGGGTGTGAGGCCCCATACGGAGTCCCCACTAGGGCACTGCCTAGGGAGCTGTGAGAAGAGGGCCACCATCCTCTAGAACCCAGAATTGTAGATCCACTGACACCTTGAACCATGTGCCTTGAAAAGCTGCAGGCACTCAATGCTAGCCCATGAAAAGGCTGCCATGGCTGTGTGAGCTCACATCTTGCATCAACATGCCAAGAACATGAAACATGGAGTCAAAGGAGATGATTTTGGAGCTTTAAGATTTAATGACTGCCCTGCTGGATTGCAGATTTTCATGGGGCTTGTAACCCCTTTGTTTTGGCGAATTCCTCCCACTTGGAACAGGAGCATTTACCCAATGCCTGTAACCACATTGTATCTAGGAAGTAACTAATTTGCTTTTGATTTTTTAGGCTCATAAAATCAAGAATGGCAGAAGGGACTTGCCTTCTCTCGGATGAGACTTTGGACTGTGGATCTTCGAATTAATGCAGGAATGAGTTAAGACTTTGAGGACTGTTGGGAAGGCATGACTGGTTTTCAAATGTGAAAAGACATGAGATTTGGGAGGGTCTAAGAGCAGGATGGTATGGTTTGGCTCTGTGTCCCCATGCAAATCTCATCTCAAATTGTAATTCCCACGTGTTGAGGGAGGGAGGTGATTGGATCGTGGGAGAGGTTTTCGCCATGCTGTTCTCATGATAGTGAGTTCTCATGAGATCTGATTGTTTCGTTTCGTAAGCAAAGCCTTTGACAGTTCCTCTTTCACACACTCCTCTCTCTCTTGCCACCATGTGAAGAAGGTCCTTGCTTCCCCTTTGCCTTCTGCCACGTTTCTAAGTTTCCTAAGACCTCCCAGCCATGTGGAACTGTAAGTCAATTAAGCCTCTTTCCTTTCTAAATTACCCAGTCTCGGGTATTTCTTTATAGTCGTGTGAAAACAGAATAATACACCCAGTAAAGAGATTGTTGGGTCAAATGTTATTTCTGTTTTCAGTTTTTTGAGGAATCACCACATTGTCTTCCACCATGGCTGAACAAATTTACACTCCCACCAACAGAGTATAAGCATTACTTTTTCTTCACAACCATGCTAGCATCTGTTATTTTTTGACTTTTTAATAATACCCATTCTGATTTGTGTGAGATGGTATTTCATGGTTTTCATTTCCCTTTCCCTAATGATCAGTGATGTTGAGCTTCTTTTCATATGATTGTTCACCACATGTATGTCTTCTTTTGAAAAATGTCTGTTAATGTCCTTTAATGGGATTGTTTTATTCTTGTAAATTTGTTTAAGTTCCTTACAAATGCTGGATATTAGACCATTGTCAGATGCACAGTTTGCAAATATTTTCTCCCATTCTGTAGGTTGCCTGTTTATTCTGTTGATACTATCTTTTGCTGTGCAGAAGCTCTTTAGTTTAATTAAATCTCTTTTGTCAACTTTTGCTTTTGTCGTAATTGCTTTTGGCATCTACATCATGAAATCTTTGCCTGTTGCTTTGTCAAGAATGGTATTGCCAAGTCGTCTTCCAGGGATTTTTAGAGGTTTGGGTTTTACACTTAAGTCTTTAATTTTAAATGTAGGTTGTCTTCCAGGGTTTTTACAGTTTGGGTTTTTACATTTAAGTCTTTAATCCATTTTAAGTTGATTTTTTTTTTTGAGTCTGTCTCCAAAGTTCTTTTTTTTTTTAAATTTTATTATTATTATACTTTAAGTTTTAGGGTACATGTGCACAACATGCAGGTTTGTTACATAGGTATACATGTGCCATGTTGGTGTGCTGCACCCATTAACTCCTCATTTAGCATTAGGTATATCTCCTAATGCTATCCCTTCCCCTTCCCCCCACCCCACAACAGTCCCCAATGTGTGATGTTCCCCTTCCTGTGTCCATGTGTTCTAATCGTTCAACTCCCACCTATGAGTGAGAACATGCGGTGTTTGGTTTTTCGTCCTTGGCAATAGTTTGTTGAGAATGATGGTTTCCAGTTTCATCCATGTCCCTACAAAGGACATGAACTCATCCTTTTTTATGGCTGCATAGTATTCCATGGTGTATATGTGCCACATTTTCTTAATCCAATCTATCATTGTTGGACATTTGGGTTGGTTCCAAGACTTTGCTATTGTGAATACTGCCGCAATAAACATACGCGTGCATGTGTCTTTATAGCAGCATGATTTATAATCCTTTGGGTATATACGCAGTAATGGGATGGCTGGGTCAAATGGCATTTCTAGTTCTAGATCCCTGAGGAATTGGCACACCGACTTCCACAATGGTTGAACTAGTTTACAGTCCCACCAACAGTGTAAAAGTGTTCCTATTTCTCCACATCCTCTCCAGCACCTGTTGTTTCCTGACTTTTTAATGATCGCCATTCTAACTGGTGTGTGATGGTATCTCATTGTGGTTTTGATTTGCATTTCTCTGATGGCCAGTGATGATGAGCATTTTTTCATGTGTTTTTTTGGCTGCATAAATATCTTCTTTTGAGAAGTGTCTGTTCATATCCTTCGCCCACTTTTTGATAGGGTTGTTTGTTTTTTTCTTGTAAATTTGTTTGAGTTCATTGTAGATTCTGGATATTAGCCCTTTGTCAGATGAGTAGGCTGCAAAAATTTTCTCCCATTTTGTAGGTTGCCTGTTCACTCTGACAGTAGTTTCTTTTGCTGTGCAGAAGCTCTTTAGTTTAATTAGATCCCATTTGTCAATTTTGGCTTTTGTTGCCATTGCTTTTGGTGTTTTAGACATGAAGTCCTTGCCCATGCCTATGTCCTGAATGGTATTGCCTAGGTTTTCTTCTAGGGTTTTTATGGTTTTAGGTCTAACATGTAAGTCTTTAATCCATCTTGAATTAATTTTTGTATAAGGTGTAAGGAAGGGATCCAGTTTCAGCTTTCTACATATGGCTAGCTAGTTTTCCCAGCACCATTTATTAAATAAGGAATCCTTTCCCCATTGCTTGTTTTTGTCAGGTTTGTCAAAGACCAGATAGTTGTAGACGTGTGGCATTATTTCTGAGGGCTCTGTTCTGTTCCATTGGTCTATATCTCTGTTTTGGTACCAGTACCATGCTGTTTTGGTTACTGTAGCCTTGTAGTATAGTTTGAAGTCAGGTAGCATGATGCCTCCAGCTTTGTTCTTTTGGCTTAGGATTCACTTGGCAATGTGGGCTCTTTTTTGGTTCCATATGAACTTTAAAGTAGTTTTTTCCAATTCTGTGAAGAAAGTCATTGGTAGCTTGATGGGGATGGCATTGAATCTATAAATTACCTTGGGCAGTATGGCCATTTTCATGATATTGATTCTTCCTACCCATGAGCATGGAATGTTCTTCCATTTCTTTGTAGCCTCTTTTATTTCATTGAGCAGTGGTTTGTAGTTCTCCTTGAAGAGGTCCTTCACATCCCTTGTAAGTTGGATTCGCAGGTATTTTATTCTCTTTGAAGCAAATGTGAATGGGAGTTCACTCATGATTTGGCTCTCTGTTTGTCTGTTATTGTTGTATAAGAATGCTTGTGATTTTTGTACATTGATTTTGTATCCTGAGACTTTGCTGAAGTTGCTTATCAGCTTAAGGAGATTTTGGGCTGAGAAGATGGGGTTTTCCAGACATACAATCATGTCATCTGCAAACAGGGACAATTTGACTTCCTCTTTTCCTAATTGAATACCCTTTGTTTCCTTCTGCTGCCTGATTGCCCTGGCCAGAACTTCCAACACTATGTTGAATAGGAGTGATGAGAGAGGGCATCCCTGCCTTGTGCCAGTTTTCAAAGGGAATGCTTCCAGTTTTTGCCCATTCAGTATGATATTGGCTGTGGGTTTGTCATAGATAGCTCTTATTATTTTGAGATACGTCCCATCAATACCTAATTTATTGAGACTTTTTAGCATGAAGGGTTGTTGACTTTTGTCAAAGGCCTTTTCTGCCTTTCTATCTCTATTGAGATAATCATGTGGTTTTTGTCTTTGGTTCTGTTTATATGCTGGATTACATTTATTGATTTGTGTGTGTTGAACCAGCCTTGCATCCCAGAGATGAAGCCCACTTGGTCGTGTTGGATAAGCTTTTTGATGTGCTGCTGGATTCGGTTTGCCAGTATTTTATTGAGGATTTTTGCATCAATGTTCATCAAGGATATTAGTCTAAAATTCTCCTTTTTGTTGTGTCTCTGCCAGGCTTTGGTATCAGGATGATGCTGGCCTCATAAAATGAGTTAGGGAGGATTCCCTCTTTTTCTGTTGATTGGAATAGTTTCAGAAGGAATGGTACCAGCTCCTCCTTGTACCTCTGTTTAAGTTGATTTTTGTATATAGTGTGAGGAACATGTCCAGTATCAATCTTCTGCTTATGGTTAGCCAGTTATCCCAGCACTATTTATTTAATAGGGAATCCTTTCCCTGTTGCTTGTTTTTGTCAGCTTTGTCAAAGATGAGATTATTATCGTTATGGGGCCTTATTTCTGGGTTCTCTATTCTGTTCCATTTGTCTATGTCTCTGTTTTTGTAGTAGTACCATGCTGTTTTGCAGCCCTGTATTATAGTTTGAAGTCAGGTAGCGTGATGCCTCCAGCTTTGTTCTTTTTGCTTAGGATTGCCTTTTTGAGCTTTTTTATGGTTCCATATGAACTTTAAAATACTATTTTCTAGTTCTGTGAAGAATGTCATTGGTAGTTTAATAGAAATAGCATTGAATCTACAAATTGCTTTGGACAGTATGGCCATTTTAATGATATTGAGTCTTCCTATACAAGAGTATGGAATGTTTTCCATTTGTTTGTGTCATCTCTGATGTTGTTGAGTAATGTTTTATAGTTCTTTCTGTAAAGATCTGTCACCTCTCTGGTTAGCTGTATTCCCAGTTATTTTATGTTGTGGCTGTTGTGAATGTGATTGTGTTCCTGGTTTGGCTTTCAGCTTGACTATTGTTGATGTATAGGAATGCTAGTGATTTTTGTACATTGATTTTGTATCCTGAGACTTAGTCAAAGTTGTTTATTAGCTTAAGGAGCCTTTGGGCTGAGACTATAGGGTTTTCTAGATATAGGATCATGTCATCAGCAGAGAGGGATAGTTTGACTTACTCTCTTTATTTCTTTCTGTTGTCTGATTTCACCAGCCAGGACTTCCAACACTATGTTGAATAGGAGTGGTCAGAGAGGGTATCCTTGTCTTTTGCGGGTTTTGAGGGGAAATGTTCCAGCTTTTGCCAATTCAGTATGATGTCAGCTGTGGGTTTGTCGTAGATGGCTCTTATTATTTTGAGGTATGTTCCTTCAATACCTAGTCTATTGAGAGTTTTTAACATGAAGCAATGTTGAATTTTGTGAAAGCCTTTTCTGCATCTATTGAGATAATGTGGTTTTTGTCTTTTGTTTTGTTTATGCGATGAATCACATTTATTTTTTTGTGTCTGTTGAACAAACTTTGCATTCCAGGGGTGAAGCCTACTTGATCGGGTGGAGAAGCTCTTACGATGTGCTGCTGGATTCAGTTTGCTGGTGTTTTGTTAAGGATTTTTGCGTTGATGTTCATCAAGGATATTGGCCTGAAGTTTTTTTGTTGTTGTTGTATCTCCACCAGGTTTTGGAATCAGAATGATGCTTACCACATAGAATGAGGTAGGGAGGAGTCCCTCTTCAATTTTTGAAATAGTTTCATCAGGAATGGTATCAGCTCTTCTTTTTATATCTGGTAGTATTCAGCTGTGAAACCTTCTGGTCCTGGGCTGTTTTTGGTTGGTAGGCCATTAATTACTGATTTAATTCAGAGCTCATTATTGGTCTATTCAGGGATTCAACTTCTTCCTGGTTCAGTCTTGGGAGGATGTATATGTCCAGGAATTTATTCATTTCTTCTAGATTTTCTAGTTTATGTGCATAGAGGTATTCATAATATTTTCTGATGGTTGTTTGTATTTCTCTGGGGTCAGTGGTAATATATTTGCTTTTTCATTTCTGATTGTATTTATTTGGATCCTCTCTCTTTTCTTCTTTATTAGTCTAGCTAGTGGTAGAGGTATTTTATTAATTTTCTCAAAAAATGCCTCCTGTATTCATTGATATTTTAAATGGCTTTTCATGTGTCAGTCTTCTTCAGTTCAGCTCTAATTTCGGTTATTTCTTGTCTTCTGCTAGCTCTGGGATTGGTTTGCTCTTGGTTTCCTACTTTTTGTTGTGGTGTTGGGTTGTTAACTTGAGATCTTTCTTTATGATATGGACTTTAAGAGCTCTAAATCTATCTTAACACTGCTTTAGCTGTGTCCCAGAGATTCTTGCATGTTGTATGTTTGTTCTCATTGTTTTAAAAAACTTGATTTCTATCTTAATTTCATTATTTAACCGAAAGCCATTCAGAGCAGGTTATTCAATGTAAATGTACTTGTATGGTTTTGAGTGAATTTCTTTGTTTTGATTTCTAATTTCATTGTGCTATGGTCAGAAAGATTGTTTATTGTGGTTTCAGTTCTTTTGCATTTGCTGAAAAGTGTTTTACTTACAATTATGTGATTGATTTTAGAGTAAGTACCATGTGACAATGAGAAGAATATATATTCTGTTGTTTTGGGGTAGAGAATTCTGTAGATGTTTATCAGTTCCATTTGGTACAGTGCTGAGTTCAAGTCCTGAATAACTTTTTGAATTTTCTACCTCAATAATCTATCTAATATTGTCAATGGGGTGTTAAAATCTCTTACTATTATTGTGTGGGAGTCTAAGTCTCTTCTAAGGTGTTCAAGAACTTTCTTTATGAATCTGCGTGCTTCTGCATTGAGTGTATATATATTTAGGATACTTAGGTCTTGTTGAATTCAACCCTTTACCATTATGTAATGCCCTTCTTTGTCTTTTTTCATCTTTGTTGGTTTAAAATCTGTTTTGTCTAAAACAAGGATTGAAATCATTACTTTTTTTGTTTGTTTTTCATTGGCTTGTTGGATTATTCTGTGTCCCTTTATTTTGAACCTATGCATGTCCTGCTTCTATAATTACTAACTGTGGGACCTTGGGTAAGATGGTTGCCCTTTCTTAACCTCGCACTCCTCATCTGTTAACTGGAGGTAATAATAGAGCCTACCTCACTGGGTTTTCGCCCCTGAGGATTACATGAGATAATGTAGCATCTAGACTATTACGAGGAAGGTGGAAAGAACTGTTTTCAAGTTGTTTCCCATAGGTGGGATAAATTTTACTTATTTTGAAAACTTTTCCAATGACTGTGTAAACAACATGGCGTTTCCCCAGCATAAATCCTGATCAAAGACTAAAGTACTTGCTAAACCAGGTTATTAGCAGATAATAGTCAGTGTCAGAGTAAGTGGCTAAGAAAACAAGACTTCAAAACCTGAAGACCTAGATTTGAATCCTTGGTTTTCATCGTATTAGCTGTGGGATTTTGAGACGGCACTTAAAGTCTCTGGGCCTGTTTTATCTTTTTTTTAAAAGGATACACTATTCGTTTCTGCCTTGAAAGTTGTTATAAAGACTGAATAAATCCGCATGAAGCACTTAGTGCAATATGTGGCATGTTGTAGGCAATCTCAAG
Organism: Homo sapiens; assembly: GCF_000001405.40. NCBI lineage: Eukaryota > Metazoa > Chordata > Mammalia > Primates > Hominidae > Homo > Homo sapiens. The sequence goes on from NC_000003.12 coordinate 68,385,629, forward strand.
TGTTTGCTATGACTAGATTTATTCATAATGTTATTGTTAAACATATCTAGAAGCCATTACAAACTATAGCCTGTAGGCCAAACTCTACTTGCCTCCTTTTTTTTTAAGTAGTTTCCTACTGGAACACAGTCACACTTACTCATTTACAAATTATTTGTCTTTTCAAATTTTTTTATTTGAAATACAATTGTACGTATTTATGAGGTATATAGTGATGTTTTGATACATATAGCATGCAGTGAGCAAATCAGGGTAATTAGCATATCCATCATCTTGAACATTGATTATTTCTTAGTGTTGGGAGCATTGAGTATCCTTTTTCTAGTTATCTGAAACTGTATAATATATTAGTGTTAACTCTGGCCATCCTACAGTGCTAAAAGTTGGCTGCTTTTGTGTTACAAGTAGCCACAGAGTTCACATGGTCCCCCGAGCCTAATACTTTCACTATCTGGCCCTTCACAGAAAAACTTTGCTGACTTGCTATGAACAAGACATTGTGCCAAATTTATTCTCCACACCATGAATAATATTTTTTCAGTAACACACGATAGATACTGTTGTTATCCTTATTTTTTATATGAGGAAACAAAGACTCAGATTTACCACTTAAAATGTCCAAAGTCCTACAACTAACAAATGACACAGCTGGAATTTGAAGCACTTTTATATGACACTACAGTTCACAATCGTAATCATATCACATTTTTTAGATTAGGTTAGATTGTTCTCTGGTGATGTGTAGTGACTGAGGTGGTTACGAGTTTTTTTTTGTTTGTTTTTTTAGTTGTCTCTAGTATCCTATGTAGATAGCATGGAGAGCACATATTTGAAAAGTCCACATTTGGGTCAATCATTTCCATTTTACAAGTGTTAAGAACTCATCTAGGGTGCTATGCACATGATCTAGCCTGACAATCCTGGAGGAGACTGGCCTAGCTACAGATAGGTTTTTCTACTACCATCTTTTTTGACAACTATCCTTCCCTTCCCTGGAGAGAACTGTTTGCCTTCACCAAGAATGCTGGCTCCAGAAGGCCAGCTGTGTAGCTGATGAATTAGTTTTGTAGACTATTGCTTTCTTTTCTGTTGGCCTCTTGGGTGTCTGCTCTGTAGCTAGTAGGTGTGAAGCTTATAGAAACGTGTGTAGCTGCAGCTTTGCCTGCCAGAAGCTTATTTTGTTTGAGACAATACCATTTCCCTTTGATTCATTTTTGAAATATATTATATGCATAAGAATTAGGTCCTAGGAACAATTTCCCATGAGATCAATTTGCAAGACTCTTTAGTTTAGAAAGAAAGATCATTCTCTTGTGTGTATTGGTTTGATATGGAAATACATATACTTGCCCTACATCTAGATTGCTAGTGTGCTCAGAATTTTCTTTATAAAGTTCAAAATTAAATCCATACACTCTGTGCCTAATTTTATTTTTTTTTTTGGTGTCTGCATGCAGACACTTTCTTAAGGATGGAGCCCTTAAGCACAAGAAGAGTGTGATGGAACAAATCTCAAATCTACAGCTTCAAAAATCTGTCTTTGTTGTTGGCTGAAAGCAGGACTAAAAGTTCTGGTGACTATAAATCCAGACATTGTACTTTCAGTGATAATTAGGTTTCTCACAGATCTGACATTCTCTATGCTAGACTCTAAATGGCAGTCTATAGCTCAGTTTGCAAAAGGGGGCTATTTTAAGACACTAAGGAAGAGATTATTGGAGTTCTCCAGTTACACATAAGCCTCTCCTTAAGGTCATTGATTAAACGTAATGTTCGTGGAGCCTAGGGTATTTATTTATTTTTTACATTAAATAGTGCCACTCAGGCGATTTTTATTCATGCTATTCTGTGCCATGGAAATGTTGTATCTCAACAGAGGATTGTGGTATGAGTTTACTCCATGTTCAACCTTCAACAAGCATTTACTAGTAAATAACTCTGAGCCAGACATTATGATGGGTGCTGGGGAAATAAAGGCATGATGATGTATTAGATTGATTTATTTTCCCAGATTTTCTGTTTCCTTTAGTGAGTCGTTTTTCTGCTTTCACTCAGGACATAATTTGAAAGGCAATTCTCTGCTGTAGTCAAAGATTCCCCATATGAGGTCCATCAGTAGTACATGTAGGCTCTAACAGGGATACAAAAAACTGTTTTTCCCCCTTCATGGTGGAGGAACTCATGGTTACTTTCTGAGACCACAGCCTTGGAAGGTTATTTATAATATGCATTTCATTCAGCTCTAGGTTTTTATGAAAAACAATTATTATTGTGTTTAACAAAAGTATCTAAACCATTTCTGACTATATCATTAAAACTAATTCCTGAGATTCAAAGTGGAACTTCCCTGTTCCACTAAAATAACTCATGTTACTTCATGAATGAATGTTAAGCCTTAATTCCATAATAGGCATATTATATATAGTTTGAAAAGGCATATTCAGTATTTCAATATGTCATTTTTAGAAACCACGTAAAATTCCTCTTGTTTTAACTAACATTAGAAAAATTAGGGTCAGAGAAATCGTGGCGGCTGGAGATATGAAGAAAAATAACAATTTTTACCAGAGAGTTTTAGGGGACATGGCATTGAGTGAACACGTTAGTATCACTAGATGTGAACTATATGTTTATAAAAAGGTAGTATAGATCTAAAGAAAAAAGATTGCATTCATTAAATTTTATTTGCTTTAGGTAACAAACTTTTATGAATAAAGCTCCAAAGCACATTAGCAAATTTAGTAACTATATTACACAGAGGCCTCAATGTGCATTCACTGTGAATTTAGACCTTTCTATTTTTTTAAACATTATTGCTCTAAGCCTATTTTCATCTATATTTTTGCATTTTTTCTCTAATATATCATAGCTAACGTTTGTCTCTGTAATTTTCCATTTTTGCTGTATTCAGCTCATTTTGCCACCTATGACGTTTTTTTTATCTAACCACCAGCATCCTTTTTATTTGCTTTTCCCAACCAATTCCCACATCTACAGAGTTAGATGGAGTGCTAACAGGATCTTTGTTTTGTCATACGCTTTCGGCCTATATTCCAAAACTCTGAAACTGACAACTCTACTGAAATGAATCATTCTTAAAAAAGACATTCTACTTTTTAAATAATTTATGGCCATCTGATTTTTTTTTAATGTAAACTTCAGGGTCAGAAGGGACCTTTTGGATGGTGTTTTTAAACCTTAATAATTAGCCAACATTTCTATCATAATAGAATAGAGATCTCCATGTGATTAGCCATTAATACTTCAGCTTTACTTTGAAATCTGTTTCTTACAAGATTAAGTTGTAATTTTCACTTAATTTATACTTTTTGAGTGAACTTTTTGTTTTACAATGAAAGTAAGAAAAGTATCTCTGACCCTGGGTTAAAGGTCACATTACTATTTAATTAAAATAAAACTGTGGGTTTGCTAAGCAGTACATGGTCCACGTTTATAAGGAGAGTTCTGTATTTTTGAAGTTCATCCATGTAGGTTGATATTTTGGGAAACATGCCTAGACAGTCTTTATTCTGCCTCGGGGGACTTTGTATGTGTAAAACCATGACATGCTTGGCCTTGATTTACAAATGATCGCATGTCAACTTAAATATAATATGTATTTGACAGGGCTTTCTAGGCTCACATTTTTTACCAGAGGAAACACTGGCCATACACAAAAAGCTTTCATCAACCTGGCCTCTTTGTGACTAAAAATATTGTATTCATTTCTTATATTATCTTTAATAACTGTCCCATTTTTTCTATTATGAATAAGGCATTTAATATCTTTGTATGCATAACTTTGTAAACTTTTGCAAGAATATCAATAGAAGAGATTTTAAGAATTGATATTACTGGGTCAAAGGGTATGTCCATTGAAATATTAGTAAATACTGCCAAATTATATTCTTTTAAAAAGTATCTATTGGTTGATTCCCGGGCAAGATGGCCAAATAGGAACAGCTCCGGTCTGCAGTTCCCAGCAACAACAGCAGAGAAGGCGGGTGATTTCTGCATTTCTAACTGAGGTACCTGGCTGATCTCATTGGGACTGGTTAGACAGTGGGCGCAACCCACAGAGGGTGAGCAGAAGCTGGGTGGGGTGTTACCCCACCCAGGAAGTGTAAGAGGTTGAGAAACTCCCTCCCCTAGCCGAGGGAAGCAATGAGGGACTGTGCTGTGCGGGATGGTGCTATCCGGCCCAGATACTACGCTTTTCCCAAAGTCTTTGCAACCCACAGACCAGATTTGCTTGGGTGCCTACACCACCAGGGCCCTGGGTTTCAAGCACAAAATTGGGCAGCCATATGGGCAGACACTGAGCTAGCTGCAGGACTTTTTCTTGTACCCCAGTGGTGCCTGGAATGCCAGTGACAACCGTTCACTCCCCTGGAAAGGGGGGTGAAGCAAGGAAGGTGAGTGGTCTTGCTCAGCAGACCCTACCCCCATGGAACTCAACAAGCTAAGGTCCACTGGCTTGAAATTCTCACGGCCAGCACAGCAGTCTGAAGTCAACCTGGGATGCTCAAGCTTGGTGGGGGAAGGGGCGTCCGCCATTACTGAGGCTTGAGTACAGGGTTTTCCCCTCACAGTGTAAACAAAGCCTCTGGGAAGTTCAGACTGGGCAGAGCTCACCACAGAACCACAAAGCTACTGTAGCCAGACTGCCTCTCTAGATCCCTCATCTCTGGGCAGGGCATCTCTGAAAGAAAGGGAGAAACCCCAGTCAGGGACTTATATATAAAACTCCCATCTCCCTGGGACAGAGCACCTATGGGAAGGGGCAGCTGTGGGGACAGCTTAAGCAGACTTAAACATTCCTGCCTGCCAGCTCAGAAGAGAGCAGCAGATCTCTCAGCACAGCACTTGAGCTCTGCTAAGGGACAGACTGCCTCTTCAAGTGGGTTCCTGACCCCCATGCCTTCTGATGGGGAGACACCTCCCAGCAGGGGTTGACAGGTGCCTTATACAGGAGAGGCAGCGGGCATCTGGCAGGTGGCCCTGTGGGACAAAGCTTCCAGAAGAAGGAGCAGGCAGCAATCTTTGCTGTTTTGCAACCTCTGCTGGTGATACTCAGGCAAACAGGGTCTGGAGTAGACCTCCAGCAAACTCCAGCAGATCTGCAGAAGAGGGATCTGACTGACTGTTAGAAGAAAAACTAGCAAACAGAAAGCAATACCATCAACATCGCAAAAAGGATGGCCATGCAGAAACTGCATCTGAAGGTCACCAAAATCAAAGACCAAATGTCAGTAAATCCACGAAGAAGGGGAAAAAGCAGCACAAAAAGGCTGAAAATTCCAAAACCCAGAACACCTCTTTTCTTCCAAAGGATCACAACTCCTGGCCAGCAAGGGAACAAAACTGGACTGAGAATGAGTTTGATGAATTGACGGAAGTAGGCTTCAGAAGGTGGGTAATAACAAAAATCCTCTGAGCTAAAGGAACATGTTGTAACCCAATGCAAGGAAGCTAAGAACCTTGATAAAAGGTTACAGGAACTGCTAACTAGAATAACCAGTTTAGAGAAGAACATAAATGACCTGATGGAGCTGAAAAACACAGCGTGAGAACTTTGTGAAGCATATACAAGTGTCAATAGCCAAATCAATCAAGTAGAAGAAAGGATATTAGAGACTGAAGATCAACTTAATGAAATAAAGCATGAAGACAAGATTAGAGAAAAAAGAGAATGAAAAGGAATGAACAAAGCCTCCAAGAAACATGGGACTATGTGAAAAGACCAGACCTATGTTTGGTGTACCTGAAAGTGACAGGGAGAATGGAACCAAGTTGGAAAATACTCTTCAGGATATTATCCAGGAGAACTTCCCCAACCTAGCAAGACAGGCCAACATTCAAATTCAGGAAATGCAGAGAACACCACAAAGATAATCCTCAAGAAGAGCAACCGTAAGACACATAATCGTCAGATTCACCATGGTTGAAATGAAGGAAAAAATGTTAAGGACAGCCAGAGAGAAAGGTCGGGTTACCCACAAAGGGAAGCCCACCAGACTAACAGTGGATCTCTCTGCAGAAACCCTATAAGCCAGAAGAGAGTGGGGTCCAATATTCAACATTCTTGAAGAAAATAATTTTCAACTCAGAATTTCATATCCAGCCAAACTAAGCTTTATAAGTGAAGGAGAAGTAAAATCCTTTACAGACAAGCAAATGCTGAGGGATTTTGTCACCACCAGGCCTGCCATACCAGAGCTCCTGAGGAAGCACTAAACATGGAAAGGAAAAATCAGTACCAGCCACTGCAAAAGCATATCAAAATGTAAAGACCATCAACACTATGAAGAAACTGCATCAACTAATGGGCAAAATAACCAGCTGGAATCATAATGACAGGACCAAATTCACACATAACAATACTAACCTTAAATGTAAATGGGTTAAATGCCCCAATTAAAAGACACAGACTGGCAAATTGGATAAAGAGTCAACACCCATCAGTGTGCTGTATTCAGGAGTCCGATCTCATGTGCAAAGACACACATAGGCTCAAAATAAAGGGAGGGAGGAATATTTAGGAAAGCAAAAAAAAAAAAAAAAAAAAGTAGGGATTGCAATCCTAGTCTCTGATAAAGCAGAATTTCAACCAACAAAGATCAAAAAAGACAAAGAAGGATATTACATAATGGTAAAGGATTAATGCAACAAGAAGAGCTAACTATCCTAAATAAATACGCATCCAATACAGGAGCACCCAGATTCATAAAGCAAGTCCTTAGAGACCTACAAAAAGACTTAGACTCCCACACAATAATAGAGGGAGACTTTAGTACCCCACTGTCAATATCAGACAGATCAATGAGACAGAAAATTAACAAGGATATTCAGGACTTGAACTCAGCTCTGGACCAAGCAGAACTAATAGACATCTGCAGAACCCTCCATCTCAAATCAACAGAATATACGTTCTTCTCAGCACCGTATCGCACTTATTCTAAAACTGGCCACATACTTGGAAATAAAACACTCCTCAGCAAATGCAAAAAAACGGAAATCAGAACAGTCTCTCAGACCACAGTGCAATCGAATTAGAACTCACGATTAAGAAACTCACTCACAACCACTCAACTACATGGAAACTGAACAACCTGCTCCTGAATGATTGCTAAGTAAATAACAAAATGAGGCAGAAATAAATAAGTTCTTTGAAACCAGTGAACACAAAGACACAACGTACCAGAATCTCTGGGACACAGCTAAAGCAGTGTTTAGAGGGAAATTTATAGCGCTAAATGTCCACATGAGAAAGTGGGAAAGATCTAAAATCAACACCCTAACGTCACAATTAAAAGAACTAGAGAAGCAAGAGCAAACAAATTCACAAGCTGTCAGAAGACAAAAAATAACTAAGATCAGAACAGAACTGAAGGAGATAGAGAGATGAAAAATCCTCCAAAAAATCAATGAGTCCAGGAGCTGGTTTTTGAAAATATTAACAAAATAGACCACTAGCCAGACTAATAAGAACAGAGAGAAGAATCAAGTAGACACACACACAGAGAAAAAAAAGATAAAGGGAATATCACCACCGATCCCACAGAAATACAAACTATCATCAGAGAATACTATAAACAACTGTACACAAATAAACTGGAAAATCTAGAAGAAATGGATAAATTCCTGGACACATACACCCTCCCAAGACTAAATCAGGAAGAAGTCAAATCCCTGAATAGACCAATAGCAAGTTCTCAAATAAAGGCAGTAATTAATAGCCTACCAATGGAAAAAAAAAAAAAGCCAGGATTAGATGGATTCATAGCCAAATTCTACCAGACTTTCAAAGAGAAGCTGGTACCATTCCTTCAAAAACTATTTCAAACAACAGAAAAAGAGGCACTCCTCCCTAAGTTATTTTATGAGGCAAGCATCATCCTGATAGAAAAACCTGGCAGAGACACAATGAAAAAAAGAAAATTTCAGGGCAATATCCCTGTTGAACATCAATGCAAAAATCCTCTATAATATACTGACAGACCGAATCCATCAGCACATTAAGAAGCTTATCCAGCACAATCAAGTCAGCTTCATCCCGAGGATGCAAAGCTGATTCAACATATGCAAATCAATAAATATAATCCATCACAGAAACAGAATCAATGACAAAAATTACGTGATTATCTCAATAGATGCAAAAAAGGCCTTTGATAAAATTCAACACCCCTTCATGCTAAAAACACTCAATAAACTAGGTATTGATGGAATGTATCTCAAAATAATAAGAGCTATTTATGACAAAACCACAGCCAATATCATACAGAAAGGGCAAAAGCTGGAAGCATTCCCTTTGAAAACTGGCACAAGACAAGGATGCCCTCTCTCACCACTCCTATTCAACATAGTATTGGAAGTTCTAGCCAGGGCAATCAGTCAAGAGAAAGAAATATGCATTTAGAAAACCACATCGTCTCAATCCAAAAACTCCTTAAGCCAATAAGCAACTTCAGCAAAGTCTCAGGATACAAAATCAATGTGGAAAAATCACAAGCATTCCTGTACACCAATAATAGACAAACAGAGCCAAATCATGAGTAAACTCCCATTCACAATTGCTGCAAAGAGAATAAAATACCTAGGAATACAACTTACAAGGTGTGTGAAAGACTTCTTCAGGGAGAACTACAAACCACTGCTCAAGGAAATAAGAGAGGACACAAACAAATGGAAAAACATTCCATGCTCATGGATAGGAAGAATCAATATCGTGAAAATGGCCATGCTCCCCAAAGTAATTTATAGATTCAATGCTATCCCAATCAAACTACCATTGACTTTCTTCACAGAATAAGAAAAAAAACTACTTTAAATTTCATATGGAACCAAAAAGGAGCCCATACAACCAAGGCAATCCTAAGCAAAAAGAACAAAATTGGAGGCATCATGCTACCTGACTTCAAACCATACTGCAAGACTACAGTAACCAAAACAGCATGGTACTGGTACCAAAACAGATATATAGACCAGTGGAACAGAACAGAGGCCTCACAAATAACACTATGCATCTACAAGTACCTGATCTTCCACAAACAAAAACAAGCAATGGGGAAAGGATTCCCCATTTAATAAATGGTGTTGGGAAAACTGGCTAGCCATATGCAGAAAACTGAAACTGAACCTCTTCCTTACACTTTATACAAAAAATAACTCAAGGTAGATTAAAGATTTAGATGTAAGTCCTAAAACCATAAAAACTCTAGAAGAAAACCTAGGCAAATACCATTCAGGATATAGGCACTGGCAAAGACTTCATGACTAAACACCAAAAGCAATTGCAACAAAAGCCACAATTGACAAATGGGATCTAATTAAATCAAAGAGCTCTGCCCATCAGAAGAAACTATCATCTGAGTGAACAGGCAACCTACCGAATGGGAGAAAATTTTTGCAATATATTCATCTGACAAAGGGCTAATATCCAGAAACTACAAGGAACTTAAATTTGCAAGAAGAAAGCTAACAACCCCATCAAAAATGGCCAAAGGATATAAACAAACACTTTTCAAAAGAAGACATTTATGCGGCCAACAAACATATGAAAAAAAAACTCATCACTGGTCGTTAGAGAATTGCATATTAAAAGCACAATGAGATACCATCTCAACCAGTTAGAATGGCAATTATTAAAAAGTCAGGAAACAACAGGTGCTGGAGAGGATGTGGAGAAATAGGAACGCTTTTACACTGTTGGTGAGAGTGTAAATTAGTTCAACCATTGTGGGAAATGGTGTGGCCATTCCTCAAGGATCTAGAACTAGAAATACCATTTGACCCAGCAATCCCATTACTGGCTATATACCCAAAGGATTATAAATCATTGCACTATAAAGACACATACGTTTACTGCACATGCACACATACGTTTACTGCAGTACTGTTCACAAGAGCAAACACTTGCTAACAACCCAAATGTCCATCAATGATAGACAGGATAAAGAAAATGTGGCACATATACACTATGGAATACTATGCAGCCATAAAAAAGAATGAGTTTATGTCCTTTGCAGGGACATGGATGAAGCTGGAAACCATCATTCTCAGCAAACTAACACAGGAAGAGAAAACCAAACACTGCATATTCTCACTCATAAGTGAGAGTTGAACAATTAGAACATATGGGCTCAGGGAGGGGAATATCACACACTGGGGCCTGTTGGAGGATGGTGGGCAAGGGAGGGATACTATTAGGAGAAATACCTAATGTAGATGACAGGTTGATGGGTGCAGCAAACCACCATGGCACATGTATACCTATGTAACAAACTTACATGTATCCCAGAACTTAAAGTATAATAATAATAATAATAATAAAATATCTACTGGCATTCTCCCCAATTGTGTTTGAGAGTGTCTGTGTCTGCATACCTTCACCAACTTTGATATTAGCATTCTTTATAATTTTTGCCAAACTGGGGGAAAATGTTTGTAGATTTACTTTATATTTCCTTATTATTTTGTGAGGACTTTTGATTTTGGTCATTTGGTTTTTGTTTATTTTAGAGTAAAAACCCTGTTGAGATGAGAATTTTATAAATCAGAATTCTAGTGTTTGCTTCATTTTAAGACAAATTTTAAAAATTGAAATGTAATATATACTGATATAAACAGACAAGTCATGAATGAACAGCTCAGTGGATTTCCATTAACTGAACTCACCCATGATACCATAACTCACATCAAGAGCTAGAATGTTACCAGCAATCCAGAAGTATCCCTGGTGTCCCTTCTCTGTCTCTACTACCTTTCCCAAGGTAGCTACTGTCCCAACTTCTAGCACTACAGGTTACTCTTGTCTTTAAAAACAAAACAAAAAAGAACCTTTTATTTAAATGGACTTCTATACTATATCTTCTTTGGTGACTGGCTGCTTTCATTGACTGTGTTGCATGTAGCAGTAGATGGTTCCTTCTCATTGCTGTACACTAGTCTACTGCAGTAACATACCACAATTTAGTTTTGCTATTGATAAACATCACAGTTACTTTCAATTTGGGACTATAATCAACAAAACTGCCATAGACATTTCTGCATACTTCTTCAATGGATGTATTTGTTATTCTTGGGCATATGCCTAGTAGAAGGATAATGTAAAATTTATCCATACATAAAGTTATCCAAACCTTCCATAAAAGTTTAAACAATTCTATTAAAATGCTGCTTTCATCACGTTATTTTACCTGTTAAAATCTTTTAAGAACTACTCAGTGTCCTCTGAATAGAATAAGAACATTTTTAAATGAATTTTAAGGTCCACTATGAATTTACAACTGATTGTCTTTCACCCTTTCCCTTGCTCTCATCCTCAATGGCATCTTCCTTCATTTTGACCCCAGCACTCCAATCTCCAGCCATACTTAGTTGTTTGCCATTTTGTTTGGAGGAAAAATCTTAGTATTAACCATGAAAGACTTAAACAAAACTATGGAGGAAAAAAAGGAGAAAGGTGCTGTTTCTCTAAGACTGTTCTCGTGAGGATCTTCCGTTTTCTTTCTTTTTTTTAAATTTATTGTTTTACTTTAAGTTCCGAGTACATGTACAGAACATGTAGGTTTGTTACATAGGTATGCATCTGCCATGGTGGGTTGCTGCACCCATCAACCCATCACCTAGGTTTTAAGTCCCGCATGCGTTAGGTATTTGTCCTAATGCTGTCCCTCCCCTTGCCCCCTACCCGCCAACAGGCCCCGGTGTGTGATGTTCCCCTTTCTGTGTCCATGTGTCCTCACTGTTCAACTTCCATTTATGAGTGAGAACATGTGGTGTTTGGTTTTCTGTTCCTGTGTTAGTTTGCTGAGAATGATGGTTTCCAGCTTCATCCATGTCCCTGCAAAGGACATAAACTCATTCTTTCTTTTACGGCTGACTAGTATTCCATGGTTTATATGTGCCACATTTTCTTTATCCAGTCTATCATTGATGGACATTTGGGTTGTTTGCAAGTCTTTGCTATTGTGAACAGTGACACAATAAACACACGTGTGCATATGTCTTTATAATAGAATGAGTTATAATCCTTTGAGTGTATACCCAGTAATGGGATTGCTGGGTGAAATGGTATTTCTTGTTCTAGATCCTTGAAGAATTGCCACACTGTCTTCCACAATGGTTGAACTAATTTATACTCCCACCAACAGCGTAAAAGTGTTCCTATTTCTCCACATCCTCTCCAGCATCTGTTGTTTCCTGATGATAATTTATTTTGCTGTGCAGAAGCTCTTCAGTTTAATTAGATCAATTTGTCAATTTTGTCTTTTGTTACAATTGCTTTTGGTGTTTTAGTCATTAAATATTTTCCCATGCCTATGTCCTGAATGGTATCAATATCATGAAAATGGCCATACTTTCCAAAGTAATTTACAAATTCAGTGTTATTCCCATGAAGCTACTATTGACTTTCTTCACAGAACTAGAAAAAGCTACTTTAAATTTCATATGGAATAAAAAAAAGAGCCCGTATAGCCAAGACAATCCTAAACAAAAAGAACAAAGCTGGAGGCATCACACTACCTGACTTCAAACTATGCTACAAGGCTAAAGTAACCAAAACAGCATGGTACTGGTACCAAAACAAATATATAGACCAATGGAAATGAACAAAGGCATCAGAAATAATACCATACATCTACAACTATCTGATCTTCCACAAACCTGACAAAAACAAGCAATGGGGAAAGGATTCCCTATTTAATAAATGGTGCTGGGAAAACTGGCTAGCCATATGCAGAAAACTGAAACTGGACCCCTTCCTTACACCTTAACAAAAATTAACTCAAGATAGATTAAAGACTTAAATGTAAAACCTAAAACCATAAAAACCCTAGAAGGATCTTCCATTTTCACAAATACTGTCTGGAGCTAGCATCCCTTCAAATGTCTTTCCTGCATTATTGACTGCAGTAGAAGTGGAGTATAAAGCAACTGGGCCTCCCCAATTGCTTCAGATCCCATGTCAATCTCATTAACCTGAATATAGTTTACTGTGAGGAAGAAAACTTTAACCTTAGGTTGAAATTTATGTATTTTTTCCCTAGCTGTTCCTTGATGTTATTTCATTACGAACATTAACTTACGTAAATGTTTCTTCAGGGAACTGAAACTTCAGTAACTATATTCTGCTCTTCAGATTATCAGTCATAAAATGTCTGCTGTCAAATTGACATCTAATCAAAGAAGAATGTTCATTTTCTTGCAGACTTCTCACTGCAGAGTCACTCATTCTTTATTTACAACTTATCTAAAGGAATAAGTTTATATTCTAAAAATTGCATTCTTTTAAATAAAGTAGAAAAATTTCTCTCTCATTTAGTCTAACTGACTTAACATCCAAATTACTCTTTTTCCACACATTGCTTCTACATTGATCAAATGACAATTAATCAATATTTTTTGGCCATAAAAATGTTAAGTTCTAATTTACATAACTTTAGAGTTGAACTAGATTATTCATGACAGTCAATATAATTAAAACATCAAAGGTGATAATAACTACGAAGTTTTACAATCCAAGTCCAGCTATACTGAGCAGTTCATATTACTCCATTTCTTTTTCATGATTATCTTATGAAGAAGGTGTGCATTTTACAAAGCTCAAAGAGTTTAAGAAATGTATCCATTTTACATGGTTTATAAGTAGTAGGGTTGGGATTTGAACCCCTGTTTGAGAGATTGCTGAGCCCAGGAGATTTCACTGTAGTATTAATATTTTGCCAATTATTTCATTTCTCTGTTATTTGGGATTTCTTTACAACAGAGGCTCAACCATCCAGTTGACTAAGAATCAGTTCAATTGACTGTTTAACTATCAATTGCTAGGAATCAATGATGGTGAGTTATTTGGACTTCACCTTCAGTAGAAGTCTCAGAAAATCTGTATCTAATTGATTCCCTTTCCCAATTGCTCTCAGTAAATTTAAAGATATTCAACAATTCTTGCAGGACCATAATTCATGTTAGCCTAATAAAATTCCAATAATTTCATAATAATGGATATATATTAATAATAATAGTAATAAAAACGACTACCCACTTTGAGTGGTTACTGTGTTCTAGGCACTGTGCTAAATGCTTTATGCACATTTTTATTATTCAGTCCTCATATCTACTCAATGAGGTACATAGTTGGAACACTAAAACTTAATTCTAAATGAAGCAAATAAAAGGAGGACCATCTATTGACATGCAGAAACAAAAATTACAGAGGTAGAGCTGTCAGCATTGGATCTAGTGCTCAAAGGTGTCACAAGGGCTGGGTTCATCTATACCGCCTCTCTGCACTGGTCTCCATGTCAGCTCAATCTCGACTCACACAGGATCTCTCCAAAGGTGAGCTCACATTTTAAAGTTCAACAGAAATAAAGCTGCTTTTTACCCAATGTTTCCACACAGCCCAGGTCCAGTCTGACTTAACCAGCTTGGATGACAAGCCTATCCTTAAACCATTCACTGTGGCTGGGAAAAGACTACGCTGTTTGGCCAGGTCACAATCCCACTCCTGGAGCTGTTGTTCATTTGCACTGCATCGACTGAAAATGGGGTAGGGGTGGTCACTCTACAAAGGAAACCAGGTGTGCTGTTACCAAAAGAGGGAATGAGACATAGGCAAGCAGGAACAGTGGATTTCATCTACATATAGTAATAGTCATCATTATTCACATTTTACAGATAAGTAAATTAAGGTTCAAGAAGTTTCATTTGTTGAGATTCACCAGTTATAAAATACAATGACAGTATTCCAGCCAATGACACTCAGAGTAATTACAAAACTATAGTGCATTCCTAGCAACTAAGTCTATACATACAATGAAGATTCTCAAGAGAGCTTTATTGCTTATGCTGCTTATTCCAGCCCTGATAAGGAACCATCAGCATTTGAACCCCAGTAATCCTCCCAACTATAAGGAGAACAGAGTCATATTCAGGCTGAGTGAAGTAGAAACTGCTAAATTCTATTCCTCTCTAAACAATCAGATTCTTTAAGAGACAAATCTGTTTTTATATTTGTATAAATCTTATATATACTGTTGATTCATAGAAGATGTTATTGGTAATGACTCAACTATCAAACTTAGTGGACATTTATACATGGAAATTACCTAATTAATTCCTAACTACACACTTGAGGGGAAAATACACTAGGTGGAAACAAGAAAACAGACAAGAGAAGTAGTGACTATGTCGGGAATGTGCAATCTTCCTAGATGGCCTCAGCGGACTTTCATTTTTATACCATTGACGAGAACTGTGTCAGGTGTTCATCCACAGCTGTGAATAGGACAGAAAAATATTTTTGAATGTGTGGGCAAATTACTGTTCTAGCCATATAGAAAAAGGAGAGAATGAATATTGTGTTGGCAACAGCAATTTCCACAGCCAGGCGTTGTGCTGGACACTTGGGATAAGCCGATCAGTGAAAGCAGGCGTGACCACCAACTCGTGGAGTTTTCACTTCTTGGTAGAGGCAGACAATGTATTTCACAAACACATATAAAATTGCAGTTGTGAATGTGCTGAAGTGGAGGAAGTCATGAGTCCAGGATGATAAAGGGGGAAGTGTCACAGACCCAATCAGGAGGTTAAGGAGGGCTTCCTTGAGGAGGTGACACTGGAGCTAGGGTGGTGTCTCAGTCAACTTTAGCATTTACAGAGTTCTTCTTGTAACAAATCCAGAAGTAAAGAGATAACTAAAGAGAATTTTCCTGATACTTTGAATACACTTGTACCTCATGGCTCTTTGTATTGTGAATCGCAGAAAATCTCATTCAAACTCAATCAAGAGAAAAACGCATTGACTGGCTAAAGTTCAGCGCCCTGCTTCAGGCACAGTGGCATCAAATAATACTAACATAGTGTCAGGAGGTGCTCCACCTCTCTACTCAGTGTCCCTCTGGGTTGACTCCATTCTCCTACAGGCTTTTCCATCATGGTGTTTAGATAGTGGCAATCTCCAGACTTGCGTCTTTTCGTCAGTAACACTTAGAGGAAAACAATCTACTACTTCCCCAAGAATAAATGTTCTGCATTTGGATCTCTTTGTGTGTAGCTTGGACCAGGTACCAGCCCTTGTTAACAACCACTTGGTCACTAGAGATGTCATTATCTTCATTACCAGTCTTCAGTCTTGTGCCCTCTCTTGGAGCAGGGGGTGAAATCAGCACCTCCCAAACTCCATGAACTGAAAATGGGGAAGAGAGGCCACTGGCTTCCCTAGAAGAAAGAAAACGCAGTCTTCAGTAAAAGTAGGACTGTTTGCTGGGCAGGCAGAAAGAACAGGTGTCTGCTACAGAGTAGAAATAACTAATAACATTAATAACTGCTACAGCTAGCAATAGCAATAATACTAAGAACAAACACTTATTTTAAAAGTGTTTCTTATTATAATTTCCCCATAAAAACTCATTCTACATTCTTGGCATGTCAAGAATTTAGCCAGCCTGCTTTGCCATAGCTACATAACCCAGAAGACAAAACTAGCTCTGCAGTTTGAAATTAGTGAGCATGAGATTTCCAGAGAGGAGGATTTCCGGTATAACTAATTCCCTTCCCTCCACCCCGAAGCTCACCTTGAATGCACCGGTGCTCATTGATTCATGCAAACTTGTCTCTGTTATTGCTGACATGCCTGGAGAGGGTCTGTTAAGGGAAGCTCATTTCAAGCACAGATGGTCCCAGGTAGCTTAGCCTCTGCCTGGTGGCCAGACTAAGTTAATTCGGACGGCCTTAGACTTCTGATCACATCCGTGCAGCCAGAGAGGAAAAGAAAAACTTATTTATCATCTTGATAAACAGTCTCTTTCAATGTCTGTGGATGCTGTATGTAACTCGGTAGAGTCAAATACTATTAAATTGTCATCACTGTCAAAAGGGGGAGTAATAAATTTTTCTACCTGAGTCATAGTTAATGACATCTACAATGTGCAACACAAATCAGAATTACTGTTTGCCTTCTTTTCTCCTAAATGTGTGTTTTCTGATCTCTCTGGCTGTAGATGTGAGGCACAGCCCTCAAAATATAAATAAATATATACTTTTGTTATTACCTCTCAGCTAAACCAATAAAATATCCAGCTGACAAGGGCCAGACTCTTGGCTTGGATGAGGTATGCATGCACAGGCAAAAGCTAAGCAGAAGTACCTCGTTCTAGTTCTGCACGGAAGACATGGATTTGAAAGACTGTATTTCACTGAGTGAAGGCCTTGGAAATGGCTCCACCCAATAGTTATTTGTAAACATATTTGCAGAAGCTGCTTAAATACTGTTAAGGGTGGGAGGCATCTCTTTTGCTGTCATCATCTTAAAGAATAATACAGTCATCTGTCCCATAACAATGTTTCAGTTAACGACAGACCTATAAGATAACATGGTATAATACCATATTTTTACTGTACCTTTTCTATGTCTAGATAGATTTAGATACACAAGTACTTATTATGTTATAGCTGCCTACAGTATGCAGTACAATAGCATGCTGTACTGGTTTGTAGCCTAGAAGTAATAGGCTATACTATCTAGCCTAGGTGTGTAGTAGGCTATACCATCTAGGTTTGTGTAAGTGTCCTCTATGAATTAGCACAATGATGAAATCACTTAATGACATATTCATTAGAAGTTACCTTGTCATTAAGTGAGGCATGACTGTGTAGTAGACTGTATAGTACGCTTTGTTAAGCTTCAGCAACAACCTCCAAATCTCATGGGCTTCAAACAGCAAAAGTTTATTGCTTGATCATACAACAAGCCCCTTGTGATTTATCAGTGTGGCTGTGTTTGCAGGAGTTACTCAGGGACTAGATCTTCTGGAGCAGGCACCGTCTAAAACGGGTTGGCAAACTGGCCTGTAGGCCAAATCTGGTGCACTGTCCGATTTTTATGATCCACAAGCTAAAAATGATCTTCACCTTTGAAATGGCTGGAAATTGTGACACATAAAAATCACACAAATTCAAGTTTCAATTTCCATAAATATTATTGACATACAGCTACACTAACTTGTTTATGTATCATTTGAGGTTGCATTTGTGATATAACAGCGAAGTTTGGTAGTTGCTCCAGAGACCACATGGCCCACAAAGCTGAAAATGTTTATTATCTGGATGTTTATGGAAAAAGTTTGTTGATCCTTGATCTGAAATACCACTGGCTGCCACACCAGCAGGAAGAGAGCCCTGGAAGGTCTTGCACAGGCAATTAAAAGCTTGGCTTGGTAGTGATATGTCAAGTCTGTTAATACCCAGTTGACTAAAAACAGTCAATGCCTCCTCCTCCCACAAGGGGATCAGTAACTACCATAAGCCCAGGAAGAGAAGACAGTCATTGGCATCCCTAATGGCTGCTCCAGCTAATACTAATAATAGCAACAGCATCAGAGCAAACACATTGCTCCTGTACTCCCACACTCTTCCAAGTGCTTTCCCTGTGTTTACTCATTCATCCTCACAACAACCTCATGATGAAAGTATTATAGTACTATTTTCCCCATTTTACAGATGAGGAGACTAAGAAAAGAAAGCTTGTATGATTTTCCTGAGATAAATCCAGCTAATAAAGGGTGGAAGCAGTTGAAACCCAGTCAATGACCCCAAAATTCAATCTCAAACACTGTGCTCTCAACCATCCTACCAATCACAGACCTGCTGAGATTTAAAAGAATGCCATTCATTGATGCTGTAGAGACAACTTCTTCACAAAATCCTCAATTATGGAATATGCTAGACATAAGCAAAACACTAATTTAGTGTCTGTATAACAGATTTCTAAAACATTTAACAGTTTATTTAGGAGGTGGTTAGTAAGTGGTCCATAGATGAAAGTAAAATCTAACATCTATGGAGTTGTGGGCAGTTCTCCTATAGGACCAAAAAAAAGAGAAAGGGCTGGGTGTGGTGGCTCACGCCTATAATCTCAGCACTTTGGGAGGCCGAAGTGGGCAGATCATGAGGTCAGGAGTTCAAGACAGCCTGGCCA
The DNA here is from genome assembly GCF_000001405.40 of Homo sapiens. Classification (NCBI taxonomy): domain Eukaryota; kingdom Metazoa; phylum Chordata; class Mammalia; order Primates; family Hominidae; genus Homo; species Homo sapiens. The sequence continues at coordinate 68,404,611 of NC_000003.12, forward strand.
ACATAGTGAAATCCCGTCTCTACTAAAAACAGAAAAATTAGCCAGGCGTGGTGGCAGGTGCCTGTAATCCCAGCTACTTGGGAGGCTGAGGAAGGAGGGTCGCTTGAACCCAGGAGGCAGAGTTTGCAGTGAGCTGAGATTGTGCCACTGCACTCCAGCCCAGGTGACAATGCGAGACTCTGCTTCAAAAAGAAAAAAAAAAAAAAAGGATGGCTGGATTTGCAGTTTGAGATCAGTTTATGGCTCAGCAAGAGGACCAACTGACGGGCATCTGGCCCTAAAGTGGACAGTATTTTACAGCCACTTCTTCCTTGAGTATCTCAGATTTTGTTTTGATCTTTTCATCTTCACTTCTAAGCCAACTCAAAAATGTTGTTCCATTTTTTCCATTGGAAAAAAATTCCAATGGCATTTTCTTCATTTAGCTGGAGAAAAGAAATATCATAAAATAGTTATGGTTTAGAAGTGATGGATTCAGAGTCATCATATTGCAGTGTCTGCTTTTTTGTTGTTGACTGTACCTTTATATCTTCATAAAGGAGTTTGTTTGTAATCACCACCCATGTTCGTTTTAACATCCATTACACTTATCTGTGAACAATAATGGAAGAATCTCATTTTAAGAGAATAAAAAGAAGTTAATGATTATTGTTGGGCTTCTTTCTCAGTATGTATTCCTGCTTGTATATCATTAAATAAATGTTATAAAGAAACATAGAACAAAAATGAATAAAGAGGTAGGAGTAGACAAGTCAGGCCAGGCACAGTGGCTCAAAGCTGTAATTCCAGCACTTTGGGAGGCTGAGGTGGGAGGATCACATGAGAATGGGAGGATTGCTTGAACCTAGGAGATCGAGACCAGCGTGGTTTGTAACCTAGGAGTAATAAATAGGGAGTACAAAGGGAGACGCCCATCTCTACAAAAATACAAATCAAAACATTAGCCAAGCATAGTGGCATGTTCTTGCAGTTCCAGCTACATGGGAGGCTGAGGTGGGAGGATCAGTTGAGCCTGGGAGGCCAAGGCTGTAGTGAGCTGTGATCATGCTACTGCACTCCAACCTAGGCAATGGAGTGAGACTCTATCTCAAAAAAAAAAAAAAAAAAAAAAAAAAAAAAAAAAAAAAAAAGACTAGACAAAGTGAGTATGCAATGGAAAGAACACGTTAGGCCCCCCACCACTGCAGGAAGAGCTCAGAAATTTGGGGTCTTTGCAACCTGGAACCTAAAAGGCAAATGACTCCATTTTCCAGCATTTCAGAATTCTACCCTTTCATCCTCCTCCAGTGTTGCCTTTGAAATTGGGTTTCAATTTTTATATTAATAACAAGGAGAATGGCAGCCCTTATTTATAGTATACCTACTATGTGCTGCTCGATTTATTAATTACTTTTCATATACAATCTCTAATGCTTACAGTATCCGTTAAATTTAGGCATTTTGCTTACAGGGACGAGGGCTTAGAGGTTACAACTTGCTCCAAATTCATCCAGCTAGTAACCAAAGTGATGTTAATTATTCAAAATTATATTAGATATTAGTATATTCAATCTTTTATGTCAGTGTTTTATATAATTTTAGAAAAATTAGTATAGCCAGAGGAGTTATTCATATAAAATAGCATGGCCTATGTCTGTTCTGGAAATTGTTTCCATGTCATTCTCAGCCCTAAAGGATAGCACTGGTGAAGGAAAGCCTAATCAACTATTGCCTAGCTGGTTCAATGGTCTTGGTTTAAGAATAGGGTCAAGGGAGATCCAAAGGGGATTTAAGTCAAGAATATTGCACCCTAGAATGAACGTAAACATAGCTATTTTTCTAAGCCTTATTTCATTTCAATTCTTGTCCTAATCACAGTAGAATACAACTTATTCATTTTAGATGTTGGCTCAGGGAAGCTGTGATTCAGTTTCCAGAGACTAATATTGACATCCAGGGTGAATGCCCCACTTTGAGGAAGAAACTTCCCCTTCAGTTGTTTCATTTCTGAGATTGCATTAATTTGGAATGTATTGAAGGAAAGTCTACATCAAGCAAGCAAATTTGAGGACAGAGAATAGAAAAGTGGAGATATATCCTCAGCCTTATTTTAACAAAAATTTGAAGGCAGATCTAAGAGTAGCCCAAAGGCAGTCTGATGTCCAATCCATTACATGAGTTCCCTTTCCTCATGCTCTCTGATGCATCCTTGTTGGGAGAGAGTAAACGTTCCACAATATGTAAAGAGCAGTAAGGAATCAAGTGTGTTCTTGTAACCTCATTGGTGCACCTTTGGGTGAAATGTATTTCCGTGGGGGTAGACCAGTTGCTAAAAGTTATTTCTGCAGTAGAGTTTCAACATATCCAACGTATAAGCCATTTTCTTCTTTTAAAAATTGAAGAAATCTAGTGGGTGGGTGTTGAGTTGATTATGGTATTACCTTACTTTTAGCAATTTTATTTCAGGGAGATAATGATGCCTAAATGCAGTTTCTCCGTGATTAGCCTGGAATGAGAGTAGAAAGGTAAGAGTGAGGAGTAGTCCATACTGGTGAAAAAAGGGAAAAAAATAAGAGTTATATTTTTCCCACCAATAATTCTGACCTGGTCAAAGATGATAATTTCAATAGTATTAGGAATATCAGAGTAAATTTTCATGCCTACTCTGAACCAGGTATTATTATAATCACTTTGCCTGTATTTATTTAATTCTTATACCTGATAAGTATAAGAATTATTGCAATCCAGGGCATTCACCCTGGATGTCAGTGTTAGTCTCTGGAAACTGAATCACAGCATGAATGCCCTTCAGCTTCCCTGAGCTAACAACTAAAATAAATACGTTGTATTCTACTGTGATTAGGACAAGAATTGAAATGAAATAAGGCTTAGAAAAATAGCTATAATATGTCTACTGTTCACTATAGGATGCAATATTCTTGACCTAAATCCCCTTTGGATATCCCTCAACCTTACTCTTAAACCAAGACCGTTGACCCAGCTAGGCAATAATGTAGTTCTTAAAACAACCCTGTAAAGTTGATGCTGTCATCCACATTCTACAGATGAGAATCTTGAAATATAGAATGGAAAATAATAGGAAGCAGCAGACCCAGGACTTGAGTCTTGGCAGCCTGGCTCTGGAATCTGTGATCCTATCCATTATGTTACCCTGCCTCAAACATGGTTGTCCTGCCCAGAATTTCTTCCTTTTTCCTACTTTTTTCCTTTACATACCCGAGGACGCTGGGAGAGAAAGGATGGGAATTTGTTTAATCTCAAGCATAAACAAATCAAGCAGCTATTTTGCCCTCCTCAACCAAAACATGCTTAAAGATCCATTAGTGTCTCTCTTGTCAATGATTTACAGACAAAGACACTCAGAGCTTCTTTCCAGTCCATTGGGTCAATAAAGCATTTTTAACACAGTATTAAATATGCATTTCTGACATCCACTATGATGAATTCCAAAAAAGCTACTTATACAACCCTGATCAAAAAGTCCTGTAAAAGTGACTCTGAAAAAAATTTGCGATTTTTCTTACATATTACAGCTTTTAAAGAAAGGAACCGTTTGTAATAAAGTGGAAATGCAAGGATTCTAATAATCATGTCCATCTTAACTTTCTTTAAATATGGTTTATTCATTTTCTCCAAAAGTTGTCTTTGGCTATAAGCATATATCCTGGCCTATTAATGAGAACTGGGGTTTACTCATAGTTACTTTTAATTGCTATTTCATTTTAAAGCTATTTCACTTAGAGTAAAAAGCTTTACCTTTGTAAGTTATGACTCGATCCCCAACCAAAATCCCAAGTTGATTTCTCTAGAAGGTATATTGGAAGTTCTCATCTTTGCAAAAGCTACACTTATCATTCAAATTCATCTTTGTGAACATATCCACATAATGGATATTCAGAAAAGGTTCCCGAAAAAGGATTAATTTATACATTCTGTCTTTCTTCTTCTACCGTTTCCTTCCTATTTTCCTTTTCTTTCCCTTTACATTCCACATATTCTTCCCTCCCTCTCTTTCTTTCCTTCCTTCCTTCCTTTCATTATTCAGTCATTTAATCATTTAGTAAATGTGTGACTGCCCACTATTATTCCAGGCACAAGAGATAAAGAATTAAACAAGATGTGGTCCCCCTGCCAGCGTGGAGTGCCCAGCCAAACAGGCTAGACAACAAGCCCATAATTCCAGTTGGGAGTCAGGCTGAAAAAGAAAAGTTCAGCTTGCTAAGAGAACATATAATGGGGGTCAAAAGTGAGTCTTTGAGGAAAAGTTTCATTCAACAACTATTTACATACCAAACAAGTGCCAGATTTCAAGCTTAGTACTGGAATAGTGGTAAAACAGAAAAAAATTGTTGTCCTTCCTCCTTATAGGAAAAGCAAGACATTATTTTTTAAAAATCAAAATCATGCACACTATAAATATTATTGTACAAGAATTATGTAGGAGATGTAGGCTCATACACAGTAGAATATAACTCACAGTATGGTTCAGGAAGGCCACCACAGCAATACCCACACACATGTACATGTACAGGGCTTAGGCTTATATTCCCTGTCTTTTTATTTTTGAAGCAATTCTCTCTATTCCAATTTACACTCCCCCCTTAGCATATTTTCTTCTTTCCCGGAAAGTCTGCTGTTGTGATAATTTAAAGTTGTTTGGCTATGCTTGTTCTTGGACACGAAACCACTGATAGATATGGTTTGGCACTATGTCCCCACCCAAATCACATCTCGAATTGTAATCCCCACATGTCAAGAGAGGGACCTAGTTGGAGGTGATTGGATCATGAGGGTGGTTTCCCCCATGCTGTTCTCATGATGGTGGGGGAGTTCTTATAAAATCTGATGATTTTAAAAGTGGTCATTTCCCCTGCACTCTCTCTCCTGCCACATTTTTAAGAAGGTACTTGCTTTCTCTTCACACTCTACTATGATTGTAAGTTTCCTGAGGCCTCCCAAGTCATGCAGAACTGTGAGTCAGTTAAACCTCTTTTATTTATAAATTACGCAGTCTCTGGTAGTATCTTTATAGCAGTGTGAAAACAGACTAATACAATCACCAACAGCAAAAGATACTACTGAATGTCCAATTCCCTGGCAGATGAAAAGGACCGGACATTAGCAAGTTCCCATAGGTGTCCATTCAAAAAATTTGACCCAGTTTGTAGCCCAGAGTGATCCAGTTGGTTGGTATGAGCTATTTCTATTAAATATCAGATCTGGGGGCAAACCCTGACTTACAATGCCAGTTGTCAAGCTTTTAGTCATCTGCCTGCCAGTCATTCCTAACCTCTTCTTCCCTTTCCATCATGACACATAATTGTCACCAGTGGGGACCCTTTTAAAAGAAACATTATCCTTCGCAATTTATCTTCCTTATTTCCTCACTTGTACAGCTCAAGACAGTGATGCATTGAGCTGGGAAGGAGGCATCCATTGCTAGGAGCATATTGGACTTGGCATTTTTTTAACTTCTCCAGCTCAGAGTTGCTGCTGCCGGAAATAATCTTGAAATGCTATCTTTTTCTCTTTTTTGGATATTAGAAACTTTCTTTTCCTGTTAAAAATAGGTTTGATAATGTATTCAGGGCTCTAACAAACCCAAGAGAAAAGAGCAGTTGGGAAACTAGAGAGATGCCCCATGGAGTTTTTTTTTGCAGGGGCCCTTCCCCTTAACACCAGGGTCAACATGGGCAAAAGGAATGAGAAGAAAGTCCACTGTTTTGAAGATTTGTGGCAGAAAGAGAACTGGGAAGCAGAGTACATTTAACACATCTAACTTTTCCAGATCGGTGTGCATTAGCCAGATAATTACGGCATTTACTTCCTAGTTGGAAAGAACAATGGGATCCCTTATAATGCTAGATTTAGGGTTTTGGGCTAATTTTATAGATATTTTAGATGTATGTTTTCTGCAGATTAACTGATAACAGAAACAATAATCTGGAAAATCTGAGTAGTACAAACAACCTCCATACTAGCCTGTTCTTTATTCTATATCCTCTGCCATTAGATAATAGGTTACTTCATCTGTCTTGTTTTTTAGATCTACAGATCCTGGGTGAAATCCAAAAAAGAGACCATTTTCCATAAGCAAAAAAAAAAAAAAAAAAAAAAAAAAAAGGAAGCTGCATTTTCTAAGGAAGCACCTAAATGACTTAGCTTTGAGAAACCATAGATCATCTTGAAATCATTTTGACTTGGATTGAGATGAAATTTAGAAATGGATAGGCATTGACACCAAGGAAAAGTCCGAAAGATATTTGCATGACAAATATTATCATTCTGAAATAACATTGGCAGTTAAGTTTGAAAGGATAGTTCACAAGGTAAACCTTAAAATACAAATACATTGGATTAAAATACACATTTCCTAATTTCCAGAAAGGTTGTGACAAACTTAACTCTTCCCTTTCATTGGGAGAAACTCTGGGGGAACATTTTGGTTTCCTTTCTCTTTTTCCAAGAAGCCAGCTGATGGGGACAATAGATAAGTAAAACCTTTTTGTCTGAGGGAGTCTTGAAAAATTTTATCTCTGGGTTATAATAGGAATTGTATGTCATTTTATGTCCTTATAGAATTTGATCACCTTCTCACTGTATCATGGGTGGGCCCAAGTAAAGGTGGGCTCTTGATGTAGCCAAAAAGTAAAAAACACATAGGAATGTGGGACGGTGTGTATTTTACAAGCATACTATACTCTGTATATATACTCTGCTATACCAAAGGCATACACCCTTCTTGGTTAGGTTCCATATTATTTGATCATGCAAAAATCCATGGCAGATTTGTTATTCATTTTTCACTTTGTTCAATCATCTACCCATCTAAATGTAATGTGATATCTTTGATGGGACCCTGAAACAGGAAAGTATATTATGTAAAAGCTAAAAGAATCTGAATAAAGCCTAGCCTTTAGTTAATAATGTGTCAATCAAATATTTGTCATTTAATACTACCTTTAGATAGCTGATAATCACCTAAGTATGATTGATTTCACTTTTTCCTTAGCAGAAGAATCTCTGTGAAGAATAGATCATTATACCAAATTTTAAAAATAGAATATCTCCTTTCTTAGAGTAGAGGTAACTGAGCCCCCTTGGATAATCCATAAAGTCCCACAAAATGTGTCTTTAGAGCAAAGTTATGTAAGTGTGACTTTTCCTGCCAAAGATCTAAAAATTTTACTTTTTTAATACAAGCCCAGGCTTCCATGGGCAGGATAGACTGAAAGAGTAAATTGCTCCGTTTGACTGTCTGCTAGGTCTGTTACAATGTAAACTTTGGGAATGAGATTTGGGTATGATGGGACAATCAGAGCTTCCAACTGTTGGGGTCCTGTGGGGTTCCACTGTGTCCACCAAGACCTATTTCTGGGCTCTGCACCAGTGTACCTGAGCAGCATGTGTGATTGAGGCCATAGTTCAACTTGTCAAAATCAAAGAGCCTGTTATTTAGAGCAACACCTTCCTGGCCTCATGTGTGTAAATCCACCATCTGTGAGCCTAAGGAAGATATGGCCTGGGGTCATTGACTTTATATACAAGTCTTTGATGAAAATGGAGCATTTGTCATTTCTCAGTTACCATGCTCTTCCTTTTTCAAAGAAATGACAGCATGTACGTCAGGGTGGGACAGGGGAAAGAGCACTGTATATGGGGTGAGGGTCTGGGTTCTGGTCTCAATGCTGTTGGCTCCTTGCTAGGTAAAACATGGGCAAGTTTCTTTTTTTTTTCTTTTGCATTTTAAATTTGGATATATATTCTTTTATTATTATTATTATACTTTAAGTTCTAGGGTATATGTGCACAACGTGCAGGTTTGTTACATATGTATACATGTGCCATGTTGGTGTGCTGCACCTGTTAGCTCGTCATTTACATTAGGTATATTTCCTAAGGCTATCCCTCCCCTCAACCCCCACTCCACAACAGGCCCCAGTGTGTGATGTTCCCCACCCTGTGTCCAAGTGTTCTCATTGTTCAATTCTCACCTATGAGTGAGAACATGCTGTGTTTGGTTTTATGTCCTTGTGATAGTTTGCTCAGAATGATGGTTTCCAGCTTCATCCATGTCCCTACAAAGGACATGAATGCATCCTTTTTTATGGCTGCATAGTATTCCATGGTGTATATGTGCCACATTTTCTTAATCCAGTCTATCATTGGTGGACATTTGGCTTGGTTCCAAGTCTTTGTTATTGTGAATAGTGCCGCAATAAACATACGTGTGCATGTGTCTTTATAGCAGCATGATTTATAGTCCTTTGGGTATATACCCAGTAAGGGGATGGCTGGGTCAAATGGTATTTCTAGTTCTAGATCCCTGAGGAATTGCCACACTGACTTCCACAATGGTTGAACTAGTTTACAGTCCCACCAACAGTGTAAAAGTGTTCCTATTTCTCCACATCCTCTCCAGCACCTGTTGTTTCCTGACTTTTTAATGATCACCATTCTAACTGGTGTGAGATGGTATCTCATTGTGTTTTTGATTTGCATTTCTCTGATGGCCAGTGATGATGAGCATTTTTTCATGTGTCTGTTGGCTACATAATTGTCTTCTTTTGAGAAGTGTCTGTTCATATCCTTTGCCCACTTTTTGATGGGGTTGTTTGATTTTTTTCTTGTAAATTTGTTTGAGTTCATTGTAGATTCTGGATATTAGCTTTGTCAGATAGGTAGATTGTAAAATTTTTCTCCCATTCTGTAGGTTGAAACATGGGCAAGTTTCTAAGTCACTCTTGGTCTCATTTGCTTCTCCTGTAAAATAAAGATTTGTGATGTGTTTATTATGGTATTGGGCACATAGGAAAAACTCAATAAATGATTACTTTCTTTAATATTATTACTATTACCATTGGTTGCATGGCTATATTGCTTGCTGTAAGTCTGTATCATCTCTAGAAAATGGAAATAACAATAGTTCTATCTCCATCTTTCAACTACTTTGAAAATTAAATGAAATATGTGTTAAAAGCACATTTTAAACCTTGATAATAATATGTGAGACATTGTTGAATACATAAAACAATAAGAATCCATGTTCTGGAAGAGTTTGATTTCCAATGGGACACACAGACAATAATGTCATCAGAAAATTATATACTGTGTTTGAAAGTTACAGGTGTTGGGGGCAGGGGGGTGAGGGGACATAAAGCAAGGGAGCTCATGAGTGCTTGCTAAGGGGAGTATGATTTATTTTAAGTAGACAGGTCAAGTGTGCCTCTGATTAAGTGACATTTGAGCAATGATGGAGTGAGGAGTGGGTGAGCCAGAGATCTGTTGGGAGCATGTCTCAGGTGATACAGTGACCCTCATGGGGTACATGCCTGGGGTGCTCATGCAGTAACCGTCAAAGTGACCAGTGTCCATGGAGGAAAGTCAAGGAGAGAGAGAGTCATAACAAATCGGCTGGGCACGGTGGCTCACACCAGTAATCCCAGCACTCTGGGAGGCCGAGACGGGTGGATCACCTGAGGTCGGGAGTTCGAGACCATCCTGACCAACATGGAGAAACCCTGTCTCTACTAACAATACAAAAAAATTAGCTGGGCATGGTGGTGCATGCCTGTAATCCCAGCTACTTGGGAGGCTGAGGCAAGAGAATCACTTGAACCTGGGAAGCAGAGGTTGCAGTGAACTGAGATCGCGCCATTGCACTCCAGCCTAGGCAACAGGAGCGAAACGCCATATCAAAACAAACAAACAAACAAAACAAATAAGGTCAGAGTCACAACTAGGGGAGGAGGGGCGGCTCGGATATTTAACCTTGGTAACCTTTCTAAGCCAAGTGTCAAACATTTTCTTGGAAGTTTTTCAACCATAAGGCACAACCACTTGTGAAAAGATGCAAAAAGCCTGAGTTTTGGGATCTAGTGACTGGGGTCACACTTATGTGATTCTGGGCAAGTTATTTAACCCCTCTGAGCCTCAGCTTCTCATGTGTAAAGTGGGGACAATACCTTGTAAAGTTGCTGGAATGTGTATAATTAATACAGCATCCAGCACCCAAATCAGAGCTCCAGAAATGGCATTGAGCTCCAAGAGTAGCAGAGAACCATTCCTTTGGCTCTTTGACAACAGTGCCATGAGGGACAGGCTTTGGACCTTCAGTGCCCACCTTGTTGTCAGTATTATTTAACTCAGTGCAGTAACTCAGGCGATCTGGCTTGTCTGTCATTGTGTCCGTTGACTTGACTGTAAATCAAATGAGATTCAAAATACATCCTGAGAGCTTTCATGTGCCTTGTGCCATTTTCAATCATAAATATTGCTCCACTCTTGTATTAGAGCCAAGAGGTGACTTTAAAATTAGTGGCATTTTTGTGAAGTGTCGAACTAGCTGTTACTGACTTGACGGAGGGTATTTGTAGCTGACAATTATAAGCTAAAGTGACATGATTGCAGGTGTCTGAGTTAAAGAGTGTAATATATGATTAGCCCTATTCCATTAACTTGAATCCCAGTGTCGTGCATGGGGAGATAGTAAGGCACTCTTCCATGAACAAGTTGCAGCCTTCTTTCTTCTAGTCATTGTTTTGCACGAGCCATTTATTTCTTCTCCTTCGCTACCTTGTACTTCTCCAACTCCTCCTGCATATAGCTTACCAAGGTGGTTGCCCTAGAGAAATACCTGTACCACACCAGTCCTTTGTTCCAAAAATTCCCATTCATTGCTGTGAGGAAACAAGTGACAACCTTGACCCCAGTCAAGCTTACAGTTTGGCTGGGGCACAGACATGAACAACTAAACACAGGAAATGTGTAGGGTGCTAATAGAATGAACAAAGGTGGACGTGAGGAGCATTCTCTAAGGAACTGACCTTTGAGTTGAGCTCTAAGGAGAGTTAACTGGCAAAATCATTTGTGTTGGAGTGAGGAGGTTGGAGGGATGGGAGGTAGGAGTGAGTATTCCAGAAGAAACCATATTTTCAATCCCTCTAAGACAGAAAATATGTTATTTATATCTTTGTTGGCACCAAAGATATAAATTTATACCTTTGTTGGCACCTACAAAGATATAAATAATATCTAGTCACTCTGGTATTCTTATTATAGGAAGTATATACAGACTCTACCATATGTCAGGCTCGGCACTAACCCCTTTACATGTGTTCTCTCTGTTTATACTCACACAACCCTGTGATACAGGTGTTATTATTATTCCCATTTTACAGATGAGGAAACTAAGGCATTCAGTAAATGACAGAGCCGAGATTCAAACTAAAAGAGGCTGATATGAAAGCCTGAACTCTTCCCTCCTATGGAGAGAAACATAATTAGTCTACTCAAAATCAGAGACTCTTGCGTTTCTTTCATGTTAGGCCAGGGTTTCTCAACACCTTCACAATATCGATCTTTTGAGCCAGATCATTCTTTCTATGGGAGGCCATCCTGGGCATTGTGGGATGTTTAACATAGCCCTGCTTCCTACCTGAAAGATGCAAGTAGCTGTGTGCTCCAACCAGTGATGACAATCAGAAATATCTCCAAACTGGCCAGCTATTATTATGGGGGAGGGAGCAACATCACACCCCACCACCACTGCACTGAGGATCTCTGCATTACACAGTTCTCAGAGGACAGGATGAAAGGATGAAGCTGTGTCTTAAGTCTTCTCTCCTTCCTTTCTCCCTCCTTTTCTTTTTCACAATGTTTTCTAAGTGTCCATATGTATCCTCTATGTACAGGAGATGTATTCTCATCCATATAGTTTATCACACAGTAATTTGAATATAGAGGTTGCTTAACAAATGCTTGGTGAATTTTTGCCAACTGCATCCTAAATGCCAAGAATCCTAAATGGTCTGGGTCTATTCTGAACTCCAAATTTGATGTTGAGAAAGTTGATTCCTGGTTTCTGGTCACTTGATGTATCTTTTGCGTGTCTCTAGAGATCTGACTTAGCTGATTTAGCTGATTTCTGGGGAAAGACCCACTTGGATGCTTATCAGCCTTTATGCAGAGCCGGCAGTTCACCTGCTAAGATCGTAGTGGAGAGTGACATACATTAGTTTGCCAATAAATTCTGATGAATGCATGGATGAGCTGTTACAATTAAGTCAAGCTATATGACCAGGACTGCAATTTGAGACATTGTTTAAAGCACCTACCCATTTTCTCCAGCAATTCTTTCTTTCATTTGCGGATGAAGTCTAGATTTGGGAAATATGTCCCGAATAGATTTTCTATTTAGCCCCCCTTGAGAGTAGGCAGGCAATGGAAGGAAGAGCTGATTTCTGGGCAGTTTTTCTGGCACTGTAGCTTCTGTATCACTGGAGTGTCACTTGTCAATAGAACTCAGAGAATCTTAAATGTGATGATAACACAGAAGATGGCTCCCAAAATATGCATTTAAATCAGGCAGCATCTTTATTGGGTGTGTTAGTTGCAGGCATTCATTGCTTTATTGCCTGTCAATACCTACAGGCCAGAATTGCCACATCTTGAGGGCTATCCATTGGTATTCTTTGCTGGTTTGGAAGTACAGCACTGTCCTCTCTGTGATTACACGTAGTAGAAGAGAGTCCTGTTGTAATTGTATTTCATGGAAACTGTTTCTATAATTTCAATTACTTTCCTCAACCCCGCTACATGCACTCCCAGGGGCTCGAATAGTCACTGAGTTATTTCTAATCAGTGTCCCTGTTCTTTCTCTCTTGCCAGAAGGAGGGACGTGTGAAGTGATAGCAGCACACCGATGTTGTAACAAGAATCGCATTGAGGAGCGGTCACAAACAGTAAAGTGTTCCTGTCTACCTGGAAAAGTGGCTGGAACAACAAGAAACCGGCCTTCTTGCGTCGATGGTAGGTACCTGGTTTTACCTCTTGAAAAGCTCACATGGCATTCACTATACATAATATAATTTCTTGTTTTATCTAATATGGTTCCAGATAATGAACAAGGTGCATCCGAAGTGTTAGAAAGTTATACAATTGCCAGCCTCAGCAGAGTTTGAATTCTTTTTTCTCTGGTGCTATTATTTGAATGTTTTTTCCCCAAAAAATAGATGTTGAAATTTGCTTGCCATTGCAGCATTGAGAGGTGGGACCTTTGAGAGGTGACTGGGCTGTGAGCAACTGTATTAGTCCATTCTCACACTGCTATAAGGAAAAACCTGAGACTGGGTAATTTATAAAGAAAAGAGGCTTAATTGGCTCCTGGATGCACAGGCTGTACAGGAAGCATGGCTACGGAGGCCCCAGGAAACTTTCAATCACAGGAGAAAGTGAAGGAGAAGCAAGCAAGTCTTACATGGCCAGGAAAGGAGGAAGAGAGCCAAGGGGGAGGTACTACACAATTTTAAACAACCAGATCTTGTGAGAACTCTCTCACTATCATAAGAACAGCAAGGGGGAAGTCTGCCTCCATGAGCCAGTCACCTCTCACCAGGCCCCTGTTCCAACACTGGGGGTTACAATTTGACATTTTTTTCAGGTCAAGAAACATGAAGGTCCAGCTCATTTGGGAAATGATTTTGGACTGAGGCTCTAGAGAATGATGATGGTGATAATGATAATAAATATTTTCATGCGCATCCGTGTGAAGATACCACCAAACAGGCTTTGTGTGAGCAATAAAGCTTTTAATCACCTGGGTGCAGGTGGGCCGAGTCCCAAAAGATAGTCAGCAAAGGGAGATAAGGGTGGGGCCGTTTTATAGGATTTGGGTAGAAAAAGGAAAATTACAGTCAAAGGGGAGTTGTTCTCTGGTGGGCAGAGTGGGGGTCGCAAGGTGCTCAGTGGGGGAGCTTTTTGAGCCAGGATGAGCCAGGAAAAGGACTTTCACAAGGTAATGTCGTCACTTAAGGGAAGGACCGGCCATTTTCACTTCTTTTGTGGTGGAATATCATCAGTTAAGGCAAGGACCGGCCATTTACACTTCTTTTGTGGTGGAATGTCATCAGTTAAGGCGGAGCAGGGCATATTCACTTCTTTTGTGATTCTTCAGTTACTTCAGGCCATCTGGGTGTGTACGTGCAAGTCACAGGGGATGTGATGGCTTGGCTTGGGCTCGGGCTCAGAGGCCTGACAAATATAACAATACCTAACATTCATTCAACACATATTTAATGAGCACTTACTGTATTCCAGATACCACTCTGGGTGCTCCAGAAAAACTGATGAACAAACAGAATTGTCCTGAGTCCTCAGTATGGATCAAACCCTGTGCTAAACACTTCTCATGCATTATTTTATTTAATCCTCCCAACAATTCTACAAAGCAGTATATTTTTTCTCTATTGTGATATAACAAATCCCAAAACTTAGCAGCTTAAAACAGAAAACATTATGTCACAGTTTCTGTGTGTCACGAATTAAACTTACGAGGTTCTGGCTTAGAGTATCTCATGTGGTTGCAGTCAAGATCTGAAGGTTTGACTGATATGGCAGAATGGTTTTAAGATGGCTTGTTCACATGGCTGTTGGGAGGTGGTCTTGTTTCCTCGCCTCGTGAACCTCTCAAAAAAAACTTGATGTCCTCACAACGTGGTAGCTGGCTTCCCTCAAAGTGAGTAATCCAATAAAACAATACAGAAGCCTTTATATGTCACCTCAGAAAGTTACTCTTTTTTATTTCCACAATATCCTACAGGTTATACCCACTAGCCCCTATTCATTGTGGTGGTAGACCGCAAGGGCTGGAAGACCAGCAGTCAGGGATCATTGTGGGGCACCATGGAAGCTGGTTACCATAAGGAGATACATTTTTATCTACCATTTTCAACATGTAGAAACCGAGGCTTGGAAGGGTTGAATAGTGTTCCATTCATCCTATGGTTGATAAGCCCTGGCTTGAATGACTCTTCAGCCCAGCATAATGGACTCTAATACCAAATTTAGACCACCACCTTTAAGACAATTTTATATGTTACTGTCAAACAATGAGTCCAAGGCGCAAAGGGACTATAAATCTCTCCTCCCATCTTTATGTTTCATAATTTAGAGCTGGGTGTAAGTTGATTTTCAAATCCTTTATTTAAGAAATCAGGAGGAGGACTCAAAGAAATGAGTCACTTGCTTGGTTCACATAACAGGACACTGAACCTGAATCCCTTGGCTTGGTGTTCATTGTTCTTCCTCTAGATATAGATAAGGAAGGACAACCTCTAGATCGATTCATGTTATGTATTTTCATTGTGGGTCAGTAGGTGGTTAGAAAGAGAAACACACTCAAGCTAGGCTAAGTAAAGAGGAAGTATTTTAAGAAAATAAAGGAATCGCGGTGAACCAATTAAAGGAAATTCAGCCAAACCTCGTGGAATTCGTAAATTCTTCAGGCAGCTGTCATCTCATTTTCTTTGTTCACGGAACATACTATCTCTGATCTCGTTTACCTAGTTCTCTCCTATGTAGACTGTCTCTCTTCAAGATTTTTATTTTTACCTTCTCATAAATTAGAGAATGATATAAGGCTTTTACTTTCATGGTACTGATTCTAATCTCTCTCAGCATGATTGTATTGCTTCAGGGCATGAATATATTTGACTCAGTTTCTGTGTCTTAATACATTATCTGAGAAGAAAAGATGTGATTGGCCCAGCTTAGGCCAGTGTGTCAACCTTTGCCCAGCTAGTCACAGCCAGAGGAGCAAGCTTATGTGGCATATACAGCTGTCAATTATATGCCATGGGAAGGTCAAGCTATTTTATTTTTATTTTTTAGAGACAGGATCTTGCTCTGTCACCCAGGTGGTGTGCCATGGCACCATCATAGCTTACTGCAGCCTCAAACTGCCAGGTTCAAGCAACCATTCTCCCTCAACCTAATTTTTCTTTTATTTTCCGTAAAGATGAGGTCGTGCTACATAGCCTAGGCTTGTCTCAAACTCCTGGGCTCAAGCAACCCTCCTGCCCAGGCCTACCAAGGTGCTAGGATTACAGGCATGAGCCACCACACCTGGCCAGGTCAAACTGTTTTTTAAAGGATGTTAAAAAGTCAAGTTTGGGGATATACTGGGACTAGTTCTCAACTGGGGCAATTTCTCCCAGGGATCATTTGGTAATGTCTGGAGATATTTGGGTCTACCCATTTGTCACAACAAGGGAGCTGCTACTGATACCTAGTGGGTAGAGGCCATGAATCCTATTGAACATCCTGCAATGCCCAGGACAACCCCTGCGCCCCCGAATCCCCACAACGAAGAATTCTCGAGCTCAAAATGTCAATGGTGCTGAGGTTGAAAAACTAGCACTATGATTATTTACTTACTCTACACTACAGTCAACACAGTGAGCACCTCTAATGCAGGGAAGGCAGGCAGTTAGATGAGTAAAGCTATTTCCCTCTCTCTTAAAGAAGAAACTCTTGGCCCTAGAAGCCAATAAGCATTATAAAACAAAACCATGATGGTTTCTCATGTTCTTTGCCAAAGAAAGCCTTGAAGCCGTTAACTATAAATCTTCATTTTGTTTCCAGTTCATTTTTATCTCTAATGATCTAGAAATAGAATTGCCTTTAGGATTTGGATACAAAACACAAAGTGCAATGCATTGCTTATGCTGACAGAGGGGGAAATGGTATCTAGCCCTAAGATTTGTAAGAAGTTAAGCCACATAACAGTAATATTTTTATCTCAGGAAAACTTTGTTCGACTTTGGGAACTCTGAACCCTTTGGTGTGGTTGGTTCAAACAAAAGGGCTATCCTTTCTGCATTCCAGGCAAAAGTCAATAAAGTATTGAGTGTTCTTTATTCTCATGTTGATTATTTATATTTTTGGTAACATTCTACTCCAAAATCCTTCAATCCATTGGCATGTATGGGCAAGTCTATTGTGTTGCTATGATCAAAATTGTTTTGGTGGCCTAGATCTCTAAATGAAAATTAAATATAAAGTGTGACTATAAATTAAAATTTCAGTATAGTTATTCACATCATGGAGTGAGAAATTTCATATACCTGGATGGAATCGCAGCTGTACCTATTACTGATAGAATGACATTTTTGATAGAATGACATTTGCTTTCTAACCTCAGCTTCCTCGTCTTTATTTTTGATAGAATGACATTTGCTTCCTAAGCTCAGTTTGCTCATCTGTAAAATAGGGATTATAGACATTTCTACTTTTTAAGATTGTGCTGATTTTTTTAAGATTTAAGAAAATCTTCTATATAATGTTTTTTGCACAATGTCTGACTCCCTTCAGAGGCTCACTAAATGATAATATCTGTTTTCTATCTCACTAGTAAATGTGGATAATGCTTAGAGAGAAACTTTTTTTATGAGTTTTGTTTCATATTAATTGAACACGGTGGAATTTTAGCCATCATCTTTTCTTAGAAATGCTTCCAACTAATTATCCTGGATATTACTAATACTGGTAAGTCATCTTCAGGAATGCATGTTTATAATAGGAATTTTGAAAATTTCAGAGATACATCCATGCACTAAAATCACCCATGATATCATTGCCCAGGGACTATTACTACATTGTAAGATAACATATTAATATATGTCCTTCCAGTCTTACCCCACTACTAAAAAGCAAACTCACATTGTAGGTATTTTATTGAACTAAAATGCTGTAGCAAAGTTTTATGGATGGCTTGTTTCACTTAATATATGATGACCATTTCCCAAGTGAATACATATTCTTCAAAAACTTATTGTTAATAGCTATATGGGTTTTTCAGAGGTGGATACACCACCATTTATTTAACTATCCTCTCCACTTTATGGCATTTACAGAGTTTCTTGCATTCCCAATCTCAGTTCCCTAGGAATAGACAGGCATCAACTTCTCTGCGTGACAGCAGTTGATAGTTTATACACCACGTTTGTCCTAAACATATTCTGTCTTATGCAGTGAATTTCCCATGGTAAGTGTTCCAATTGCTCTTATTTGCCTTCCTCTGAAATTTCAGGTCAGTTGCCTTTTACAGTGTTTTCAAAAACAAGAGAATAGCTATCATTTTAAAAGAAGCATATATTGGATTGCTTTAAGGTTGAGAATCTGAGAGCAGATTATTTAAAATGGAACAGAAAATGTGGGGTAAAACCTTAGCAGCTTATTCAAGAGTATAATATATATTTGGAGAAAATTTTAAGTGGTGATCTTTTATTTCAAAAATGATATTCTATTTTCTAATAATTGAAAACACCAAATTACACACTTGCCAAATTAAGTTATGAAGTAGTCATTTATAAATACTTATAAAAGCATTATATCCTTGAACCTGTGCCTAGCACTATTCTGAAGGAATGTAAGTCATTATACCCTAATTAGTAATTAATCTATAACCCAAAATGGAAGTGGGGAGCATGCTACTCAATATCTTTAGTTGAGAACAACTAAAAATATTACCTACAGCCTTTCATTAATTTCCAAGTTCTTCTCGGGGACTAAAAGTTAAAATCAAATAAAGATTCATAAACAAGAGGTTGATGACTCAAAACACACCTATTTATTTGAGAACAATTTTTCCAAGCAAATGATTTAAAACAAACAAAAATAAATTTCTGGAGGGCTTATGAAGTTACGTTCTATGATTCTGATTAATCTACAATGGCATGAAAATAGTATCGATCTCAAAGTTGTAAAAATAATGGAACATAATTAATACCAGTAATAATAATAAAAATAATGTTTACCATTTTTTAAGGCTATTATGTGCTACTGTCCCAACTACTCTAAGTCTATACACTTATTTAATTCTAACTCTAACCCTATAAGGTATGTCCTCCCATTATTTCCATTTTATTCGCCAGGAAACTGAGGATCAGCGAAATTTGGTGACTGACTCAAAAATCACATAGCCAGTCATGGCATAGCCAGAAGGTCAGCCTGGGCTGTCTTCAGGGCTCATCATTCATCAAGCATAGGCAAACTCTTAACTGACATGAACACAAGTTATATTCCAAGGGCATTCTTATAAGATGCAAAATATCTGGGTGAGAGGGAAGTAAAACCAACCATGTGGATACTTACAGAAACACCCAGTTCATTGGGCAATACCTGCCCCTTTTTTTTCTACATCATAAAGATGATTGCACTTTCATTGTTATGGAGCAATTAGAAGCAGTTCTTTCAGTGCTTTTATTTTTATAGAATGATTGAAGCTTCATTGTTTAAGGCATAGTGGGAGTGGTAAAATTTTCGTGCAGTTTTCTCTATTTAGGATTTTGTTGTCTTGTAATTTTTATCTGTTTCTAACATGGACAAATATGGGGGGTGGGGGGCATTTAACTAGTTGTTAGTAGGGGAGGTCCTTTAATCCCTTGTGGATTTTAGCATCACTGTAATTAAGAAAAAAATCTCTATGATAAGTTCAGAAGTCTTTCTTCTCATTCCATGTAAATTATGACCATTTGGATGACTGATTACTAGCAACCTTCACCTGGTGTTCTTGCCGTCTTATACTGGATCACCAGCAAGAGAAAGTGTTAACAAAAAGGCCAGGTTACATCAGAAAACTTTCTTTCACGGCAGTGAAAACCCAAGTTTAAAACAAAACAAAACAAACAAATAAAAAAACCCTTTAGTTAATACAATGAAAAAGTCATCCTGCTATTTCTGTGAAGAAACAAAACTTACAACGTAACAGAACATTTTGCTCCTGGCTCATCATACTTAGTCCCCAAGATAAGTGCAAATGAGACAGAGAAGACATACATAAAGACTTCGACCCAGGAAAACAGACTGACAGAGAAGATGAGACAGACCAGACAGTGAGAGAAAGAAACATACAAAGCATATGAGAAAGAGAGGGTCAGAGATTAAGGGTAGTAAAAGAGAGTAGTTAATAAAGAAATGCTTAGAAGGAACATTAATACATCTATCCATAAAATGGCTTGATTCATTTTCCCCAAGAACTGTTTGTATTCAGTCTTACAGTTTATAACTATTTTTTAACAAAATAAAATTTGACAGATGTAACTTTAATTTTTTTTTCAAGTGGCATTATATGAGATTCTAGAACAAGAACTTCTGCAAAAATTCCTTCTGGTGATTGCTCCTGGGAAAAAGTCATGATACAATTTTCTTGACCACATACCATCATATTTCCTAGAGACAGCCATGGTAGAGAAAAAGGTTTGATAATTGAAGGAAGTTTGAAATTCAGCAACAGTTTTTCATAGGATAACATGAGATATATGTGAGAAGGATTATGTATGATAGCCTCTGCTTAGCCTTCCAAAACATGACAGTGTATTAAAGGCTCTGAGAAATTCTGTAGACAAGTAGCTTATTAAACTTGAACACAATATTTCCCAAACTTTTTAGAACCTTTTTAACTGTAACATTTATTTGTCTCCTCTAGTCCCCAGAATTCCATGCAATAGACTTGGGGCCATGATGCTGTAGAGTCTGTGGACTATGATTTGTTTTTTAGGAATGTCTTTCAAGTCTTCCGAGTTAATGGATAGTGTGATGCCCGAAGATAGCTAAGTGTTGCCTAAGACTGGCTGGCCAGAGAGTACACAACTGATCCTATACTGATGTGATTTATAGTATCTCAGTGACATGTCGGGCTCAACTGCAGCTTGGAAATCATCTAGAGAGCTTCCAGAGCAAGCCTAGTATGAAAAACCCTAAGCCCCTATTTATATTCACAAATATTAAACGTTTTTGGGGACAGAGAAGATGACCTATTTTGGTTCTGCCATTTGTTACTTGTCATCCACACACGATGAAATACTGAGATAATGAATTGCTGTGGTGGATCAGGGATGCATGCCACAAAGGCTGGCTGTGGTTCCTTCATTACTGTCTCTGTTTGAAACTTGCTTTGTTCTTTTTAAACACACCAAAGCTTGTTTAGTAGATGGAATGCTGAACGCATTTGACTTTATCAGAAGACATTTATAAAGGGAAATTCGATTGTTCTTATTAGAAGAGGATCTTGCATAACATCTTTAGTGAAGTGATGGCATTTTCAGGCATGCTTTCTGAATCTTATGCAAATCCTCCTTGAAACAGCATTTAGTCCCCAACTTGGCACCTAAGCATGTACAGGTGTGTGAGAGATGCAAGTCTGCATTCATAAGAGGAATGAGAGGATGAATGTACAAGAACTGTCAAAGCTTTTTATACTGCCTAATAAAAGATAGGTGTCTACGTTTGTTCCTCCTAATAAAGACAGCTGGAATTCAGTCATCATATGTATCTATCTAATAGCAGATGTTGTCATCTTTCTGTTTGTTTGTTTGTTTTCTAGTTTAGAGCAGCAGTTGCCAGTTTCCAGCCCACTGGCAAAAACCATTCTCAGACCTGTTCCTGAGGTCAGCAGAGTATTGAAAAAATTGACTTTGCATGCCTTTAAATGGGACACTCCAGTTTCCCACAAGGCTCACTCTTTCTTATTATTGCACTAGGCTCTGACAGGTTGATGTTCCTGCCTGGTCCTTAAAGGCAATGGAATATGTGGTAACAAGCTCATACAGTCGTTTCCTACTAATTTCAAGTGAATAAACTAATTTTGAATGAATTATTTTTTCTAAAAAATTAATTTTGTAGAAAAAATATACTCTTTAATCAAAGTAATATATATAATCTGTTGTGAATATAAAAGTATGCATATATTCCATAATAGAAATATACATCAAAACATCACATTGTACCCCGTAATTATTTATCAATTAAAAATTTTTACAAAAGAAATGTATCTGTATAAACCTAACAAAGAAAGGATAAAAATTAAAGTAATTCTTCATTTTTTTCTTTCTCACTAATCCTCTCACATCATAATTGCCAGAGGAAATTATCCTTGTCATATTTCTACACATCCTTACAGAAAAATATTTGGGTACATGCAGGCCTACAGGTATAGACATATAAAACTTTATAAATAAAAATGATATTATATTGTACAGACTGCTCTGAACCTAAATTTTTTAGCGCAGGGAAATAAGTAGTTCACTGAAAGAAATAAAAATGGCTGGTAAACATGGAAAAAATGCTTACCGTCACTCACATGAAGAAATGTAAATTAAACACTGAACTACAGTGTTTCATCAATCAAATAGGCAGAGATGAAAAGTTTGGTAATATCCAGACTTAAGGAAGAAAGACAAAAAAATTACATTTAAATCATACTCGGTGATAAACGGCTTACAAACTCAATTAGTTAGCCACTCTTCTCTATGGGGTTCACCAACAAAGAAGATGATAAATAGGAAATTTTGTGATGAGACTGGCTGTTTCGGGTACATAATACAAATTATGTGCATTATAATTGCAATGACTTTAGCAACATCTCTTGAATGTTTAATTCTCTGCATTTTCTCAACAGGATCAGATTCATGACTGTGGGTATCATCTAAGAAATATTTCAAGAATTTTGATGTTATTTTAATGTGAAAACTATACATAAAATTAGATTTAATGCGTATACTTGGATTAATGTAGCAAGTCTCATTGTAAAGCCCATCTATATAGCCACTTAAGAGAAGCAAAATTCTCTGTATAAACATCTGTCATGATGTGTATGTCATGTGTGTGAGAGAGAGAGATAGGTCATGGCACAGCACACCCAAAATCCTTGTCAGTTACCTAACTGCCATAAACTTGTTTACACATAACCTCAAATTCACAAAGAAATTTCCCCAAAGTAGCCCCCAAGTCATTGGTTTTCATTTATCTCTAGAGAGCTCAGGTGTTTTCAAAGAACTGGTCTTCTCTGATATGATAGCACTTTTCATCCTTTCTTTTTCCAGAAAGTGGGAAAAATGTTGTTCTAAATCTAAGGAGTCAGCTCCTCATCTCTTTAGCTGGGCTTCAGCCTAGATAAGGCAGGATTCTAGGGTCCTGTGTTATTAATGTGCTGTCCACATGAATAACTAGCAAATCTTGTGAATTATTTCACACTTCTAGGAAAATCTATAACCCTGTCCTTCTGCAACAACACTGGAAGCTGCCAAGGATACTGGTACATTGCTATGTGGAAAAATCTGATAACTTTATATAAGGAAGTAGTAAAACTTGTATCCCCTTCTGGGACCTGTATATAAACTTATACAGATGAGTAATATTTTAAAAAATTAATGATATATATGTTCCTCCATCCTCTGAAGCTCCTTGAATTTTTGAAAACCTACCACCCCCCCCATACAAGTTCAAACAACAAGATATGAATTACCCATTGATAAAGTTTGGCTGTGTCCCCACCCAAATCTCATCTTGAATTATAGCTCCCATAATCCCCACATGTCATGGGAGGGACCCAGTTGGAGGTAACTGAATAATGGGGGCAGGTTTTCCCATGCTGTTCTTGTGATAGTGAATAAGTCTCATGAGATCTGATGGTTTTATAAAGGGCAATTCCCCTGCATATGTTCTCTTGCTGCCACCATGTAATTTGTGCCATTGCTCCTCTTTTGCCTTCTGCCAGGATTATGAGCCATCCTCAGCCATGTGAAACTATGAGTCCATTATACCTCTTTCATTTATACATTACCCAGTCTTGGGTATTTCTTTATAGGACTATGAAAATGGACTAATGCACCCACTAACCGGAGCAGAGATGCCCAAACATGTGGAGTTTAAATTCAAAACCTGTTAAGGTATTCAGATTTAAAATTGAAGAATGAGTATTTTCCTGTTACCCATACTGTTGAGAGCAGAGGGAGAGGAGGAAGGAAGGACCACATGGGTAGCAGGAATGTGGCCTACTAGAGTAAAGGCCATCTGTGACTAGTACCAGAGAGATGTGACTTTATCTAAAGATCCATATCTCCAGCCTCCAGCCAAGAGAACACTGTACTTGACAGCTCACTACACTTTGTTCCAGCCATTTTATTAGCTGCCTTCAAGTGAAGACCATCCATTAACAGCAGCTAGATATTGCACATTGATTTTCCAACAAAAGTCATAAACACAGGCATCCTTCGACCTCCTTAGCCTCCTACCCTGCATAGGTGACCCCCAGGAAACGAGAGGAGAAACCTGGGTTCCTAGATGGGTGGAGTAGTCATAGGAAGGAAATCTTATGCACCAACTCTGTAAGAACAGATGGGTTTGAGATCACCAACTGACCTAAGACATTGGTGGAACACTCTCACCCTCCCCATTTCACCTGTTTCGTTTATGAAATGAAAAGCAAGTCCAATAATATCTGATATTACTTGGTATTTTCATTATTGCATCATTTTAATAATTGAGGGTAAAATTTATTGGACTATCAATTTATATTACTTAGGCTTATAAAATGATTGGGCAATTAACTAGACACTCATTCAAAGGAAGGTCACATCCTTTAAATTTAGAGTGACCTGTACATGCTAACTTAGAAGTCGTCATTCATGGTCTCCTTTGGTGCCTATGCACTAATTTTGCTTTATGCCAGATGCCTCTTCTCATCAATGTCTCCCGGGTACAAGAAACCTAAACCTTCTCAATAGAGGTTCAAGTAAAAAGGGAAGTTATTGTGAGAATATACTTGGGGTCATGGAATTCAAGAGCAGAGATTGATTGCTCTACAGCATGCCTTGAGGCACCTGAAACTGAAATACTGATTTCAGCAGGCAGCCCATTTGTGTTCCCCATAGCTCTTTCTCATGGGAGATGTTGCCTTTCATCTTGGGCTCATTCTGGATATTTGCCTTGTTCTCTTTTCTTTACAAACCAGGGAGGTTAAGTCTGTCCATGTCACCTGGCAATGATCTTCTCAACTAAATGGAACACTACTTAGAGTAGTAGGCTAAAACTGGTAATTTTACTGGTTTGTAGTTACTGAGTTCTTACTGTGTGCCAGACTCTGTGTATTGAATTTATTACTTATATCATCCTTATAATAGCCTTATAAGATAGGTACTATTATTCCCACTTTACAAGGGAAGAACCTGATGCCTTAGAGAAGTTAGATCATTCCTTCCAGGACATGGTAGGGATAGACATGGGACCCCATGTGGGAACTGCTGGAAATAATGGGCAGAAGACAGGATCAGAAGCAAGGGTAGGAAAGATTCAGAGTACCAGTTCACTTCTTATATTTGCTCTCTAGGAGAACAATAACACCAGTCACACTAGCCTCCTGATTAAGCTCTTCCTTCAACATACACACCATCATCATTCATGTTCCATATGTTTACATTCCAAATTCATCCATTTCTCCTCATTCCCGAATTTCAAGACTGCCATTATCTAGACTCATATCTCAACACTTGTTAATCCATCTGATTGAAATGCATCCTCAAAACCCCTTCTTCATACCATCTGACTCTTCATTACTCAACTTAGATCATCAATTCCAGAGGTCCTTCCTGAAGCCGCTATGCCTAAGTTAATAATGCCCACCTGTGAGTCCTTGGAACAGCCTGTATAACATTTCTCATAACTCACTGTAATGTACTATAATCTTTGTTGACTTGTTATCTCCTTTGCTAGAGAGACTTACTCACTCATTCATTCATTCAGCAATTATTTTTGGAGTATTGACTATGTGCCAGGAATTATGCCAAATACTTAATCACATAATGCTGAACAAAGACAGCCCCTTGCTGTCATGGAACCTACAGTCCAGCAGGAGAGACAGACCATGATCTAATCATACCTAAACATATACAAGTAAACCACACATTCAGAAGGAAAAGAATTCTGTCCTTGGAGAGGATTCAATAATGAGGAATATAAAGGAGATTGGGGAACTAAGAAGACTTCCGTGAAGACGTGACAGGAAGCCTGAAATGTGAGGTACAGCTCAAGCTAGTGGGTGAGCAGCATTGCAGGCATAGAAGAGAGCATGCAGAAAAGCCATGGGTTTTAATCAAAAAGTTGAGAGAAAGCCATGGTGGTGGAAGCCCATAGGACAATGAAATTGCATGAGACAGAAGGCTGAAAAGTTAGATACGGCCAAACAAGAAGTAACAATAAATAGTGTAGTAATTAAGCTGTGTGTCTCTATTACGTAACATAGTTCTTAAAACTGAGTCATGCTAATCATGTACTTAGAGGGGGCAATAAAGGAATCTGCAGTGGGAAATTGCGTAAATTAGTCAACTTAGAATTTTGTGAGTGAGGAGACAGTATTGAGAGCCCTCTATAGAGACAAACATCTCCTATGAAGTGTCTGACAACAGATTTCAAAACCTCTATACTAACACTTCAGACAATGCCAAAGCAAAGCAAGTCAAATTGTCTTTTTGATACTACCAGCCTCCACACATGTTGTTACCCACACAGGGTTGCTGTCACCTGAATGTCTCATTCACTCTCTACTCCCAACCGCTCACACTGCTACAAAGAGTCTTCACAACTGCACACACACAGCAAACAAACAAAACTTTTGGATGGAAATTTTAAATCACTGTTCTTTTCAATTCTGCTTACTGTCTGAAGCAGTCTTAAGATACTGTATTAACTAAGAGATTCTTTATACAGGGGAAGCGCATCTGGGTAAACGGCTTCTCATTTGGGGTTTATTTTAACTACAGGCTCATGTCAATTTATTTTTCTCCTGATTGGCACTTAAGTTATTCAACTCTAATTTATTTCTTTATGGATTGACAACACCATGTTGTATGTAGCTCCCTCCCTAACCCCCTACAAAAGCCTCTATAACACCTATACCAAAGGACGCCTGACCAGCCTTCCATGAAATCTGGGGTAGTATAGTGTTGTAAAAATTCAAATGCAGGTGTTATAAGTCTATTT
Source organism: Homo sapiens (assembly GCF_000001405.40). Taxonomy (NCBI): domain Eukaryota; kingdom Metazoa; phylum Chordata; class Mammalia; order Primates; family Hominidae; genus Homo; species Homo sapiens. Next base: position 68,431,206 of record NC_000003.12, read on the forward strand.
TGTGAAGAAAGAGATGATGGAGAAATGGCTGTTTCTCACATTACCAAGTCCTGCTCCCTTTAAAATCTTCAAGCACATAAGTTTGAGAAACAATGTAATAAAACCACATTCACACTATAGAAATTACCTATTGCCCTTAGCAGCCCTTATGCAAGAATTATAACAACTACAGGGACTGAGCGTTGTTGAGGACTGACACTGTGTCTCATATCCTACTGAAAATGTTACCAACATTATGATACCTAATCTTCATAACAATGCATGAGATGGGTACTATTGTTATTATCCCCATTTTAATGATAAGGAAACTGGGGCTCAAGATGATAAGGGGCTTGCCCAGGGTCACATAGCTACCAGGTTGGAGAGTCAAGATTCAACCTCAGCAATCTGATAGTATTACTCATGAAAGATATTAAGATTGCATTCATTCTCAAACAGACAAATGGAAATTTGTTATGGGAATATAGAAACACTGTGACTTGGAACACACAGAGGCTTGAATTTCAACCCTAATTCTGCCACTGATTAGTCACGTTGTAGCAGGATGAGTCGCAGACAAAACTCCTCAGACACCAAATTAAAGAAGGAAGAAGTTTTTTATTTGGCTGGGAGCGTCGGCAGACTCACGTCTTAAGAGCCGAGCTCCCCGAAAAAGAAATTCCTAGCCCTTTTAAGGGCTTACAACTCTAAGGGGTCCACGTGAAAGGGTCATAATAGATCAAGTAAGCGTGAGGAACATGACTGGGGGCTACATACATCAGCTAACAAAACAAAAAGTTTTACAATGCTTTCTCATACAATGTCTGGAATTTACAGGTAACACCAGTAGTTTTGGTCAGGGGTTAATATTATTATTATTATTTTAACCACCAGGGCCGGATGGTGGTGCCAAGGTCATCTAGCTATTTATCTTACCTCTGTTGCTTTCCAACTTTTTGCTTTCTCCCTTTTCTCCTGTCTTATAAACTAGGGAAAAGGGGAGGTTGGGGAGAAGCTGGGAAGGACAACAGGAGAAGTGGTGGTCTCATTTCATAACGTGTCCTTAAACGTATTACCCTCTTGGAACCACAGTCTCTTTTTCTATAAAAAGGAAATGAAAAGAATATAGCATGGAAGAGTTGAAGGGAATATTAAACAAGAAAATTCATATAAACCACAAATGCGTAATCCAATCTCCATGCATATTGTGAGCCCTCAATTATATTAGCAATAATGCACTCAGAAAATATATTAAATTTATATTTTCATTAATAAGTGCATTTCTAGAGCTTAAGATAAGAAATCATGCAATTTTGATTGTAATGCCTTTGCTTGTGCACCTTTTCCTCATTTGATTACCTCCAACCATAAAACAAGACTTTCAAGTCTCCAGAAATGTGTGCAGAGAAACAAAAAGAAGCTGGTCATGACATAGAAAAGTCTGTATCCCATCAGGCATGATAAGAGGAGACAAGTTGAACGCGACATGCCGTGTTTTCATGCAGAAGTGAAGGTACTGAGGACATCTTCTAATCCCAGTCCAAGTAAGAGAAGACACTCATTTTCCAAGCTCCCATTGGTACTCACAGTACCTCTGGAAATGAAATATCTCATATGCATGATGGAATTAAGGAACTAGGAGTGTGCATTTCACTGAAGATGGGGCACATTAGGTACAGGTTGACTTACCCCTGACTTTGGTCTTCTCTTAGCCCTCACACGAGAGCTGCCTTTCTCTTCTCACTATAGAGACTCCCTAGGTTACTTCATTCATTCTCATGGCTTCAGAGACCCAAATAGCTCCCAAGTCTATGCACCTAGCCTAATCCGTTCTTCCAAACTCTAGGTCATTTTGTTCATGTAGTTATTAGACATCTCCGTTTGGATTTCTCAAAGACACCTCAAATTCAATATGCTGAAAATGGAGCACACATTTCCACCAGTCTGCTTACTTGAGCATGGTTTCAGCATCACTCAATAGCATTTGCATTTACTCTTTATTCAAGCCAGCCTCTTGGGAAACATCTTTGCCTTTCTTCACTTCCTCATGGCCCATGTCCATTTTGTCATCAGAACTCCTTAGTTCCTCTGACTAATTCTCTTTCATCTTTTCCCTTCTTTCCATCTCAATTTCTATCCAATAACCAAGCTGAAGCCATTATCACCTTTTCACCTTGATTACTGAAGGATCTTCATTCTTATTGCCTGAAGTCTTTATCATACACAGCCTCCAAAAACTAATCTAAGTCCTCCTGTTGTTGGCTACTGTACATCTTGTTCTTCCCTCTTTGGAACACAAATTCCCACTTTAAATTACATTTTAATACTATCTTTATTTCTGTACAACAAATGCTGCATGAAGGCAAAGTTCATGAAGGTCTTGTTCACAGCTGCATGCCAGTGCCCAGCACAATGACTGGTACAGATGCTCAAATAATTCATGTCTTTTGTACTTATGTAGTGGGACAAGATCAAATCAAAGATGGATTTATGTTCCAATTCCAGCTCTACTATAATCCTAAATTTAAGTTCCCAAATCTGAAAACAGGAATTACAAGAACTTAACTTCACAATGTAATTTGAGAATTATATAAGAAATGCATGTAGAGCACTTAGCACAGAATTAGTTCTGAATAAGTATTAGTTCTAACAATTGAAAGGATTGATGTGAGATACAGATTTGGTGGGCCATCTCTTGAACACTTCACTGTTAAAGTGGAGAAATTAAGACAGCACAGGAACAATTCCCAGACTTACACTTGAGCATTGTTTATGTGTAAAGGACATTCTTTTGTCCTGAGTGTATCACAGACTCAATTGACTATCTCTACCCTAAGTTTTCTGTAAAAGGATATCAGAGAAAAGTTGAAGTCTTGTACTTGGTGGAACCAGTCAAAAACCTGATGTTTTTAATGTTATAGAGGCTACAATAATCTCTATCAACAAAACTGAATTGGCAGTGAACTCTTCTAAGCATTTGTATCGTCTGAAATCAATAAACTTAAGTTTTTATGTTGTTTTACTTTTGAGTTGCTAGTGTTATGTGAAGTGGTAACTTGAGATTGGTGTGGACTAAGTTTTTGCAGCAATTAAAGGACTGTTCCGAGGAAGGCTCAACAATTTCCTCTGTACTTCTTTCTGTCTAAATACAGCCTCTTCTAGCAATGAGCTTGTTACAAGCAGTAGAAGAAAATGTAAATATTTTCTTGGCTGCTATTTACAAGAAACTGAATATAAACAGATTCAACCATAGAACCTTATTAGATACCATACCTAAGATGTCTGTTTTACAGTACATTGAAGAGCTTTTGCCCCCTTCTTTGTGTTCATGTGCTGTGAATTTTTTTCTTCCATTTTGATACAAAAATAAAGAAGACCTCAAGCAGAAATTTGTTCTATCTATGACTTTTTCTAATATTCCTGGAAGGCACAAAACATGTATCAGGATGAATTTACACATAACTTGTGACCAAAGGTAGAATTACTCAATATACTACATGATTATTCTGATGGGAAAACACTACAAATGGCTTTTCCAGCCTGCTGACTGACTGACAGAATTTGGTATACATTTCAGAGTTAACACCATGTGTCTAAAACTAGTCATTTTTGCGGACTTCATTTTGCATTGTCTGTGGAATTCAAGAGAAACATGTCTAATACTACCTCCTGTCGAAACCAAAAATGATACATGAAAGGCCCAAGAAAATGCCAAATCAGAAGATTCATTCTGCAAATACTTACTAACACTCTCTAATACTGAGCATCAGATAGAGTGACCAATAGGACATGATTTCTGCTTCAATGATTATAAAGTTCAGGGGAGATGACAGGCAAATTGGTGATTGCAAAGTTGTGTGATGTGTGCTCTGATGGAGATGAGCCCAGAGTGCTCTGAGAGCAGAGGTTAGGGTGTTAAATGATGGAAGCAGGAGGGTGTTCTAGATGGCTTCTCATCAGAACTAACATCCAGTCTGGGACTCTAAGTGACTAGGTAAGAGGATGGGATCGAATGTCCATGGCAGAAACAATGGCATGTGCAAAAGCCCAGCATCAACAAGAAGGATCCTAATGAATCCAAGGAGCTGCAAGAAGTTCAATGTGCCTGGGTAGAGAAGGGTGTGGGATGGGTCTGGAAAGAAGTGAGACTGGAAATCTCATTAGGAATGAGCTCATGCAGCAGCCTGGTAGCCATGGTGGATATTGAAACTGCCCAAGAGCAGTGGAATCAGGCACTAAAGGGTTTTGTGTCAATGAATGTTATGGTTAGATCTGTGTTTGGATGTCTCACTACATAGCACAGGAATTAAATTGTTTCTAGTATAATTGCTATTCATTGTACTTAGAGCCCAAATTTCTAACCAATACAGAGAATAAACCCAAGAAATGTCAGAAAGGAAACAGGTCCATTCTGATTTTTAGGTCAATGCTCTGATATTTAGGGTAACAAAGTTACATCACAGTTTTGCTGGCAAAAACTAGAGTGGAGATTATGAAAGAAGTAGTATCTCCAATAGGAAATCTTGGCATCTTAGCCACATGACTGTGAATGCATGCTTTTGGTTTTGCATCAAGGATCACTATGGCAAGGGGAGTGTTCATTCTACTTATGCAGAAAAAGTAAGAAGGACTGAGAATAACATATCTTAACCATGTAAAAACAGGCCCTTCATATAAGGGAAATTAAAGAGTACGATTAACGTCCTGCCAGACTACATGTTAGAATCACCTAGGGAGGTTTTTTAAAATATCAGTGGCTTGGCCACACCCCTAGATATTTTTACTTGATTGAGCTGAAGCAGGGTCTAGACATTTGCATTTTTTAAAAGCTCCATGAGGGATACTAAGGGATAACCAGAGTTGAGAACCAAAGCTGTAGTGGTTAAGAGCACGGGCTGGGGAATAAGGTAGAATGGATTGAAATTCTGGCTCTTGCTGAAAACAAAATTATTTCTGTTCTTTTAATTTCTAATTTATAAATCTTCCATGTGGCATTAAAGGTGACTTATATAGATATTTCCATCACAACCAGATAAAGTGTAATGTAGACATGAAAGGAATTCAACTCTTATGCCCTGCCCTTAGTTTCTTCATTTGTAAGGTGGGCATAACAGTATCTACCTTATATGATCTACGCAAGCTTTGAACATGTTAATAAGTAAAAAGATTTATAAGTACCTGGCATATAAGTGTTTGATAGATGTAAGCTATTGTTCTTAACTCAGGTGAAGTTCATAGGAGAAACAGGACAGAGAGGAGAGAAATCACAAAGCATGTTTCAAAGACACCAATTAGTTTGGCTGAGGCCTCAGGGAGTAATAGGTAAAAAACTTACAAAGTCAAGTTGGGGCCAAATTTCTTTCTTGAGCTCCAGGCTAATGTTGAAATTTCAGCAAGTGTTCATTAATTGGTCATCTAATAATGTAGTCCCCAAGCAGGTAAGACCAGCAGGTGTATATTGTACAAAATAGAATAAATTTAAGGATTGCTCAGAGTTCATTCCAAAACTTGGGCTCTGATTTGAATTGAACCCAAATGTGGAACCAACAGATGTCTCTGTGGAAAGTTGTGATTAAGTCAACATAGAGCTTCACAAATGAACAGCGAGTCACTGGTTATGAATAACCCCTGGCACTCAGGAAGGCAGATGCCTTTCCTGGTGACACCTTGGCTCTTGTTAACAGATACAGCCAGCTCCACTTCTGTTGTCCAGATTTTGCCCACTTTATTAGAAAACTCTAAATAGTGCTGAAAACTGTTTCTGTTCTTTCTCTTTTTATTTATAAATATTTTATAAAAGAGCAAATGTAACTTACATGGACAAATCCCACACAGCAATGTAAACATAAAATGTAATATAGACATGAAAGAAGTAAGAAGACAGGGGAAATGAGGATGAGATGTTTAAAAGAAAGCTGGGAGGGAACTGAGAGAAGGTCACGCAATCCTATAAATATGCCACCAATGCATCGCAAGTTTGGCTGTAAGCCTTCTAACAGGCAATGCAAAGAGGGAAACAAGATTGGTTACAAGATTTAGAATGTTCCCAGCTTAATCCAGGCTGTTGCTTAATAGCACAATAACATTGTGCTATTCTTGGCACAATGTTAAAGAGAAATATGTCCAGGTCTACATAAAGAGAATATAGTTTAAAATAGTTGTATTAGTCCATTTTCTTATGGACTTTCTTATGGTCCATTCTCTTATGTTGCTTGTAAGAGAATATCTGCATCTGGTTAATTTATAAATAAAATTATTTCTTACAGTTCTGAAGGCTGACAAGCCTAAGGCCAAAGGGCTGCATCTCGTAAGGGCCTTCTTCCTAGGAGTGACTCTGTAAAGTCCCAAGGCAACACAGGGCATAACATGGCAAGGGGACGGAATATGCCACCTCAATTCTCTCTTTCTCTTCTTATAAAGCCACCAGTTTCACTCTCATGAAAACCCATGAATCCATTAAGGAATTCATTCATTAAGAAATGAATTCATTGATAAGGGCAGAGTCCTTATGACCCAATTACCCCTTAAAGGCCCCACCTGTCAATATTGCCACACTGGGGATTAAGTTTTAACATAAGTTTTGGAGGGTACAAATTTTCAAACCATAGCATTCTACCCCTGGCCTCCCGAAACTCATATCCTTCTCGCATACAAATATATTCATTTCAACCCCATAGCCCTAAAGTCTTAACTTGTTCTAGCACCAACTCAAAAGTCCGTCTACTTTTTTGTGAAATCAAAACAAGGCATCTACTTCCAAGACACACGGTGGGAGAGACATAGGGTACACATTCCCATTCCAAAATGGAGAAATAGGCTAGAAGAAAGGAGTAACAGGCCCCAAGCAAGTCCAAAACCCAAGAGCAGACATTAAGTAATAAGACTCCAGATTAGCCATGTGCAGTGGCTCATGCCTGTAATACAAGCACTTTGGGAGATGGAGCTGGGCAGATTGCTTGAGCCCAGGAGTTTGAGACCAGCCTGAGCAACAGACAAAACCCTGTCTCTACTAAAAATACAAAAATTCATTGGGTCTGGTGGCACATGTCAATAGCCCCAACTACTTGGGAGGCTAAGGTGGAAGTTTTGCTTGAGCCCAGAGTGGGAGGTTACAGTGAGCCAGGATTGTATCACTGCACTCCAGCCCAGGAAACAGAGTGAGACCTTGTCTCAGAAAAAAAGACTCCAGAATAACAGAATAGTCTCCTCTGGCTCCATATCTGCATTTTCTGCACACCAGTTGTGGTTGGGCCCCCAAGGCCTTGGGCAGTCCAACCCCTGTGGCTTGGCTGGACTCAGTCTACCCAGCTCACTTAGGGTTGCATTGCACACTGTTCTCTCTACAGTTATGGGGTCTTGGTGTTAGTCCCACTCCCATGGCTCCATTAGGCATTGTTCTGGTGGGGACTCCCTGGAGCACCTTCAACGCACCTTTCCACTCAGCATTGCTCTAGAGGAAGTTCTCTGTGGTGGCTCCACCCCAGTGATAAGTCTCTGCCTTGCCCTCAGGTTGTCTGACACATTCTTTGAAATCTAGGTGAAGGCTGCCATGCTTCCATAGCTCTTGTTTTCTGCAAGCCTGCAGAATTAGCACCACTTTGGTGACACCAAAGTTTATGGCTTGCATCTTCTGGGGAGTGGGTTTCATCTCAATTAAGGCCACTTGAGCCACAGCTAGGATGGCCACACATTGCTGTACCAGGGTTCTGGGAGCAAAGTGTCGTGGTATCCCTGAGCAGCAAGCCCATGTAGAGAGTGTCAGGCCTGTCCCCTGAAATCATTCTGCCTTCCTAGCCCCCTGGGCCTGTGATGGGAGCAGCAGCCTCAAAGATCTATAAAATGCCTTTGGGATCTTTCTTCCATTGTCTTATGGAATAATACTTGGCTCCCTTCTATCCATGCTAATCTCTTTAGGAAACAGTCACTGGGCTACACCATTGGTTTTTCTCTCCTGAACATGCTTTTTCACTTTTTACATGGCCAGGCTGAGAGTTTTCCAAATCTTTCTACTCTTCTTTCTTTTTATTTATAAATTCTGTCTTCAAATTATTCTTTTCCTCCCAAATCTCAGTGTAAGTGGACAAATGTGACCATGAAACGTCTATATTTTGCATAGAAATTTCTTCTGCCACATACCCTAGTATATCACTCTTGAGTTTGGCCTTCTACAAAGCTGTATTAGTCAGGGTTCTCTAGAGGGACAGAAGTAATAGAATATATATACATACATATATATATATATATATATATATATATATATGAGTTTATCAAGGAGTATTAACTCACACAATCACAAGGCCTTACAACAGGCCATCTGCAGGCCGAGGAGCTAGGAAGCCAGTCTGAGTCCCAAAGCTGAAGAACTTGGAATCCGATGTTTGAGGGCAGGAAGTATACAGCATGGGAGAAAGATGTAGGCTGGAAGGCTAAACCAGTCTAGTCTTCTCAGGTTCTTCTGCCTGCTTTTATTCTGGCTGTGCTGGTAGCTGATTACATTGTGAATGCCCAGATTAAGGGTGGGTCTGCCTTTCCCAGCCCACTGACTCAAATGTTAATCTCCTTTGGCAACACCCTGATAGACACACCCGGGATCGATACTTTGCATCCTTCAATCCAATCAAGATGACACTCAGTATTAACAATCACAAGTCCATTCCTTGTCAACTTGAATGCATATACAACTCCTGAGATCATACATAATCTTCAAATAAAGACAATAATAAGATCATAATTATGCCTAACATAATACAACTTCCTTTGAACAACTGGAACTGCACCAATCCCCAACTCAAATGCTATTACATAAAGTTAACAACACTTAAATGCCAATATGAAATTGATATGGTTTAGCTGTGTCCCCCCCCTCCAAATCTCATCTCAAATTGTAACCCCCACAATTCCCACATGGCATGGGAGAAACTGGGTGGGAGGTGATTGAGTTATGGGGGCAGATCTTTCCTGCACTGTTCTCATGATAGTGAATGAGTCTCAAAAGAGCTGATGGCTTTAAAAACAGAAGTTTCCCTGCACGAACTCTCTTCTATTGTCTGTCACCATGTGAAACATGCCTTTCACCTCCCACCATGATTGTGAGGCCTCCCCAGCCACACAGAACTGTAAGTCCATTAAACCTCTTTCTTTTGTAAATTGCCCAATCTTGGATATGTCTTTATCAGCAGCATGAAAATGGACTAATACAGAAGTCAATAAATTTTAGGGCACATGATAAAGGAAAAAGGAAACAAAATGAAGATTTTTTATAGCACAAGTGTATACATGCACAAACATGTTTTTAACAAAAGGAGGAGGAAATATGACAATTACAGCCCTCGTTTCTGCAACTGGTCACGTGGTCATAGCTGGTATTAATGACTAGTTTCTTCTACTACCCATTCTGTATTCCCTTTGCCTTCAGCAAATGCCTCAAGAGGTCATGAATTTTTCCTGGTAGAGTGACCCAAACCTTCATTCCTGAAGGGTCTGGGCCATTTGTAGTCCTGCCTGGATTGGACTGTTGTAGTTTCCCATTGACCTTAGTCACAGGGAATGGTAATACTAAGATCTCTTGTATTCCACACATACTCTTCCTTACCTCCATTGTGGAATAGTAGACTGATTTTATCTTGATAATACAGGTCAGTCACCGCAGCCAACACTGTAACCCCCTTCTTAGCCTGTTGACTTAAAGGTAGAGGAGCCCAAAGTGTCCAGGTGGCAATCTTAACTTCCAATTTAATGGAATCATTGTTGTGTCTCCTGGTGGCAGTGTTCCTCCCTCTGGAACTATATCTGACTAAAATTAAGGGATCTTCTACCTCAGTAAAATTTCTAGGGGTCCAGTGGTGTTGGGTCTGTCGAGATATTCTTTCTAAGGTAAAGAATAAGTTGCTGCATTTGGCCACCCCTACAACCAAGAAAGAAACACAAGGCCTAGTGGGCCTATTTGGATTTTGGAGGAAACATATTCCTCATTTGGGTGTGTTACTCTAGTCCATTTATCAAGTGACCTGAAAGACTGCCGGTTTTGAGTGAGGTCCAGAACAAGAGAAGGCTCTGCAACAGGTGCAGGCTGCTTTGTAAGCTGCTCTGCCACTTGGGCTATATGACCCAGCAGATCCAATGGTGCTTGAGGTGTCAGTGGCAGATAGTGACACTGTGTGGAGCCTCTGGCAAGCCCCCATAGGTGAATCACAACAAAGGCCTCTAAGATTTTAGAGCAAAGCCCTGCCATCTTCTGCAGATTACTACTCTCCTTTTGAGAGATAGCTCTTGGCCTGTTACTGGGCTTTGGTGGAAACTGAACGTTTAACTATGGGTCATCAACTCATCATGCAACCTGAACTGCCTATCATGAACTGGGTACTTTCTGACCCATCTAGCCATAAAGTGGGTTGTGCACACCAGCATTCCATCATCAAATAGAATTGATATATACATGATCGGGCTCGAGAAGGTCCTGAAGGCACAAGTAAGTTACATCAGGAAGTGTCTCAAATGCCCATGGTCTCCACCTCTGCCACCCTGCCTTTTCTCCCTCAGCCTGAACTGAGGGCTTCATGAGGAGTTCCCTATGATCAGTTGACAGAGGAAGAGAAGACTAGGGCCTGGTTCACAGATGGTTCTGCATGATATGCAGGCACCATCTGAAAGTGGACAGCTGCAGCACTACAGCCCCTTTCTAGGACATCCCTGAAGGACAGCAGTGAAGGGATATCTTCCCAGTGGGCAGAACTTTGAGCAGTGTACCTGGCTGTGCACTTTACATGGAAGGATAAATGGCCAGATGTGTGATTATATACTGATACATGGGCTGTAGCCTAGTCTTCCTGTTTTCTTAGCCCTCACCAGAATCCTGCTGCTCCAAATTCTTCCAGCCTCTGCCCATTATGCAGTTGCAAAGTTGCTTCCACATTTTCAGGTATTCATGATCACCACCACCCCACTCCTTATATCAATTTTTTTAATTAGTCCATTTTCTGTTGCTTATAACAGAATCCCTGAAACTGAGTAATTATTAAAGAAAAGGAATTTATTTCTTACAGTTGTGGACACCCAGGAGCTAGCTGCATCTGGAGAGGGCTTTCTTGCTGGTGGGGACTTGGACCAGAATCCCAACGTGGCAAAGGGTATTACATGTCAAAGGGGCTAAGCTAATGTGCTTGCTCAGGTCTCTCTTCCTCTTCTTCTAAGGCCATCCATTCCCCTCCAAAGACAACTCATTTATCCATGAGGGGATTAATTCATTCATAAGGGCAGAGCACTCATGTGACTCAGTCATCTCTTGAAGGCCCCACCTCTCAATACTGTTAAGTTTTAGCATGAGTTTTGGAGGAGACATTCAAACTATAGCAATACTAATATTCTTATCACATTTCAATAACCCAGTAGAGTTTATGACACGTAGTGGCTACTAGTGAGTGAATGAAGGAAAAAAGAAAGAGGGAGGCAGGGAGGAAAGGGAGGAGAAGAAATCTATATTCTAAATCTACAAAATGTATGGGATGCTTTGCTAACAATAAGGTAGTATACACAAAATGGCTCAGTGTAGCCATCAGCACTCAACTAGTCTGACTGAAACCAGAAATGGATTTTAGTGCCTGCAGAAAAGAATAGATTAAATATCTCACAGGCAATCTTTACTATAAACTGTTTCTCTCCATCAGATAGCTGATAAGGATTGAGGGTCAGTAATTTCATGTTATAGTCCTGTATACCTCCACATTCTTGATTCAGTGGCTTGATGCAATAGATATTTACTTCTCATTCACATAAAAATTGATTCAGGTGTAGGGGTAGCTCTCCTCCATGTGGTGATACAGGAAGCCTCTGAATCACCTCTGTATCGTGGCTCTGTTATATATGACTACAAAAGGCATCCACATCAAGTGGCAGAGAGTAGAGAAGGCCCATCTACTTCGTAATTACCTTGGCTCGAAAATGACTCAGATTACATACACTCAAATTCCATTGGTAAGGGGTTCCACCTTGTTGCAAGGGGCCTGAAAATTGCAGTCCTGGGTAAGACAGCCTCTTCCTGGTAACATCCTTCCTCTAAGAAGCACAAGCACAGAACCCTGGAAGGCAGCTACCTTTTTCCCTCACTATTCTTATATCTGGCCACCAAATATCTGTGCCTACTTTTCCCAAAAAGAGACAGCCCTAAGTTCTACCCTTCAAGCATCTACCTCACAGTCTAGGATCTCCAGGTCATGAATAGTTTCTCCATCAGGTCTGTATTAGTTTGTTTTCACGCTGCTGATAAAGACACACCAGAGACTGGGCAATTTACAAAAAAAAAAAAAAAAAAAAAAACAAAAAAAAAGAGGTTTGTTGGACTTACAGTTCCATGTGGCTGGGGAAGCTTCACAATCATGGTGGAAAGTGAAAGCCATGTCTCACATTATGGCAGACAAGGAGAGAGTTTGTGCAGGGGCTCTCATTTTTAAAACAATCAGATCTCCTGAGGCTCATTCACTATCACAAGAACAGTGCAGGAAAGACCCGACCCCATAATTCAATCACCATTCACCAGGTTTCTCCCATGATACATGGGAATTGTGGGAGTTACATATCAAGATGATATTTGGGTGGGGACACAGCCAAACCATATCAGGGTCTAAATGAGATTCCTCCTCATATTCTGACCTTCCTATAAACCACAACATGAGTCATCTATCCCTCACCGCATCCCAAATACAAAACACATAGGTGTTGTGTCAGGAGCAGAATAACTGCAATTTTAAAACTCCCTTTCAGAGAAGGGAAGAAAGGAAAAGAAGCAGTGATCACCATTTCCTAACAAAGTGAGATCCTGCCAGGCAGGCATTGTAAATATCCCCACTTGGGAGAAGCCCTTGGTCCCTTTCCTCCATGGCCCTGTCTCTACAGCCTCGACAGGTTTTCTTTTTCATCATCCTCTATGGCCTCATCTGAAGGGAGTGTCAGGCAGTGTGCCCACCTTGGAGCTCCATAGCTCTCATAACCTACTTCTTTATACAAATTTGGAAGTCCAAGGGTTGCTGTAGCCTCAAACAGTGAAATACGTTTTTTAAAAAAATCAGTGCTAGTCTTTTGGGTAAAATAGTTCTCTCAAGTACTCAGACAGTCCCTAGTCTTTCTTTCTCCCATAAGTTATACCTACCAGTGATCACATCCAATGTAATTCCCTAGAGTCCTCAAGTCTTCTTCTTTTTCTCTGTCACTCTCGTGTGACAAGCATTATTTTCTCACATTGTCCAGGTGAAGTCACAATACCTCACCTAACTGAAGGGACCCTGGGAATTGTAGCTCTTGGCTGAGCTTTCCAGTAACAATGCTACACCATGTAAGGAAGTACAAATCTTGGGTGAATAGTTAACCATTGTACTATAGCTCCCTAAGAATATTTGGAGGAATATGGGTATTCTATATGCATGTAATATAAAATGCTGCTGCTAGCTCTTCTTTTAAATACAGTGGCTCTCAGGGCCAAGTGTGGTGGCTTATGTGTGTAATCTCAGCACTTTGGGAGGCCAAGTCAGGAGTATTACTTAAGGCCAGGAGTTTTAGACCAGCCTGGGCAACACAGCGAGACCTTGTTTCTACAAAATATATATATATATATATATATATATATATATATATATATAAAATAAATTAATAAATAAATACAGTGGATCTGGATTTAAATCCCAGCTTCTCCGTTTATAACTTCTATGATCTCAAGCACTTCTCTATTCCTTCTGAATGCCACATTTTGTTATCTACAAAATATTGGTAGCTGTACTTACTTCACAGGATTGTTTAATTAAATTACATATTTATTTAACTGATCAATGATGGTTGAGTAATTCAAAAAGAATATGGACAGTTATCTTGAGAATAGAGCCCATATCTGTGTTCAGTTTTTGTTATAACCCAAAGATAATTAAACAAAACTTAGACATGCTGATATTTACATCTCTAAGACATTTCATACATTATAAACTTTGCATTTTGAGCATTTTATTTTCTTTGCTGCAGAATTAGCTGGTTTACTGTGACATCTGCTTAGCAGATTATGTATAGTACCTTTTCTATTTCTGCCATTTTTATTTTTGCATTTTGGGAAAGTGATAACGACCACTCCAATTTAGTTGGAAGAAAGCCTTCTGATTGCACAGTGTTTGATCCAAATTTGTGTAGTGGTAGGACGTGCACTTTTGTAGAATTCAGCACTGAAGGATTATCTACTTTACAAGAATATTGTTTTAATTAGTCGACAAATGAATAAATGATTTATGCAATGAAGTATGGGCAAACTAATTTTCTCTGAAGAATTCTCCATAGATATTTATATTGAACAAATATATAAATACTGATGCAGTTGCAGACACTGAAATTAGCATTCAGCGTGAAAATTTTTTGAAATGAGTTCCAGCTGTAAACTGACTAGGAGGGAATTCTTCTATTTGGATAAGATGTAAGACCCCTTGGCCTAAATCGGTGGTTCTCCAGTATTAGCATGCATCAGAATCACCTAGAGGGTTTATTTAAACAGATGATTGGGCCTCATCTTCAAAGTTTCTTCAGAGGTCTAGGGCAGGGATGAAAAATTTGCATTTCTAAACAATTTCCAAGTGCTGCTGCTGTACTTGAGAACACATTCTGAGAACCACAGCCTAAAGCAGAAGTTGGGAGAACTACATTTTGCATACCCTATCTGGCCTAACATTTGTTGTTGTTGTTGTTTGTTTGTTATTTTGATTTGTTTTCTAAGAGATGGGATTTCACTCTTTGCCCAGGCTGGAATGCAGTGGTACAATCACAGCTCACTGCAGCCTCAAACTCCAGGGCACAAGTAATTCTTCCTCTTTAGTCTCCAAAGTAGCTGGGACCACAGACACATACCACTATAGCCAGCTAATTTTTCTTTTTAATTTTTTGTAGTGATGGGGTCTTGCTATGTTGCTCAGGCTGTTCTCAAACTTCTGGCCTCAAGACGTCCTCCCACCTCAGCCTTCCAAAGTGTTGGGATTATAGACATGAGCCACCATGCCTGGCCTATTTTTATACATAAAGTTTTACTGTAATACAGCCTTCCTTATTTATGCATTATCTATAGCTTCTTTCACACTATGACAGCAGGAATAAATAGTCACAATGGAGAGCATATGGCCTGCAAAGTCAAAAATACTTAATATCTGTTCCTTTACAGAAAAAGTTTGCTGATCCCTAGATAAAGAATAGGGAGGTGAGTGTGGAAGAAGACAGCAAGAGTCCTGGCCCCCTCCCTTCTATCTGAGCCTCACATAAATTCCCTTCAATACCTTGAGTTAGATATTAGCAGGAGTTTGCCAGCAGCGTATTCAATTATAAGGACAAATCATTTATATATGCCTGTCATTAAATAATAAAAATTAAAGGTAATTGAATTACCCACTTCAGTACCCAGTTTATTCTAGATGGACAGAAGACTTATGTCTAAAAAGAATCACAAAATCAGCTTTCTTCTCAAACTTATGGCTTCTAGAAAAGACATACAGGTTAACTTTCCCTTTTGAGGTGACAAAGAAGCTCCATCAATTTGATGAATTGTTCACTGCATGTCCAGTTAATTAGACACACTCTGTCATCTGCATCCAAAGCACAGAAACTGAAACAAAGTGTCTATGGCATAGAACCAAATAATCTGAATACAATCACTACTTAATGAGGTCATCTTCAGTGGAGTGGAGTAGTCAGAATGGACAGATCTGTATCAATCCAGTGACTTCTTGGCTTTGATCACTGTACTGTGCTTTACCTTAGGGGCACTAATTATCCATCCATTGCATTTCTGAGTTTTCCAACAGTGAAAGTTGGAGAATCAGATTCTCTTTCATAATGTTGGGTCAGTTGCTGTCACCATTTGGAAAAGATATTTTTAAAGGATTTGTATAATGTTGGAATGATGCCCCATATTTTAAAAGTGGGTAAAGAAAAGTGAGCTAGCATTTGTTAAATATCCATACGTGTGCCATGTATTATTGTAGGCATTTATGTTTATCAGCTCCAACACACACAATGCAGCCTCCTAAGATTAGTGGTAAGATTATTCTATTTTATGGAGAGGAAAACTGAGATGTAGAAAACTAAAAGAACTTTCTCGAGTTCATCTCACTATTGAGTGCTAGAACCAGGATTGACTGGTTGTCAGTCATTGACTGGCTGTCTAAAAACCAAACTGTTGGCTACTCCATTCTGTCCACTGCAGTTCCCTCCCCTAAATTTGCTAGATTTGATAACTCAATTCATCCACTATGCATCACTTGCTCAGGATCCACTCATTCCCCCAGTGAACTCTTGTCTGCTCTACAGAAATTGTCCTTGTTCCAGAACCATTGCTCCAAAACTCTCCAGTTTCTGATCTGATCATTAACAAGCCAAAGGTTTATTCCAAAGCTCTAGACAACAGTTAGATGGGTGTGGATGGTAGTTGAAAATTTTAAAAAATATACATTTGCACAGAGTAGTGTAACTAAAAACCATAGGAAGCAAACCCAGACTCATGAACTGAATAATGCCAAGGCTGGCAAATAATTTTCATCTCTTGAGTGAACTGTGATCACTTGTTAGTAGCTGCTGCAAGCCTGTGTGAGGAAGTATTCTGAAGCAATGTTCTGCCTAGGAAAGCTATATTCTGTTCTTAGGAAAGAATGCTGTAAGCAGTAAACAAAAGAATCAACATGTACAGCACGACTTGCCAGATATGGATCTAAACACTTTATTAAGTTGGTTAATCCTGCAATAATCCTATAAGATAGGTACAAAGGAGAGAAATAAAGCACCAAGGTTAAATAATTTACCCACACCACACATTCAGTATTATTAAGTGGCAGAGCTGAGAAGTGAGCTCAGGAATTCTGCTGCAGTTGGTGGAGGGTGTGAGCAGTTCTGCCAGAGAGCAGTAGGGTGTGTGAGAGACATTTGCATCCCTGGGGTCATCTCCTAGTAAAAGGACAAAATGAGGAGGAGTTCTCAGGGCTTCTTAAACTGTTTTGTGCCTTGGAGCCCTTAACAGTGTTATAAGGTCCACAGACAACTTCTGAGGATAATGTTTTTGAATGCATAAAGCAAAAATATAAGGCAACTAATAAAATCAATTATATTGAAATCTGATTTTCAAAATATTTTTAGATGTAAATTTGTGAGACAGTAATATGCATACTTCTTTATTAATACAGTAAATAACAAGATCCATCAGTGAGTCTAATAGAAACCAGAGTTTTAAAATAATGAAGAGCATAAACAATGTTTCAATGACTCTATTAATACGACGACTGTACTGTTAAATAAAAATCTTTGTGATTTCTATTTGTGACAAAGTCACAGGTACTGCTAATTCAAGGGTAGTTTGTTGCATTCTTTCATAATTGAAGGAGATGCTTAATTGCAGTTAAAGGTTAATGGAAGGAAAGAGGTGATTTTTTTTTTTTTCTATTTAAGGCCACAGACCCTGTGGGTCTATCCACTGAAACTTCAAAGTACATTGAGTACTTCAACTGTTAATGTTGTAAGAGGAAAACTGGATATGAAAGGCAGTAGAAAGAAATTTAATAACTTCTCTGTAATTGTGTAACCTGAATAAGTCAGCTAACGTCTCTGGGTTTTCATTTTCTCACTGTAAAATGGGACTAAACCTCTCTTATTAGACTGATGTAGAGAAGAAAAAACAATAATCTAGTTGGAATGACATTGTGGGCTATAAAACACTGTGTTAATTCTAAGAGATCTTAATAACTGTTAGAGAAGCAGCCACAAGTTAGTATCAGAATTTGAGCTGCCTGTTACTCAGGTTTCATTAGTGCTGTTTAAAAAAACACAGCTTCATTGGCTGCCTACTGTGTGTCCACACTAGATTTATTTCCATGCTAAGGTACAAATACAACCTTCAAGGAGATTGGAGTCTACTGTGGGAAAAACAGATACATCTCCACAAAATAGTGAAGTACAGTGAAAGAGAAATGCACGGAAAAGATGCAGGGAAGGCTTCCTGCAGGAGGCGGTGTACCAAGCCTTGAGGGTTGAGTAGGAATTAGGCAAAGAAAGAAGTATTGATGTTACAGCTACGGGGAACAGCATCATACAGAGCACAGAAGTAAGATATGGGCTTTGTATGCAGGAAATGAGACTCATTTCATCATTTCCAAAACATGAAGTACCAAAGACAAAAGGGGAGAGGTAAGGGCGAGAACAGAGAAGGTCCTAGCTGCTTTGTTAGAGAATGTAGGCGGTATTTTACAGAGGATGCGAGACCCTAATGTCTTCTAAGTAGGTGATTTACATGATCAAACTTATGTTTTAGAAAGAAATTGCAAATTGGTGACCTAGAAAAATCTAATTTACATATGTGTTGGCCCAATATATTGAATTTCTTCTTCCTATATTTAAAAATAAGAAGACTACCCTCTCTCCAAAAAAACACAAAGATCTAATATCTCTGAGTCCATATTGCACATGGCATCTGAGTAATGATGTCCCATTTGGAGCAGACATGGGCTCTTCAGGTGGCTATAATCTCCCCACTTCCTGTTTCCTTGCCAATGCTGAGCCCACATGAGTGTGGCCATTTATCATCAAGCTTAAAGCACATTTTTCTTATGGTGAAGATATATTTCTTTGTATTCATGTCTACATGAGTACAGAGTACTTTTGGTAAAAGTGGGAAAGTGAATAAACAAAAGGTCTACATGCTTCAAGAAAAACGGAAAAGATATTTCCTTCCTTACTCTAGCCTGCTCTTCTCACTCACAGGACCTGCCTGGAGCTGGACATTGTGTATGCAGCCCCTTTTGCCAGGCACAGCGCAGGCTGCCAGACTCATGGAAAATGGGTTTTTTGGGACAGAACTGGAGGCAGGTAGAACAGTTAGATGATTGCCATGATCCACACAAGGAATGATAAGAGTGGGAGTTAAAATTGTAGTCCTGAGGATGGAAAGAAGGGATGCAGTCAAACAATCCATTGGAGACAATATAACCATGGGATTCATGATTCATTAGCTTTGAGGATAATAGAGGAAAAGAGTGATTTGCCTACTTTCTAGTTTGTACTTGGAGGCTGTTTATGATTCATTCAACTAAAAGACTAGGAAAGGAAAGGCAGATTTAGGGTGAGGAGAATGGAATCTGTTGTGAACATGTTGAGCTGGAGATAAAGTTGGGACATATATTTAGCAATGTTTAACAGAAAATTGGATTTATGAGCCTGAAGACAAAGAGGTCTGAGTTACAAGTTTGAATTTAACTAGTGAGCCTCAGTCTGTTGGTAAGTGAAGCCATGAAAGTGAATTCTATCACTCAAGGAGAGCCTGAGGCTCAAGAATGGCTCATGGGCAGGTGCCCAGGCAACAGTGTATTTTAAGGATCAGATCCCATTAAAAGGACCCTCCAAACACCACTGCACAAGAGTGAAAAGAATCCAGAGATGAAGGTGTTATGGAGACCAAGGAAGTAGATTTTTAAGAAGTATTAAATGCAATAAAATATGAAGAAAAGGGGGTCCCAACATTTTGGAAATTTGAAATGTATAGTTGCTCTTAGTGAATTTCAGTAGAGTTATAAGGACAACACAAGATCCTAATTACATATAACACTTACTACATGACTCTAGTAATGTAGTCATGTCTGTAGTCATGTAGCAAGTGTTATGTAATTATGATCTGATGTTGTGCTTATATCTCTACTGCAACTAAACTCCCTTTACATTGTAACTCATTTGAAACTACAATCTTATGAGATTGGCACCTTGGTTATCCCCATTTTACAATGAGGAAACTGAACGAAAATGAAGTTACATTACTTTCCTGAAGAAACACAGCAAATAAGTGATGGAATTAAAGTTTCAAATTCAGGCAGTTTAGCTCCAGAGTCCAGGCTCTTGACTTCATTACTATGAAACTATCTTTTCATATTGCAGTGAGTAACAAATAGGGTAGCCCAGTTTATGCCCGTTGTCCCAATATCCAGGCTATGAAGCAGTCATTTTCCAGATTTAGATAAAAAATTACATCTGACCACCTCACTCATGCAATATAAGGACAATAGGAAAATAAATATTGTAAGCCTAGACAGTTCTTTTTGCCATAGTGTCTCATAATTTGTAAGTCCTCAATAAACGTCTGTTAAATGAATGCATCAGAAATATTCATTATGAGAGCAGTTGACTGATATCCAGAGGGTAAAGACTAGAGCATATTAATAAGACTGAAGGGAGGTTGTCAGTAGAGGAGGAACTTGAAGGAATGCAAGACAAAGTAAACGACTAATTTAGTGATGTTTCAAAAGAGGGAGAAAGAGATGGTGCTGAAGACAGTCCTGCATCACAAAGGAAAAAAAGGCTATTAGGCCTTTTCCTTGAAGTCATATCCCCATATCCCTGTCATCTTCCCCTTCCATCTGTACATTCAAAAATATTCTGAGCACAAAAGAGGTTGATTTTGGGGAAAAAAAAGTATAACAGTGAAAACAGAAGTGGGATTTGTATAGGTATAATGACATGAGAAGACACTGGACAGAAAGACAACAAGACCAAACTGACAGATGAGACTCTCTCCACATCATAGGGATCAGAGCCATCTGTTAAGAATGAAAGAGTTGTGCGGGCTGGAGGGGAGAGGTGGTGATATGAAATGGGTCATTCCAAAATGAGACAGGGAGTTAGCTGATACTAAAAGGATTAAAGGTCAGTTCTGATGGCCTAACTTAAGTGGGAGACCATACATTTAATGTGACAAGCAAGTTTTGTGCTGTTCTGCATGGAGGTTTTCCTGGACACTGTGATGACAGGATGGAACCGTGAAGGAATCTGGATGGATTTCTGAGGGAGGTGTTCAGATGATCACCCAGGATAGAAGGAAAGGCCAAGAGAGGGGAGGATGGCTGGGAGAAAACAAAAGGACCCAGGGTCTGAATGCTTCCATGATGGTGAAGAGTAAGGAAGGAAAGAAGGAGGGCCTGAGAAGGCCTGAAGGACATGCGGTTGTGGTCTAAAAGGAGAATTTAGTTTTAAGGAGCCACATTGCTTTCTTATGCACTGTACTTTTATTAGAACATGTCGGCTGGGCGCCGTGGCTCACATCTGTAATCCCTGCACTTTGGGAGGCCAAGGTGGGTGGATCACCTGAGGTCAGGAGTTCAAGACCAGCCTGACCAACATGGTGAAACCCCGTCTCTACTAAAAATACAACAATTAGCTGGGCGTTGTTGCAGGAACCTATGGTCCTAGCTACTCGGGAGGCTGAGACAGGAGAATCGCGCAAACCCAGGAGGAGGAGGTTGCAGTGAGCCGAGATCACGCCACTACACTCCAGCCTAGGCGACAAAGCAAAACTCTCTCTCAAAAAAAAAAAAAAAAAAACTAGCAAACAAAAAACCTGGTAAGAACATGTCTACTACTATGCTTACTCAGCCATGGAAAATGCCCTATATTGTGTCAAGCAGCCATGTGAGTTTGAATTCTATACCAAAATGAACACTTGGAATCATGTGCCCCAGTCAAAGAGGATGTCTTTGTTTTCCATCAGGGAGGCATCCAGGGCATGTGTGAAATTGATTGTAAATCATTTGTGTTGTTTTCTAGATATTGAACATGCCCATTTAACATATTTAATGTGTTTCTGACATTTACAAAGTGTCTGGCAAGCTTTGGGCAATCATTATTTAAGGCATTTTTACTGAAAGTACCCCTGAGTAGTTCCTAAACACTGCATTCTTTTTCAATCGATTCTGAATATCCCTGAAGAGGGAATTGTAAATGTTGAAAACTGTAGTTGTCAATCATGGGCTCATCTACTCGCCTCTTTGAATGATAATATAAATTCATTTGAAACACTACAGTGTTGCTAGATACTTGGGGCTTTTTTCCTTGCTGCTATAGAATTGCTTTATTTCAGTAAGATTCAAAAAATGAATTAATCTCCAGAGACATAAGCGCTTACTAACCTCGAGAGTCACCCGACTCCAGATTTTTGAATTCTTTTTAAGAATGATGGGGTTTGAGTAGGTCAGAGGTAGTGCCCCAAACCCTCTGTCTTGACAAGAGAGCCATTGCAGACTCCTTTCACCCTTGTTTAATTTGTGCTGGGGACTGACAGGTCCTATATTAGGATGTGAAAATGTCTGCAATCAGAAAATGCAGCATGTTTCCAAAATGACAAAAATGGTGCATGTTGTAAATGCAATTCTTCTTCAAGTCACTTTTCATTCCTGTTCTGATCAAAATGCAAGCTGTAACACTATCCTCAGCAAGTCTGGAGGCTTCTGGATGCCCCAAATGAGGAGGATGGCATATATATGGGCTTGAACCACCAGGTGAGAGGAGGTATGTAGTGGTTTTGTAGATGGAAAATGCAAATACAAATCTCTTTGTTCTTAATTATATTTGATACATTCTCTGCATAGAATATCAATTCTATCTAATGAGAAAATGTACAGCTAGGCCATTTGGCAATGGGCAACAGATTCTGTGTAAGCATCTGGCAAAGGAATAATTTGACAAATAGCAATATGCCGAAATTGTGTTAGATAATTTTTGAGGAACTATTTGTCAGGGTGAATGCTCATTTTATTCCTGGGATGTTATTCATCAACGCCATGATTTAAATGACAATTAGCTACAAGGTTTACATTGCAGCTGAGCTTTTCATATTTCCCATAATCCTCTGCATGCATATTCTTTATTGATAAAGATGCAGTAACTTCTAGGGCCTCTCACCTTGACACTCTGCTGGAAATCTGAACTTCACTCTCGGGTGAATCTGAGTAAATAAAGGCTTAAGGAGAAGGGCTGAAATGAGAAATTAATTCTTTGCACATCCCGTGGAAGTTGAAGCAGGTTAACAGATGTTCTGTACCAATGGGGCACCTACAGCAACTTGTAAATTTATAGCACTGACTGCAATTGTGTTGTTAAATGAAGATTCTGCAACTTCACAATGTGAGAACCTACAGTAGTTGACACAGGAATTATAAAAGAATAGTGGCAGCTTTTCCAGGCTCTCCAGCATTATTTCTATAAGAAATACAGGATCATCATATGTACTAAGTCCCTTAAATATTCTTCCCTGTCTTTGAATTCTTCTTCCTTTCACCCCATCTATTCATTTGCTTCTACTGAACTTGATTTTACTAGCATTTTGAGCCCCATTGTCCCCAACCTATTCCCCAGCCTATCACATCCCAGCTGGCCTTGATGTCCTTCCTTCCCACTCTCAGATTTTAGGGTCAGCTATCTGAAACAGCCTTGTACAAGAACTGTGAATTTGGAAGCCCATATCTATAGTTCTCCACTGTATCCTGTTTGATATAGCCCAGAGCTCTGGATTAATAGAGGAATCCCTTACCTCTATGCCTATTCCTGAGCTTCTAAGAAGGGTTGGAAATCTTGAGCCATTTGGACACTATGTAAGGACCAGTTCTTCCATCCTCATCTGAGCTCTTAGTGACAAGTTTTTGTTACTGTTGTTGCTGGTCCATAACAGCTACTGTTTCAGATCTTCCTTTCCCTCCTTGAGCCTCCACACCCACACTTATTCTTCTATTCTTCATTACAAGTTGCATAAGAATTACCAAAAATGTTCACTTAAAATGCTATGTCCCTAAGGCCAACCCCCAGCTATTCTGATTCAGTAGGCTAGGGTGGCATCCAGGAATCTGCATTTTTTATTTGTTTTCATTTTTTTAATTGACAAATAAATGTATACAGTTGACTCCTGATCAACACAGGGTTAGGAGCACCAATCCCCTAGACAGTCAAAAATCCATCTATAACTTTTGACTCCCCCAAAACTTAACTACTAATAGCCCACTGTTGACTGGAAGCTTCATTGATAACATAAAACATCGATAACATGTATTTTGCATATTATATGTATATTATACACTGTTTTCTTACAATCAAGTAAACTAGAGAAAAGAAAATATTATTAAAGTCATAAGAAAGAGAAAATACATTTATTATTCCTTAAGTGGAAATGGATCATCATAAAATTCTTCATTCTCCTCATCTTCATATTGACTAGGCTGAGGAGGAGGAGGAAGATGAAGGCTTGGTCTTGCTGTCTCAGGGGTAGAAAAGGCAAAGGCAGTTGGAGGAGGTGGAATGGGGAGGCTGGAGAGGCAGGCATACTTGATGTAACTTTACAGAAATGCATCATAACATTTGTCTGATGTTTTTGCTTTTTCATTTCTCTAAAAATGTTTCTATATAGAACCAATTCTCTACCCACCATTTGCTTTAGTTTTGGTACCCACGTTATAAAAGAAGTCAAAGCAGTCTTCAATAATTGGAATGCTTCTGCCAGACTGTCCAAGGTCAATTTGTTTTCTGACACTGCTTCTCCATCTTCTTCCTCATCATCAGGTTTCGATGCATTCATCTCCATCAATTTGTCTTCTATTCATTCCTCTGGTCTGGTGTGCATTAGCTCTTGAGTTTCTTCAAGATCCGTATCCTAAAACCCTTCATCCCCCAATTTTTTTTTTGCCATATACATGATCATTTTCAAGATTTTCTTGATTGGCCCTGTCATGAATTCTGTGAAGTCATGTACAATATCTGGATACATTATACATTCTCCAGCAGGAATTTATTGTTCCAGGATTGATAGCTTTCACAGCTTTTTCTGTAACACCAATGGCATCTTCAATGGTGTAATCCTTCCAGACTTTCACTGTGTTCTCTCTCAGGGTTCTCCTACATAGCACTGACAAACTTTTTATAGAGTGTCACGCTTAAGGAGCCTTTTAAAGGTCCTTATGACTCCCTTATATAAAGGTTGAATTAAATACATGGTGTTTGGGAGCAAGTAGATTACTTGATGCCTTCAGTGTTGAACTAATAATGGAATTCTGGGTAGCCAGGAGCATTGTCCAATATTAGAAGAACTTTAAAAGGCAATTATTTACTAGCAAGGTACTTCCTGACTTCAGGGACAAAGCATCAATGGAGCCAATTCAGATAAAAAGGATTCTTGTTGTGCAGGCCTTCTTGCACAACAAAAAGCCTGGAAATTGGTATTTATCTTTTCCCTTCAAGACTCAGGGGTTAGCAACTTTATATATAAGGGCAATCTTGATAAAAACCCAACTGCATTTGCGCAAAACAATACAGTTAGCTTCCTGGCTTAAATCCTGGTGCTTGCTTCTGTTCCTTACCAATAAATGTCCTTTGTGGCATTTTTTCCCCTGGAATAGGACACTTTCATCTTCATTTAAAATCTCTTCAGGCAGATGCTCTTTCTCCTCAAAAATTTGTTTAACAGCATCTGAGAATTGGTCTGCGGCCTCTTGGTTAGCAGAAGTTGCTTCTCCTGTTATCTTGACATATTTTAAGCCAAACCTCTTTTTAAAACTATTAAACCATCCTTTGCTGCCATTAATTTCTCCAGGTTTAGATCTTTCACCTTCCTTTTGTTTTACGCTGTCAGGTAATGACTTCTGTTTTTCTCAAATCACATTGGAGTCTATGGGTATGGCTTTCTTATAGCAATCTTGCACCCATATAAAAGCTTCATTTCAATATGATATGAAAAGGTATCTTGCAAAAAATGCAAGCTTTTGCGCCTGCTGGCATAGTTGCAGCTACAGCTTCCCACTTTTCTTTTTTCTTTTTTTACAATGGTCCTTAAGCCGGATTCATTTTATCTTGAAATGATAGGCAACTGCAGCTGCAGACCTCAATCAAGCAATTCAACTTTTTCTTGTAATGTCATGAATTTTCTCTGTTTCCTAGGAACACTTCAACCATCACTAGTGGCACCTCGTATGGGTCCCATGGTGTTATCCAAGGTTTATGATACTGCGCTAAGCATGATGAAAAATTCAGAAGAACCATAAGAGATCACTTTTTACTGCAGTATGCAATTTACTGGAGAGATGTACTGTTCACTTGGAGATAATTAGAGTCACATGGCATTTTAAGTAGGTACTTGTAACACTTCAACTCACTGCAATAGCAACTGTAGGGGGCTACAAAATTACATGGTAGTATACTATGTGCTACAGTTAATTTTATGCAGTTAGGATTAATAGTGCATGTTTATCTTGGTTTATATTCTCTCAACTGTGAATGGCTCCATGTATGGCCTGTAAGTGTGTGTGTAAATTTTAACAAATTTTAACTTTTTATAATAGATTTATGCATATATTATGGTTGTAAATGATCAAATAGACTACTCTCTAAATATATGTTATGCATTCATGACATAACTTTCTTAACATTTTTGCTATTTCTAGGCTACGTAGTTCATCTGCTAGTTTTTCAAATTGTCACATGTCTAAAAAATTGTTTTGAATACATTTATTTTTAAAAACCTACACAAGTGGACTTGCACTGTTCAAATTCATGTTGCTCAAGGGCCAACTGTATATCAACTACAACATGTTGTTTTGAAAAACATAAACATTGTGAATGTCTAATTGAGCTAATATATGCATTACCTCACATATTTATCACTCTTTGTGGTGAGAACACCTAAAATTTACTCTCTTAGCAATTTTCAAAAATATAATACATTGTCATTAACTATAATCAACATGTTATATGATAGATCTCTTCAATTTCTAACTGAAATTTTTTATCCTTTGATCAGCATCTTCCCAGTCCCCTCCTTCTCCAAGCTCCTGGTAACTACCATTCTACTTTCTGCTTCTATGTGTTCAGCTTTTTTAGAGTCCGCATATAAATGAGATCCAAGATGTTTTAACAAACATCTTGTGATTCTGATGACATTGTCCCATAGACCATGATTTGAAATACTTTGAAATAGTTTACCCTATCACTCATGGGTAAGCTCATGGGATGAACCCATTAGACATTTTAATGATCTGGTGATATGGTCTGGATTTATGGCCCCACCCAAATCTCATGTTGAATTATAGCCCCCAGTGCTGAGGAGAGGCTTGGTGGGGAGTCACTGGATCATGGAGGTGGATTTTCCCTTTGCTGTTCTCACGATGGTAAGAGAGTTCTCATGAGATCTGGTTGTTTAAAAGTATGTAGCACCTCCCCCTTCTCTCTATATTTCCCCTTCTCCAGCCATGTAGGACATGCCTGCTTCCACTTTACCTTCCACCATGATTGAAAGTTTCCTGAGGCCTCCACAGCCATGCTTCCTGTACAGTCTGTGGAGCTATACACCAATTAAACCTCATTATAAACTACCCAGTCTCAGGTAGTTTTATTATATCATGCAAGAACTAACTAACATATCTGGTCTTATTCTACTACAGGAGCATTTTATGAATTAGTACATGGACATTTGATAAGCCAGAATTGCAGCTTGTTTTTCATGAGAACCATATACCTGTTCATTGTTTTATAATTTCTAAGAGGGCTCAGGAAAGTTAAGCAGTCTGTCCAAAGTCATCAACTCAGAATCCAGTACTAAGACACAGGAATCTGATTCTAAGTTTATTAGTCATCCCACTTTTCCCAAAGTGGCTTTTTAGATTCTCAACAGGAAATAAATAACATGTTGGCAACTACTGTTATGACATTTCCAGATGTCTTATGTACAAACATTCCATATGAAGGTCACTTTGAACTGCTGGGGAAACAATCTTTCATGCTTGGAGTAGAGACATTTTTAAACAGTGCTTCCCACTTTTTTTTTTTTTAAACTGTATCACTACTTCCATAAGAAAGGGCAAACCTGAATGTAAATCCAGTTATACTTAGTAATATCTGGGGCAGGTTCCCTGGGAAACAGACTCTAAAACAGATTTACTTTCGGGAGGTTTATTGAGTAACGACTTCAGGATCAACATCTGTGGGAGAGGCAGGGCAAGGAAACAGCAATCTACAGAAAAAGGAGCTGAATTGTGGTACAGTCATTGCAAAGCATTAGCCTTGTTCTCACAGCGAGAATTCTTCAGAGTTTTTCTCCTTTAGGCAAAGAAGCAGCCATTCTATCCCCACATTTGCCCGTCATTGAGTGCAGGGTGCTCCCTGGGAGGGGGGTACCATTTTGGGCAAGGAAGTGCTCATCAGCTGAGGGCAATTCCCATTGCAGGAGCTGAGGGAATGAGTGTCTTGTCCTGAGAGGGGAGTGGGGAGGATCAGGTGGCACCCCACAACATCCATTACAAGTAATAATTTCCTTAACCTGTAGGACAATAAGCAATAACACTATTTTTTAAAATAGTAGACAGGTTTTATAACATTAAGAGCACTTGAAGTTATTGGAAAAATTCTTCCCATACTTTGATCTTGAGTTCAGAAGCTATATCTTAGAGAGAAATAAATAAAAATTTTTAAGTAGTGACTCATTTTAAAGAAATGCTATTTTTGTTCTGTTTTTTAACGCACTAGAAGAATAAGTAATGATTCAGACTAAACTGTTCATTTTGTAAAATACAAGTTCTGAGAATTGAATAAATATAACTAAATCCTAACTGTGAGGACAAAATAAATGAAACTAATACTAGTTTTATGGGAGCTGAATGAAAGTATTTGCAGTTGATAGAAAGTATTATCTCATCTTTGAAACGAATGATAAAATCAATACAAAGAGCTCATTGCCACCTTTTCCCTAATTCCCTATTTACCCATATAAGACTTTCACTTTAAGATATCCCAGTCAAATACTCATGAATATCATCCCCAGTGAAAGAAAAGAAATTGATAAACAAAGGTAAACTTCTCATGTGTAATCAGAGATACCTGAAGCTCTAGAAACTATAATAAAGATGTTGTGCTTTTTACCCTTAAACTTGGGTTGTGCTTTTAATATTTGTTCAGATTCACAAAGTAATTAACGACCCTTTACTTAGGTAGATCATGAGGGAAACGTGTTAAGGCCGTTTATTGAGGCTTGAGAGATGGACAACTGCATATCATCTCTGAAAGAATTACTTTATGGTTGTTCCTTCAATCTCCCAGTATGGCTAAGAAATAGCTTTTCTTGGTCTCAGAAGGAAAGGAAAAATGAGGCTTTAAAAAAAAAATGCCTTCTCTCCCAACAGCAAAAATTTAGCTGAAAATTGGCTATAGGTGGCATTAGTGAAGTTAAAAAAGGGATGGGACAAAATATACCCATCCCTTCAAATCTCAGAATTCCAGATTTGGAAGGAAACTTTAGAGCATCCTGTTCCATCCTAGACCATCTGATAAATCCAGGTCCTCTCGTCTTACCTCATGAAGATGTCAATACAAGGATGGCAGGAGATTTTGTTTTTTTCTTCAGCATCCACTACCTAGGGTCTGGTTCCTTCAGTATAAAGGATTTTTATTTTTTTAATACTGCCACTCAGGTCCAGGGGAGAGACAGACTTTTAGCATAATATGGTATAGGGTACATGCTAGCAGGAACGTAACTATCCTAATAAAATCAATTGAACTATATTTTTAAGAATTGAATTCAGAAGTAAGATCTCTATGAGCACATCCTCCTCCTCTTCTCTGTGTTATAGATTCAGAGCATCTCTCGCTCCTTCCTAAGAGTGGAACCCAGAGAAACAGAGAGTGAATATTCACCTACATAGTTGCCAGAGATGAGAAAAGGCAGTACCTGGAGTGGCTCGTTAACACACAGGTTGCTTCCTGCCTCCCATCAGCAAAGGTTCTGATTCCATAGACCTGGGCTAGGGCCCAGTAATCTGTATTTCAAACAAGTTCCCAGGTGATGCTGATGCTGCTAGTCTGGGGATCACACATAGGGAACCCCATTAGACTAGAACTTTTCCTTCAAATTTTAAAAAATATATTTAAGAAAAGAAATATATCTTAAAATGGAATCTTCCTCCAGAAACAGCTAAAGAAGATCAGCTCTTAGTGCCCAAGATAGGGCAGATAAGAGTCCAAATAACCTGGCCATGGCCAGGTGTGGTGGCTCATGCCTGTAATCCCAGCACTTTGGGAGGCTGAGGTGGGTGGATCCCCTGAGGTCAGGAGTTTGAGACCAGCTTGACCAACATAGTTAAACCTCGACTCTAATGAAAATACAAAAATTAGCTGGGCGTTGTGATGCATGTTTGTAATCCCAGCTACTCAGGAGGCTGAGGCATGAAAATCACTTGAACCCAGGAAAGATAGGTTGCAAGGAGCCAAGATTGCGCCACTGCACTCCAGCCTTGGTGATAGAGTGAGACTCTGCCAAAAAACAAACAAACAAACAAACAAACAAACAAACAAACCTGGCCAGGATATCCTGAAGGAACCCAGGCCAATGAAAGTGCATATATATATATATATATATGTATGTATGTATATATCCATCCCATCTAGAGATTTTTAGCTAGTTGGACCTGGCTATGTGATCCAATTATTTTTCCCCTACCAGCATCCAATCTGTTCTCAGCCGCTCTGGCTGTTCTCACTGAATCTTAGTAGAGGTGACAAATTGAAGAGGGACTGAAGCTTTCAATTAGTATACCACCCTTGCCATATTTCTATGTTCCTTTCATAAGGAAACTCTAGTGTTAGGCAGAACCCAAGCCTACCACAACATATCACCATGATGTCAGTAAGAATGAAACCCTGTCTCAGTTATGTTCATCTGTCCTCAAGCAGAAGACAGTTGCCTGTAGTCCCAGTTGTCTTTCCTATAGAAGGCAATTCTGGCTGCTCTGTCCTAGGACTCAGGACAAGACCATAGACATGTCCATCTCCACTGATTTTCTGATACTCCACCCTGTGACTTATGCCCAGTTTTCTGGTAGCACTTTCGGCTGTTAATATATAATGGGTTAAATACCTTTGGAGAAAAGAAACAGTCACTCCTGGAGCTGTTGTCTGGGTTGCAACAAAGATGTTTATTTAGGAAAAGTGGGGGGAAAATCAAACTATGCAGGAATAATGCAGTTAGTGATTGTGAGGCATTGATAAAAACAGAATACATTTTCACTGTTAAAAGTTACACTTTGGAAAACTCTGGAAAATTCTCAGTACAATGGCAGATAAAAAAGACAAAAAGCTTAGAAGATTTTTGGCTTTTTATTTGTATTTTGCTGTATTTTGAGTATTCCTAAATATATATCTACACTTATATTTTTCAAAATATATAATTAAAAAGAAATAAAATTTGGCAAACATAATAGATAACTGATATGGTTTGCCTGTGTCCCCACCCAAATCTCATCTTGTAGCTCCCATAATTCCTACATGGCGCGGGATGGACCTGGTGAGGGGTAATCGAATCATGGGGGCAAGTCTTCCCTGTGCTGTTCTCATGATAGTAAGTCTCATGAGATCTGATGGTTTCATAAATGGGAGTTCCTCTGCACATGCCCTCTTGCCTGCCACCATGTAAGACGTGAATTTGCTCCTCACTCACCTTTCACCATGATCATGAGGCCTCACTAGCCATGTGGAACTGTGAGTCAATTAAACCTCTTTCCTTTACAAATTATGCTGTATTGACTATGTCTTTATTAGCAGTGTGAGAAAAGACTAATATAGTAACTGATTCCAGATAAATTCTATAGAAAATAAGATATTCTAGTTCCTTTTCATTACTTTATATCTGATTACTACTAGTTTTGTCTTAAGTCATATCATCAGGATAGTTCCTTGTCATAGAGTAAACTGATAATTTTAGGCTTACCTAATATGCTGTTTTATGTTACGTGGAATTATCTCCTTTGATAGTAACCAGGCTTTTTCCAGATTTAATTATGACATATATCAGAGACTCCATTGCCTGACAAGCAAAATGAAATTCCATGGAATATACATATTTTAGCTGTCATTGGTAGGAAAAGCTTCCTTTTTGTTGTGAGTGTGATATGTTTACCATTTAGTGAATTCCAAAATTGGAAAGTAGTAAGGTAAACAAAACAACTCTCAAGGCTTGCTATTTTCAATTTAAGTGGCCTCTTTAAAAATGTAGATTGGGCAACTCATATAGGCAAATGTTGTCACTCTCTACAGGGACCTTGTGTGATCCCTAGTTCTTAGTTATTTGGTTGCTTGTGATTATTATAATTTTAGCTGAAAGGGCATCATAGAGTTTTCTAGCACATGGATGGTGGGGGCATAGATTTCTATCCAAGTTGACACATTGATAGAGTCAGCCAGTAAATTAACAGCAGCAGAACACCATTAAATTTTAAACTTAATTGCTGTCTCCTCTTAATCTCTATGGATATAATCAATAGATGTCAGAAAAAAGTTAAAGAAGTTATTTAGCGAGCATCTATTTCCTGGAGCATAGTGGAAAAACCACTGTTTCATTTCAGAACTGATTTAAACAACTTGCAACTAAGATGCTGTCACTTATAAGGTTTTCATCAAAAAGTTTTATTTTATTCAGTTTTTTCATTAGCACTTTTTTTGACAAGCATATTGGAATTATCACTGTGTAATCAGTTTGATTTTCTCTCAGGATCCGCCCCCACTTATCCTTGCCTTTTGTGTTGTGTAACTTCTCTACTCCATCTTTGTTACTTATAAACTCCCTTTCCATGTCCACAATGAATCTTGATCCATGTCCTGTGTTCCAAATTTTCATAGAAAAGAAAAGCTCCATGTAAATAGTGAGCATGTCCACATACCCAAGGAGAAGCTTTGCTAGTTGATGTTGGGTGTCATGTTGGGTGAAGTCAAAATCTTATGACAGTTTTTTGTTTTTTTTATAAATTTGGAAGGAGGATGGTATTCCAGTTTTATTCTCCGTGTTCCATATCTACTGAATTATGGACCATAGCATTTACAGGCAATTACATAGCCTCCTGAACAGCCATCTTGAGTAAAATGGAGACTGTAATAAAAAACAATTTTTAAGTCAGATTTAGACAAATTCAGTGAGCTACATGGATTAAAATCTACTCATTAAATGAATGGATAACTTTTTACATTAATTTCAAAATAACTGTTTTATAGGACCCTTTATAGATTTGAATCAACATACTCTTGATGAGGTAGGATGTTATTTCATTTTTATAGACAAAGGAACATTGATTTTATGCCATTGTCTTTAGCCAAGCAGGGAAGAATACTTCCAGCATAGCCCAACTTTCTGTTCATCAGCTGAGCACCTACCATGTACCAGAGACTGGTCTATTTGCTGGAGCTTTGTAGACAAAGAAAACAGACAAAACCCTGGCTCTCTTTTAGCTTGCAGTCTAGTGGGGATAGGACAGTGAATGAAAATGCAAAAAGAATATAAATGCATTCCTAAGATAATTTCAAATAGTGAAATTACAATGAGGAAAACAAAACCAGGTAGAGAGAGAGTTGGAATGGAGGGAGCTCCTTTAGATTGAATGGCCAGAGAAGGTCTCTCAGAGAAGATACTTGGAATGGACAAGGAGGATCCCATCTGGTAAAGTTTTGTGGGGAGCGATGACAGCAGGTTCAGAATCTCCAAGGTGAAAATGAGTCCATAACTCTTGGAAAACCATCAGAAGCCCCTTCTGGTTGGAGCAGTGAAAGGAGACGGTGGCATGAGATGTAGAACTGAGGAAAGCCAGGGTCACATAGTGCAGGGTCTTGTAGAGGACAGTCAAAACTGTAGATATTTTCATCTAGGCAATGGCACATTTTTGGTGGGTTTTAAGCAATGGTAGTGACATTATATGATTTGTTTAAAAAGTAATGTAGCCAATGCCTGCTGTTGGAGAATAAACTGAAGGTAGGAGGGTGGATGAAAGGCAGGGTAGTAGTAAGATATCCTTCCTCTCTACCCTTTCATTCTGTAGTTCCATATGTTTAGAATAAGCATGACACTGCATGACTTGCTAAGTGCCAAAGGAGAGAAGAAATCAGAGATACTTTAACTGCTGAGGCAGATACTGTTTCCCCCTTCTTCCTTAATCTACAGAATTCTGATTTTATTTGGGCAGCAGCATACTTAGAGAAGGACAGTCCATTCTCTAGCCTGGAAGATGAGTCATGAAGTCCTAAACCGTACAAAATAATTCCAATCCCCTTCGCTAGTGATTGGCTTAGGCGTGGGCATGTGGCTTTATTCTAGATACTAAAGAAGAAATTTCTTTGCTGGGTGGATGGGAGGGGAGAGGAGCAGAGATCAGTGATAAAGATCAGTAAATGTTATTACCTCTTGATAAAAATAGAGATAACAGAGATCCTCTTTCCTCTTTGTGCCTTGAATACTACTGGGAACAACTAGCTTTGCAGCAGATACCTTGTAACCATATAGTGACCAAACTCAACATGCTAAAGATCACAGATTAGAAAGACAGGAAGAATCTGAGTCTGTTGAGCATCAAAACTATATAACCATCTATGACTAGACAGCTGTAGGTGTCTAAAGAGTATAAGTCATTATTAATTTGGATGTTCCATTACTTGCAGCCAAATGCATTCTAATTAATATATCTGTGTGTAAATTTGCTAGGTCCTGTCCAGTTCTTCATAATTGAAAAGTGAAAGAAGCAATGAAATCCAAAGTAGCTGTGAGTGAAATAACTTAGAAATTTATTTCTGAAGTTAAAGTCTAGATGCAGATATTTCAGAACTAGAATAGTGGGTCTTCTATCTTGCTCTCCTGCTGGTGAAATCTGTTCCAAAGTTAACTCACTGGACAAGGTGGCCACTTCGTCTCTAGCCACAGGTCCATATTCTAACCATCAGGAAAGAGAAAAGACAGAGAGGGATATGGCCTCTGAAGGACAACCATTCTACTTATATCCATTTGCTCTTAGTCACATGAACATTCCTAACTGAAAAATGTTGTCTGTTTGCTAGGAAATTATGTATACAACAAAAACTTGGGGAATAAGTTACCAAAAGAAGATAATACACTAGGCAGGGGAGTAAGGGGTGGGATAGGGGAGGGAATTGCAGGCAGCCTGTCTTCCACACACAACTGTAACAAAAGACGATTGGATATCTGCCTATTGAGAACTGACTGTATTGTATAATTGTTATGGTAGATGTTATCATTTGTTGAGTGTATCAGGCTTTGTACTTGAACTTGTTGCTAAATATTGCACTTATTCTTCTACTTCTGGGCACATGATAGGCTTATGAATTTCCTGGCACTCTTGAGGTTGGGCTGGGTATGAGTAGAGTTGGCATACTTCACTTCTCGGTAAAGCATTATTTATTAATTTGTGACCATACAGAGAGTTTCTCCTCTGCCACAGTAGCTGGCAATGTTGCAGATAGTGGCTGATCTGTTGCTCTAATTTCCAGAGTATCAACAAAAATGAAATGGAGCAGAACTCCCAGCTAATCTACAGTGGGCATAGAAGTGAGAAATAAAACTTTGTTTTAAGCCTCTGAGGTCAGAAGATTGTTTATTCTGATGGTGTGACTCAGCCTGTCTTGACTGAAACAATACATGTATTTTCTCTTAAATTATAGCAATACTAAAATGTAAATATTGCCATCTCCACTTTTCAAGTGTTCAGAGAAGGTTAACGACCTGCCAAAGCCCATACCCCTTGAAGTACTCGGTCCTGTATGAACATCCCTTGAAACACTGGGTCCCAGCATAAAATCTTGAGCCCTCCCAGTTATCCACACTCCCATCCTAATGTTGAACTGCTTATATCCTGATGATAAACACTGTTTTCAAGTCCTCTCGGACCCTAATAGCCCCTGATTTCAATATTTTTATTTTAACATTAGCTCATTGACCAAGGGGCAGTCATACTAAGATCATGGTTTATCGGAGGAACCACCCCTGATATTTCAACGTAGGTTCTTTTCTATTTTCCCTAAGTGTCGGCCGGTCTGAGAAATAAAGGGAAAGAGTACAAAAAATAGAAATTTTAAAGCTGGGTATCAGGGGAGACATCGCATGTCGGCAGGTTCCGTGATGCCCCATGAGCAGTAAAACCAGCAAGTTTTTATTAGCCAATTTTCAAAGGGGAGGGAGTGTACGAATAGGAATGCATTCTTTTCCCAGGGCTGTTAATTATTAATATTCCTTACTGGGGAAAGAATTCAGCGATATTTCTCTTACCCATTTTCGGTAATAAGAGAAATATGGCTCTGTCCTGCCCGGCCCACAGGCAGCTAGACTTTTAAGGTTATCTCCCTTGTTCCCTGAAAATCGCTGTTATCCTGTTTTTAAGGTGCCCAGATTTCATATTGTTCAAACACACATGCTTTACGAACAATTTGTGCAGTTAATGCAGTCAACACAGGGTCCTGAGGTGACATACATCCTCAGCTTAAGAAGATGATAGGATTAAGAGATTAAAGTAAAGACAGGCATAGGAAATTATAAGAGTATTGATTAGGGAAGTGATAAATGTCCATGAAATCTTCACAGTTTATGTTCTTCTGTCATGGCTTCAGCAGGTCCCTCCATTTGGGGTCCCTGACTTCCCACAACAATGGTTACGGGTAGATGATGTTAAAGAAGAAATTATTCAATGATGCTTGTCAAAGGTGGTAAGGAAGATTTTATTCAAGGTGGGCCATGATGATAGATGTGAAGACCACTGCAAGGGGGTCTTGGACTCGACTTCAAATGTAGCATGGGAATTTACAGCCAAGGAGCAGTGTGAGGTCAGCAGATAGAAAATTACCAAGAGGAAACATCAGGGGTAAGGGGAGATTCTGGCTAAACTGGTTTAACAGGATTTTTCCTGAAGGCAGACCAGGTTCCTCAGACATAACCTAGGAGATGCTAGAGGATGGGGAACCTGGTTTCAAGGGTGAGCAGATTTCAAGGGCAGGGGGTTCTGGCTAAACTGATTTAGCAAATTCTTGCTAAAACGGGAAAATGCAGAGACAAACATGGAAATCCAAAAGTCAGGTCCAGTTGAAAAAAGAGTTCAGGGGAGCCTGAGTAGTTTGATCAATGACAGAATCTTTTTCAGTAAATGTTCCAGAAACTAGATAAAGTTGTGAACATTATAGTAAACATTTAATAGGCAGCCTCTGTCTTTTAAAAGTAAAAATAACCATGTACTTTACTGTGATGTCAAGATATGATTATCTAGTCCTTAAATTCTCTTAAATTTTCTTCCAGGGCACAAATCACATGCACTTTGACAGGGCCCTGATACATATAAAAACAAAAACAAAACAGAAAACCAAGAGATAGTGATAGGTTTTGAACTTTTTGACTATTTTAAGGATATGCATCTAACAAATTTAAGCTTCTCATTTCAAAATGAAAGTAACACAGTATAATTGTGTTATTCACACCATAATATTAGAAGGTAAAAAAAATGTTAATTGATGGTACCTAGACTTGAGAGGTGGTGCTCTGAAAATGGCATAGAGGTTGAAATATGTATGAAGAACATACTTTTCTTTCAATCCTATGTGTGCCTCTGAGAGTATACAAAACTTTATTTGACAGTATCATCAAAAGATGTCATTGAAGTTCTTTGTATTTGTGAGACGTGAACCAAATTACTCTCCTGGTCCCTCAGTGACAGGCTTTGCTTCCTGCATTTACTGTTTTCCCTAGCAGAGCACCCACACTGCTAGGCTGGGCCAAGAAAAGAAGACAGAGATGAAACCCAAATCGGTCACACTGACCACTTGTTACCCCTTCCTGTCAAGAGTATAGCCCAAGAGGGCTCTGAAATGATTGGACAGAATGAAGTTTTGAGATTATCCATGGATTTCAATTACAGTATTTGTGCTCTCTGAGACCCCCATTACTATCAATAGTTGAGAGTTGGAAATATTGTTGAGATTTTTGAGATTTATGGGATTTTTTCACTGGGTAGCTACATCCAACTTGAAGCCCACATTATCAGCACTTTTCTATTATCTGCAAATGTAGTTTCTAAGAAAGACGTATGTTTGCTGTCTGCATGACTTTAGAAACTGCCAACTCATCAAAAGCTACACCATTTTTAGTAAGACATAAATTCCACGAGGTGTCAAATTATTTCTTGTCAAAGTGGTTGGTTCATTGGAAAGTCCAGAAGAAAAGAAAGAAAAAGAAATGAGTAATACATCTCAATGGTTCAAACTGAAGCACCTTTCCAAGCAATTGTTAGGATCAGTGCTGGCAAAGGCTTAAGAGGTCACAGAGAAGAACACATTTGGAGTATTTTTACGGTTTTTAAAATACCATTAAAATAATGAAGATTAATATTTAAAACATTTTATAAATATAAATGTATATAAAATAAAAATATTTAATAAAATATTAAAATACTAGTATACTAGTAGTATAGGTTATTGAAAGAAGAAATTTGACAAGGAGCACTCAGGAGACATCATTGCTGTCCAGTGGGAAGTAGGCATGTGAAAAGTATAATTCATCTCCCATTTGTTGCTCACTTCCAAGACTGGCTCTCTTATTTTCTCTTTTGAAAAGTCAGAGAGGGCCGGGCGCAGTGGCTCACACCTGTAATTCCAGCACTTTGGGAGGCCAAAGCGGGTGGATCACGAAGTCAGGAGATCGAGACCATCCTGGCTAACAAGGTGAAACCCCGTCTCTACTAAAAATACAAAAATTAGCTGGGCGTGGTGGCGGGTGCCTGTAGTCCCAGCTACTCAGGAGGCTGAGGCAGGAGAATGGCGTGAACCCGGGAGGTGGAGCTTGCAGTGAGCCGAGATAGCACCACTGCACTCCAGCCTGGGCAAGAGAGTGAGACTCTGTCTCAAAAAAGAAAAGGAAAATTCAGAGAGAGAGATTCTTTGAGACATTGGAAGCTCCACTGGCCTACTGGGTCAGACCACTGGCTTTGATGTTAGATAACTTGTATTCAAATTCTGATTCTGGTATGTATTAATTACACAACCTTGTACCAGTGATGGGCTGTCTAAGCTTCAGTTTTCTTATCTGCAAAATGGAGATAACAACAGAATCTATAGGGACACTGAAGGATTGAACTTTAAAAGCACATCTACAGCTCCACTTAAGAACATGATGGAAGTAATTGCTTAGTATCTTGACTGTGGTGGTGATACAGTTTGGCTGTGTCCCCATCCAAATCTCACCTTGAATTATAATCATCCTCATGTGTCAAGGGCAGGCCAGGTGAAGATAATTGAATCATGGGGACAGTTTCTCCTATACTGTTCTCATGGTAGTGAATAAGTCTCACAAAATATGATGGTTTCATAAAGGGAAGTTTTCCTGCACAAGCTCTCTTGCCTGCTGCCATGCAAGACATGACTTTGATTCTCATTCACCTTCTGCCATGATTGGGAAGCCTCCCCAGCCATGTGGAACTGTGAGTCAATTAAACCTCTTTTCTTTATAAATTACCCAGTCTTAGCTATCTCTTTATTAGCAGCATGAGAACAGACTAATACAGTAAACTGGTACTGGTAGAGTGGGGTGCTGCTCTAAAGATACCCCAAAATGTGGAAGCTAATTTGGAACTGGGTAACAGGCAGAGGTTGGAACAGTTTAGAGGACTCAGAAGAAGACAGAAAAATGTGGGGAAAGTCTGGAACTTCCTAGAGACTTGTTGAATGTCTTTGCATAAAATGCTGATAGTGATATGGACATTAAAGTTCAGGAGATGAGAAAATTGTTGGGAACTGGAGCAAAGGTGGCTCTTGCTATGTTTTAGCAAAGACACTAGTGGCATTTTGCCCCTGCCCTAGAGATTTGTGGAACTTTGAACTTGAGGGAGTTAATTTAGGGCATCTGGCAAAAGAAATTTCTAAGCAGCAATGCATTCAAGAGGTGATTTAGGTGCTGTTAAAAGCATTCTGTTTTAAAAGGGAAACAGAGCATAAAAGTTCGGAAAATTTGCAGCCTGACGATGCAATAGAAAAGCCCACTTTCTGAGGAGAAATTCAAGATGGCTGTGGAAATTTGCATAAGTAACAAGGAGTCAAATGTTAATCACCAAGACAAAGGGGAAAATGTCTCCAGGTCATGTCTGAGACCCTTGGCAGCCCCTACCACCACAGACCTGGAAGCCTAGGAGGGAAAAATGTTTCCTGGCGTGGATCCAGGGTTCCCCATCTGTGTGCCACCTCAGGACTTGGTGCCCTGCATCCAAGACTCTCCAGCCATGGCTAAAAGGGGCCAACGTACAGCTCAGGCCATGGCTTCAGAGGGTGCAAGTCCAAGCCTTGGCAGCTTCCATGTGGTATTGAGTCTGCAGGTGCACAGAAGTCAAGAATTGAGATTTGGGGACCTCCACCTAGATTTCAGAGGATGTATGGAAATGTCTGAATGTCCAGGCAGAAGTTTGCTGCAGGGGCAGGGCCCTCATGGAGAACCTCTGCTAGGGCAGTGCAGAAGGGAAGTGTGAGGTACGAGCCCCCACACAGAGTCCCCACTGGGGTACTGCCTAGTGGGGCTGTGAGAAGAGGGCAAACCATCCTTCAGACCCCAAAATGGTAGATCCACTGATGACTTGCACCATGCACCTAGAAAAGCCACAGACACTCAACATCAGTCTGTGAAAGCATCCAGGAGGGAGCTGCACCCTGAAAAACCAGAGGGGTGGAGCTGCCCAAGGCCATGGGAGGCCACTTCTTGTATCAGCATGCCCTGGATGTGAGAACTTGGAGTCCGACGTTCAAGGGCAAGAAGCATCCAGCATGAGAGAAAAATGGAGGCCAGAAGACTTAGCCAGTCCAGTGTTTCTATGACTCTCTGCCTGCTTTTATCCTAGCCATGCTGGCTGCTGATTAGATGGTGCCCACCCAAATTGAGGGTGGATCTGTGTCTCCCAGTTCACTGACACAAATATTAATCTCCTTTGGTGACACCCTCACAGACACACCAAGGAACAATACTTTGCATCCTTCAATCCTATCAAGTTGACATTCAATATTAACCATCACAGTGTATGCAAAGCACTGAGACTTGGGACTGTTAAGGACAAAAACTCTGGAGCACTATCTGAGTGTACCCCCATTGTATCTAGGAAGTAACTAACTTGCTTTTGATTTTACAGCCTCATAGGTGGAAGCGACTTGCCTACTCTCAGATGAGACTTTGCACTGTGGGCTTTTGAGTTAATGCTGAAATGAGCTAAGACTTTAGGGGATTGTTGAGAAGCCATGATTGGTTTTGAAATGTGAGGACATGAGATTTGGGGGGGACCAGTGACAGAATGATATGGTTTGACTGTGTCCCCACCCAAATCTAATCTTGAATTGTAATAATCCCCACATGTCAAGGGTGGGTTCAAGTATAGATAATTGAATCATGGGGGTGGTTTTCCCCATACTGTTCTCATGATACTAAATAAGTCTCACAAGATCTGATGGTTTTATAAATGGGAGTTTCCCCATACAAACTCTCTTGCCTGCCACCATGTAAGAAGTCACTTTGCTCCCCATTAGCCTTCAGCCATGATTGTGAGGCCTCCCCAGCCATGTGGAACTGTGAGTCAATTAAGCCTCTTTCCTTTATAAATTACCCAGTCCTGTGTATGTCTTTATTAACAGCATAAGAATGGACTAATACAGGTGGTATACACACAAGCCTTCTACATGTGACAAAGTTGTTTAGAACTAAATACACACACACACACACACACACACACACACAAATACACATAAAATGGGGGAAATTTGAACAAGATAAGTAGATTGTATCATTATCTATATATCTATAGATATATATCTATATACTGGTTGTGATATTGTAGTTTAGCAAAATGTTATGGAAAGAAACTGGATAAAGGGTATATAGGAGTTCTTTCTATTATTTTTTACAATTGCATGTAAATACATAATTATCTCAATTAAAAAATAAAATGCCTATAAATCAGTTAGCTCAATGTGTGGAATATCACATATGCCTAATAAGTGATAGCAACTTTTTGGAGAAGTGTCTACTTGTCTAATAAGTTACTTTGACTAATGAAGAATAAGGAATGGCACATCATTCAAGCTTTAAGCAGAAATATAGAAGGCACTCTAGATATTTTGATTAGCTAAACATTTAACACAGGAATGACAGGCTTACATGACTGGCATGAGGGCTAAGGTGGGAGGAGTGAGGAAATTTTTAGGAGATTACTTTTAAGAAATCTCGAAGTAATTGCCAACAAGTTGGAGTCAATGATCCCAGCTGCTTTCAAGATCAAAGTGATTGATTTTCAGAGGAAACCACAAATGGTGAGGAAAAGCACTGCCCATTACCTCAGCTACTTAGGAATCTTCGGTAGCTCAGGGAAACTGTTAACATGAACCAGAGAATAATGGCATGTATTTCCCTTCCACCTTCCAAACTTCACTCAGGAGCCTCTCACTCACTGTAGCTAGGGAATCTATGAGGAATAGGATTCTAGGATATACAGTGGTAAGCTTCTTCCCATTGACCTAGACGAAATGGGAAGGGTATGATGATTGATTACAGTGATTATTATGTTGTGAATTGATGACAGACAATCCACAACAGATAGAAAATGAAGAATATTTTGCCTTGCCTCTAGTTGCATAACTTGCTACATGGGATTCTTGTCTTAACTTTCCAGTCTATTTTTTTTAAGTTTATAGCGCTCATCACCAGACACCAAAAATCTAGTGGTCTTACTAGCAGGTAGCATTATTTCCATCATGAAACTTGCTGCCAGAGAGCAACAGCCTTGTTGTTTGGTTTGCATCCTTCCCAACCAGAATTGGTCAAAGGTAGAATGATTACCTGAGATACCAAGCCTCAGGTCTCTGCAGTTGTCTGCCCTCATAGGCCCAGTGCAGGCAAATAATGTCATGCAAAGGAAATGTTTTTCCAAGTCTTGATCACTTGGCTTTCTAGTGTGCTTTCTGCTCAGAAAAGACTCCAGAAAGGCCTTTCCTATTTAAGGTAGCATGCTCACTCCCCATCTCTA
Organism: Homo sapiens; assembly: GCF_000001405.40. NCBI lineage: Eukaryota > Metazoa > Chordata > Mammalia > Primates > Hominidae > Homo > Homo sapiens. Next base: position 68,473,820 of record NC_000003.12, read on the forward strand.
GTTATTCCATTAACTAGCTTTGTTGTTGTATATAATCTCCAAGAGGGGTGTAACCTTTGCTAACTTGTTCTACACTATATCCCCAGGGCCTAATAGTGCCTGAAACATGGAAAGTGCTAGATAAACATTTGTTGAATGAAGAAAGTTTTCAAGGAGATAAAGGTCAACATGAGCAAAGTGAATTAGCTCAGAATCTAGTATTAAGTGTGTATCTGCAAGAAAATGTATCACCCCCCCCCCCAAGTAAATAAAAAGCCAAGCTATCCTACTTCTTGACTACAGTTTAACTATCAAATAATTTCCTAGACACTTTACAGAACTGTTGTCTAACATCATAATACTAGTATGTTATTATTGGTCCCATATACAGACAATGAAACAAAAATTGAGTAAATCAAAGTTACTAAGATTACTCAGGATATAAGTCTGTATGTTTCCAGAGCCTTTATTTTCACCACTATACCAGGCTTCTTCATTTCTCTAAAGGGGCTAGAAACAGGGGTTGAAATAGGAATGAAACACTTGTCCATTCATCCATTCGAGAATCTGAAGCTTTGCCTGGAGGCCGATTTCCACACCTGTGCCCCATTACTAAGAGCTATGGTGAGTTGGCTCTACCATCCATAGAAGCAAGCCAGAGCTATTCAGCTGTCAGAACTTGATTCAAAAGCTTTGGAAGTTGTCTGGTAGAATCTAGCAGAGTCAAACTCACTAAGGTATGAACTCAATGTGCAGACTTGGTCTCTAGTAACCTGAAATAGTTCAATGCAGTGGTTGTCAAAAGAACCAAGTTTACGTGAGAGTATAGCAGGTGCTGCATCTTGGTTTTATAAATCGTTGTAAATTATCTCTCTAACTATATTCCCAGCCATTTCTATTACTTCTCATGGAAAGCAAATTCAAACAGGCGTCATACCTGAAAAGGCATATAAGAAATTAAGACAAAGTGAGCCACACAAATCATCACTAATATATGGTTTCTAGTACAGGAGGAAATATAGCACAAGAGAGAAGCAATGAAAATGACAAAGATAACTTTGACTACCAGGACAAAGTTCTTGTTTATCACATTAGAGTGGCTTTGTTTTTTTCAGAGTGGTTGTGTTTTTCCTATTTTATATTACAAAAGTGGAGAGTTCCTCACAGCTGAGATGAGATGTGCTGAACTGATTAGCTAAGATCGTACTTCTTTATCAAAGAAGCTCTGGTTCTTTGAGTTCACCATTGATGATAAAACTGAAAATCTCTCTTGCTCAGGGTCAGATGTGAAACGATTCCTGGTCCCAATCTCCAGAGTCACTCTTTAAATGCTGGCTTCTATTTTTTTTTAATCTCTTTTTTAAATTATTATTATTATACTTTAAGCTTTAGGGTACATGTGCACAATGTGCAGGTTTGTTACATATGTATACATGTGTCATGTTGGTGTGCTGCACCTATTAACTCATCATTTAGCATTAGGTATATCTCCTAATGCTATCCCTCCCCCATCCCCCCACCCCACAACAGTCCCCTGTGTGTGATGTTCCCCTTCCTGTCTCCATGTGTTCTCACTGTTCAATTCCCACCTATGAGTGAGAACATGTCGTGTTTGGTTTTTTGTCCTTGTGATGGTTTACTGAGAATGATGGTTTCCAGCTTCATCTGTGTCCCTACAAAGGACATGAGCTCATCATTTTTTATGGCTGCGTAGTATTCCATGGTGTATATGTGCCACATTTTCTTAATCCAGTCTATCATTGTTGGACATTTGGGTTGGTTCCAAGTCTTTGCTATTGTGAATAGTGCCACAGTAAATATACGTGTGCATGTGTCTTTATAGCAGCATGATTTATAATCCTTTGGGTATATACCCAGTAATGGGATGGCTGGGTCAAATGGTATTTCTAGTTCTAGATCCCTGAGGAATCGCCACACTGGCTTCCACAATGGTTGAACTAGTTTACAGTCCCACCAACAGTGTAAAAGTGTTCCTATTTCTCCACATCCTCTCCAGCACCTGTTGTTTCCTGACTTTTTAATGATCGCCATTCTAACTGGTGTGAGATGGTATCTCATTGTGGTTTTAATTTGCTTTTCTCTGATGGCCAGTGATGAGGAGCATTTTTTCATGTGTTTTTTGGCTGCATAAATGTCTTCTTTTGAGAAGTGTCTGTTCATGTCCTTCGCCCACTTTTTGATGGGATTGTTTGTTTTTTTCTTGTAAATTTGTTTGAGTTCATTGTAGATTCTGGATATTAGCCCTTTGTCAGTTGAGTAGATTGCAAAAATTTCAGGACATAGACATGGGCAAGGACTTCATGTCTAAAACACCGAAAGCAATGGCAACAAAAGCCAAAACTGACAAATAGGATCTAATTAAACTAAAGAGCTTCTGCACAGCAAAAGAAACTACCATCAGAGTGTACAGGCAACCTACAGAATGGGAGAAAATTTTTGCTGGCTTCTAATTTTAAAGGTCCTGACCTTAAGCTGTTAAGTTTGAGATAGCCACAGTCTTCAGAAACCTGCAGCCATTCAACACAGTGAGAAAAGTGCTCGGGACCTGTCCTGTTTAGTACAAAGGTTATGAAAGGGAAGCATGGAACTCAACTAGTCTTTAAAAATGCAGAGATGACATTGGGGATTTTGAGGTGTTTTACAAACGTGTGAAGAATTCCAGTTTAACCACCTGAAATTTTACATCTATTTTTACATATCTGGAAGTGTAGAGTAATAATGAATGAATAGTTTCACATGATTAAAGAAGCCTAATAATTGTCATTTTTCAAGTTGACTTAAGGTGGCTTCATAGATATCTATTTCTTATTCAATAATTGTGGCTAAAAGATATGCTGTGACCTGGGGCCACACCTAAATTAACCCTGAGGATTATTTTCTAATACCCATCCTTTTACATTCATAGGATTTGTTACCAGGATCCAAGATTATTTTTAAAGGATATATAGAACCCATTTGTAACCAGAAAATTTTTATACCAATATTAGTTATAACTATTAGTGTTTTATACCAATATTATAGTTATTAGTAATAGGATGAAATGAGTATGTTCTATCATAATGGTTAATTTTTATTATTTTGATCAATGTATAACATAAATATTAAAAGGCTGCTGGAATTTACACAAGGTAAATACACCCATGTATCCAGCACTCAGATGAAGAAACAGAACATGATCAACATCTCAGAGACCCCCATGTGTCTCCTTTCAACTGCTTCATTCCCCCAAGGATATCTATCCTGACTTCAACTGCTGCATTCCCCCAAGGGTATCTATCCTGACTTCTAACACCATATATTAGTTTTGATTCTTTTTGAACTATAAATTATACAACACAATTATATGTTTTATATATATAGTATATACTCTTTTATATATTTTAACATAATTTGTTTATGAGATTCATCCATATTGTTGCATATAATAGTTATTTCTTTTCCTTCTCATTACTATATAGAATTCCACAGAATGAGTGTATATTTTAAAAATTTACTCTACTTTTGATGGGCATTCAAGTAGATTCCAGCTTGGGACTATTATAAATAGTGCTTTTAAAAAAAAATTCTTTTTTGAGATGGAGTTTTGCTTTTGTCGCCCAGGCTGGAGTGCAGTGGTGCAATCTCAGCTAACTGCAACCTCCACCTCCCAGGTTTAAGTGATTCTCTTGCCTCAGCCTCCCAAGTAGCGGGGATTATAGGCATGTGCCAACATGCTTGGCTAATTTTTTTTTTTGTATTTGTAGTAGAGATGGGGTTTCACTATGTTGGTCAGGCTGGTCTCAACCTCCTGTCCTCAAGTCATCTGCCCACCTTAGCCTCCCAAAGTGCTGGGATTACAGGCGTAAACAGTGTTCTTATAGACATTCTTTATGTATCTTTTGGCAAACATATATAAATATTTCTGTTGGATATAAGCCTAACAGTGGAATTTCTGAAAATATATATTTTTCAGCTTTAGAAGATATAGCTAGTTTTCCAAAGAGGTTCTACCAATACTTGGTATTATCAAGTTTAGGCTTTGAAAAATACATATTATTGGATATAGAGAGGTAACTCATTGTCATTTTAACTTGAGTTTTAGAATTTGAGTTTAGAATGAGAGGCATGGATCATCAGTAACACAGAAATAGTTCCACTAATGGCTTGGAAATCATTCCCCTATTCATGAGAGATTTGGAGCCTGTGCTTTGTCCAGCAGAAAAGGGGAAAGTGTTTTAAATCATGGGGTGAAATTTAGAGCAAAAAGGACTATCAGAGATCAAGACTGAAGTTGGTCCTTGGAGGTATGGGCAGACGTATTCCTTGTGATTCCTGAATTCTCATAGGTAACAGCAGCAGCATTTACTGTCTCATTAGGTATTCCCAATTTTGCCACTCTCTTTGTTTAACAAATTGGAACACAGTATGGCAAGTTGACAGAGTTGAGAAGAATTCTCAGTGATGTGCTCAAGGCACCTGTGCATATTTATGTGGTCTGCTCATGGTCCTCAGCAAGAAAGTCAACAGGCCCTTTCTAAATGAGAGATCTGGAAGACTTTCAGCAATCTGTTTGAGATAAAACATCTAACAGCATCTATGACATAAAGTGGAAATAAGAAGAAAAAAAACAAGTAAAAATTACTTTCAGTAAGGCTTAGAGTCTGCAAAATATGGGATCATGTCTCAATGAATATTTATTCACCTTCCATAAGAAGCTAAAAGTTGAAATAGTGACTCTTCCCTTACATGCTGGAATCATTTCTGTGCCATCGTAGTTTATTAGCTATAAAATATGAATAATCAGTTTTTGTAGATTGAGCCTATCAATTCTAAGACATTATTGCAAGTGGTCCTCAACTTCTGTTCCACTTTGAAACAACTAGCAATTTATAAAATTTAACATAAGAACAACCTGAACTATAACATGTGAGTGTACAAGAAATCAAAAAATGTTATTTAAATGAATAAATGATTATTTGAAAAAGGTATGTGTTGTATATGGAAATACCCAATTCTATATTTCTATATTATTAAAGACTCCAAAAATTAAATCAATTTTATGAAATATTGAAATATCTTTTAGAAGTCACATATACATTTTTATGTCGTATATGTGTGTATATATATATATATACATAAAAATATATATCTGTAGGCCAGGCGCAGTGGCTCATGCCTGTAATCAGCACTTTAGGAGGCCGAGGCAAGTGGATCACGAGGTCAAGAGATCGAGACCATCCTGGCCAACATAGTGAAACCCCATCTCTACTAAAAATACAAAAATTAACTGGGCATGGTGACGCGCGCCTGTAGTCCCAGCCACTTAGGAGGCTGAGACAGGAGAATCGCTTGAACCCAGGAGGTGGAGGTTGCAGTGAGCCGAGATTGTGCCACTGCACTCCAGCCTGGTGACAAAGTGAGACTCCATCTCAAAAAAAAAAAAATATATATATATATATATATATGTCTGTACCCTATAAACTGTAGCTCCATACACACATATACACTAATATATTGTCTGTACATATATGTGAATACACATATTTCCACTCTGTATAAATAACAGCTTTAGACATTGTTTACATCTTGCTTTTTCTCACTTCTTAGATCTTACAGCTCTTTCAATGTCCTAAATGCAAGACTTCCAGAGATCAATGTCAGCATGTCTCTCTTATTTTATGAAATGGCTACATGAGTTTACATTATAGGCATCTACCATGATTCAGTTGAACAGTCTCTTCCTGATGGACATTTTGTTATTTTCTTCCTATTAAAGCAATGCTGGGATAAACACAATACTTGATATATTTATATAACATGAGACTATATTTGTAGGAGAGATTCTGGAAAATGTACATGCTCAATCAGAAGGGCTATGTGAATTCTGAAGGTATTTCCAACATTTTTCACACTCTTTTCTCTGCAGGAGGCTGTGATACCAGCTTCATTCAAATCATAGGGACTAAGAAGAGGGGAGGCATAATTAAATCAGTACAAGGAGTAATGGATGGTTCATAGGCCAGAAAAATAAACATATATACATACATGCACACATACACATTCATACTCATACACACGCATACACACACACACACACAAACACACACATCACCACATTAGGGAGAAGCCCTCATTTTCAGCTGTGACATTAGCTAACATGGTTTGAGACAAGTCTTTCACTTCTCTAAGATTGGATTCTCTCATTTGCATAATGAAATACGTGGCCTAAAGCATTGGCTCTCAAAGTGTGGTTCCATGCAAATAACATCAGTAAGATGTGGAAACTTTTTAGAAATATAAATTCTTGGGGTTGGCTGGGCGCAGTGGCTCACACCTGTAATCCTAGCACTTTGGGAGGCCAGGGCAGGTGGATCACAAGGTCAGGAAATCGAGACCATCCTGGCTAACACAGTGAAACCCCATCTCTACTAAAAATACAAAAAAAAAAAAAAAAATTAGCCAGGCATGTTGGCACTCACCTGTAATCCCAGCTACTTGGGAGGCTGAGGCAGGAGAATCGCTTGAACCTGGGAGGCGGAGGTTGCAGTGAGGCAAGATCGTGCCATTGCACTCCAGCCTGGGTGACAGAGCGAGACTTGGTCTCAAAAAACATAAAAAAAAGAAAAAGAAATGTAAATTCTTAGGATCTACTCAGGACCAACTGAGTCAGAAAGTCGTGAGTGCAGTACGGTAATCTCTGTTATAACAGTGTCTTCTAGGTCATTCTGAAGCATATTAAGACTAGAGAACCACTGAACTAAATGATCTGTAATATCCCTTCTAGTATTTTATGAACCTGTCAAATCCTCAGAACCCTAGGTGTCTGTTTCCTTCTTTTTAGATTATAAACTCTTTGAGAGCAAAGAGTAGGCCAGAAATCCAGTTGTCAGTAGCTATTGTTTCATACAGCAAATAATGAAAGCGTAAGTACTATAGGAATCCCTGTAAGTTTGGTCACTTTATAAACTGATATGGTTTGGCTGTGTCCCCACCCAAGTCTCATCTTGAATTGTAGCTCCCATAATTCCCATATGTTGTGGGAGGGACCCAGTGAGAGATAATTGAATTATAGGGGCAGTTTCCCTCATACTGTTCTCGTGGTAGTGAATAAGTCTAAGGAGATAGGATGGTTTTATAAGGGGCAACCCGTTTTGCTTGGTTCTCTCGTTCTCTCTTCCCTGCCGTCATGTAAGATGTGACTTGCTCCTCCTTGCCTTCCACCATGATTGTGAGGCCTTCCCAGCCATGTGGAACTGTGAATCCATTAAACCTCTTTTCTTTATAAATTACTCAGACTCAGGTATGTCTTTATCAGCAGTGTGAAAACAAACTAATACAAAGACTACCATGTTTTTGAACATACATTGTTGACTTTCAATATCTCTTTTACTGCTGGATTTGAGACTTGATTCTGTGACAACAAAGCCATGAGCTCTTTATTCAACTCTTGACTGTTATCTGACTTCTGATGTTATCTGGCACCACCAGGGAGATCATCTGAGACCTTACTATGACAATGGATTGGGGGTCTATAAACAGTGAGTGTTTTAATCTATTAAGTGTCTGAAGAGTATTACCACAAACAAGTGGTGTCTTGCTCAAACTGCTAAAACTAATACAGACCTTCATTCTCAGAGTCACTCATCTTGGGATCTAAAAGAGTGTTAGAAGAATTGGATGACGTTATATACCTCTTTTGGCTTTCATGACAACACACCCTTTAGAGGCAGAGTTTCATTCCGAGCTAAATTCTACCCTAACTCACTACTTCTCCTTGAACAGCTTGCTTAACATTACTGAAACTCTTTCTTTATCTCTAAAATTAGACTATTACCTTACCTCCAGGGGTATTGAGAGACTCTAATTTGTTAATTTATATAAAGCAGATTACACAATTCCTAGCACATAGGCATATATCAATATGTCGTAGCTTTTTTAATTGGTCTAAGTTTTTGATCAATAATTTAGAGATTTGTCTCTAAATCACTGATTCAGAGAGAGCATTTCTTAATACGAATTCCTTCATTATTTTCCTACTACCATGGCCCAGCATCTTTGACTCATTCTTCTTCATTTCACACTGAAACACAGTAATGGTCTTCTAGTTGCAATCTTCTCAAATTCACCCTACTAGAGTAATTCTCCCAAGACACAACTTTTACACAGAATCTGTTACTCAAGAAAAGAGATCCAAAAGACAGCATACTTTCTTTTTTTTGTTTTGTTTTCTGAGACGGAGTCTCGCTCTGTCGCCCAGGCTGGAGTGCAGTGGCGCGATCTTGACTCACTGCAAGCTCTGCCTCCCGGGTTCATGCCAGTGTCCTGCCTCAGCCTCCTGAGTAGCTGGGACTACAGGCACCTGCCACCATGCCTGGCTAATTTTTTGTATTTTTAATAGAGACGGGGTTTAACCGTTTTAGCCAGGATGGTTTCGATCTGACCTCGTGATCCGCCCGCCTCGGCCTCCCAAAGTGCTGGGATTGCAGGTGTGAAATTCTTAAACATTTATTCTGCATTTACTGGGCTCCTCCTGTATATCAGGCACTGTATTTGGATATTGTAGACACCAAGAAGAAAAGAAGCTGGAAGCCTCTGCAAAAGAGAAGCAAGTTAACCAATGATTACCACATGGGGTTGGCAGTGCTGACACAGAGGAAAGACCAGGGAGATGAGAATGGGTATAGAAATCACCTAGAAAAGTAACAGAGTTGTCAGTGAAAACTTGCAAAAGGGGATAACATTTCCCCTAGGTCTTAAAAGATGAGGTAGCAGGTATCCATGAGTTTTGCCACACAGCTTTCATTTCCTACTTCTCCTGGTTTAAAAGTCCTGATTTTCCTCAAGAAGATTAATTCCTCTACTCTCTTCCTTTTGGTAGAACTGTCTATGGACTTCACCCAGCAGGCTGACATTAACATAGTTCTGAGCCAATTTAAACAACACATTCTTGTAGCCAGGGTGATGGATTCAGGCCTTTCGGAGCTCCTGGAAGCCTTATTGCCACCATAAGTAGAAAATCTGCCTGAGATTTGAGCTAACATTAGGGGAAGAACAGAGCAATGGAGAGAAAGAAACTAGATTCTGTTGACATAGTTGAAGCCTCTGGTCCTGGAAGTGCCTAAAGTTAGTCCTGTCCCTGGACTGTTTAATTCGTGGAGCCACTAAATTCAACTTCTTTCTTAAGCCAGTTGGGGTCAGTTCTGTTGTTTCTTGCAATCAACATAGGTCTTTGCCAGACATAGGGAAGACAGATATTCCCAACTAAGGAATCAGCAAATAAAAAGGCATGCCCTTGAAATAAAAAGGTGCATCCAGGCCTCAGCAAGTAGTCTAGCTCAGCTATGCCACAGAATGGGAGTAAGGAAGTAACCCAGCACACACTGGAGACAGAGAAGGCCCAACTCATAAGGATCTTGCATAACTTTAAAAAATAGATATACATGTCAGGGGTCAATAAACATTTTCTGTAAAGAACAGACATTTCTGGCTTTGTTGACCAAGTATGGTCTCTTTCAAAGCTATTCAACTGTACTCTCGTAGCAGGGAATTAATCATAGACAATATGTACCCGGATCTATATAATGCTTCATGGATTATAAAACCCATTTACATCTTTTTCATTAATCCATTCAGCAAATATTTACTGAACACTCTTTATGTGCTCAGTTGTAGCCTCTGATTAAGAAGTTATATTTAGCTTACCCACTACCCTGCTTTAGAGGGATTTTTTGTCCCAGTTGTCATGGGCAGAATGGGAGAAGAAGACAAAATACAAATGAGCAGCAAGATAATTTCAGAGAATGCTAGTTGCAATAAAGAAGGGTAGACAGGGAGATGTGGTTGGAAGAGTCAGGGGTTTATTTTACCTAGGGTGGTTTGAAAAATACCTCCCTGAAACAGATTCTGTGGGGCTGATATAGGTAAACTTGTGGGAGAGAAGCCTTCAGAGCAGAGGGAACAGCAAGAGCTAAGACTTTAAGAGGATAATGCCTTTCACATGTTTAAAAAACAGGCAAAGGGCCAGTGTCACTGGAGCCCGAAGTTTATAGAAGGAAACAATAGGAGGTTGAGGCCAAGTCACTTATAGCTCTTTAGACTGAGGTATGAAGCTTGATTTTATGCCTTGGGAAGCCACGGAAGGATTTTAAGCTAGGGAGAAACACAATCTGATACGTACATTTTACAATAACACTGTCCAATGACAATACAATGTGAATCACACATGTGACTCTACATTTTCTAGTAGCCACATTCAAAAGTAAAAAGACACAAGTAAACTTAATTTTCATACTGCTTTACTCCAAATGCATCCAAATTATTGTCATTTCAACATGTAATCAATATAAAAATTATTAACGAGTTATTTTACATTCTTTCTTCTTTGTACTAAATCTTAAAATTCAGTGTATATTTTAGACTTATAGCGTATCTCATTTGGAACCAGCCACCTTTCCAGGGCTCAGAAGGCACTCTGCCTAGTGGTTACCATGTTGAACAGCATAGTTTTAGAAAGATCACTGTGACTACTGAGTAGGGAATGGAATATCTAGAGCAAGAGTGGAAGCAAGGGAAACAGTTATTGGCTATTGCAGCGGTCTAGGTGAAAGGGGATGAGCCAGGGTAAGAGTAGCAGAGAGGAATTAATTTGGGATGTGTCAGGGAGGTAAGATGCAATGCATTGGATTGGTGGGTGAGGTGAAAAAAGGAATAGAAGCTGATTTCTGGAGGTTGGCATGAGCAACTAGGTTGTTGGTTCTATTTTCTGAATGATCAAAGCCTAGGAGAGAAAGAAGCTGGGCAGAAGCAGAATGAGGAGTTTGGGTTTAGATATATCAAGTTCAAGATGCCTATTAAGCAACCAGGAAGGCAGTTAAATGGAGTGATTCTGTCCCAAGGATCCATCATTAATCCTAGAGGCAGAAGTAGTTTCTCATATTTCAAAATCTTTGAAAAAGCAAGTTTTAATCTTCATACACTTGGCCCACATTCTCCCCTTCTACTTACTCCTCTCCCTTTTTCTAAAGAGATTGATTTCACTTTCCATGAGATGCTACAGTATTTTCAGTTTAAATAGAAACTTTAAATAAATTGGATTTAAAATCTTCTCAGGGAAAAGGGAAACAATTTGTTTGCTGGGGTTTAATTTCAAGGCAAGAGTCATAATCAAGGCTATTTTAACCCATCCTTTGATTACCTTCATGGCAACACATGCTCTTGCAAAGATAGGAAGATTATTAGAATTTTAAGGAGGTGGATGTGGCTGTATCTACACACAAAGTAGCAATGAAAAGGTTCATGGGTTGCAGTCTCCAGCCTCTGGGGCCTCTAATCCACCCAGAACAAATAACTGTCTTTTCTCTTAACAATTGCCGCAGCTACAGGCTACAAAATCTCTCTTGGTGGTCAACTGCACTACCTTATCACACACAAGGGTAAATGTTGTCAACCTGCCAGCTGGCTTTGCCAGATGTCTAACTGATTCCAGCCATTTGTTTTCAAAACAACCCACTTGTTTGTGCTAAGTTGCTCTACCCCAACCCACACTACATGTGTTAACAGTGGCCTAAATAAATCTGTGTTTTTGTTGTACTTTGCCACTGGCTTACTTAGAGAATCAGGAAAAGTCCATCATTTTTTGCCTCTACTGACAAAGTCAGAATTTAGATGAGTGTACCTGATGAAATTTTTCTGAGCCACTCCTTATGCAATATTGAAACCCAAGTTTACTCACCGTATTTACCAGAAAGCATCTAAGGTATTTCAATTCCTCTATTTCCTTTGACACTCCAATAAATGTAAGCAAATTGTAGTTACTATAAAAGTCCTTGCATATACCTGGTAAAGAATTCTATATTCAGTCAATTAAATTCAAATGCCCAGTTATTTATACCAATAGATGATTCAGACCCTCTCACTGGCTACTTGCCTGATGGTAGTTCACCACTGATTTGCACCTTGAACTATAATTTCTAGGAAATTTTAAATACTAAAATGTACATTTTGCTATAGTAAAAAGCCAGTAAGCATTTAAGAGGAAAGTTTGGGATCATTGACTATCTCTCCAGTCACTGCTTTTAAACATTTAATCTGTAATTCACTGAAGGTCAGTAAAATGGAGAACTTTCCTTCACTGATAATTTTATTTTTTTAAAATGTGTTCTCACTATCACCTAGGCTGGAGTGCAGTGGTGTGATCATGGCTCACTGCAGCTTCGACCTCCTGGGCTCAAGCAGCTCCTGAGTGAGTAGCCTCCATTCCTGGCTAAATTTTTATTTTTATTTTATTTTATTTTATTTTATTTTGTTTTATTTTATTTTATTTTATTTTATTTTATTTTATTTTATTTTGGTAGAGATAGGGTCTCAATAAGTTGCCCAGGCTGATCTCAAACTTCTGGGCTCAAGCCATCCTCAGCCTCCCAAAGTGCTGAGATTACAGATGTGGGCCACCAGCCCGATAAATTCTTATTAAACAGATTTCAGCAGCCTGAACAACTAGTTACTAAATTAAAAAAAAGCCATATACAGGATTGTTTTTGCTTTGCTTGCTTATCTGGCCACTCCCTGTGGTCTGAAACATGACCATGTTCACAAATTCAGGCCGTCTACCTGGACCTTGGTCGTTCCCATTTGCAGCACCTGATCTGTACCATGCCTCCAACATGAGAAAAGCTTAGACTTTGAACACAAACAGAAATGGGTTCAAATCTCAGCCTTACCAGTTGCTAGCACTGTGATTTGTGGAACGCTCTTTGATCTAAGACTGTTTCCTCATATATAAAATGAAGATGATAACTCATCTTTCTAACAGGGTAGTTGAAAGAGATAATGCATTGTACTCACCAATACAAGACATATAGCAAAGCATTTCGTAATGACGACCTCTGGGTCTGCGAAAAGAACCCTTGTTTGATGGTGTCAATGCAGCATTATTTATCATTAAAAAGGTAAGCATTCAGTTAATTACCTGGATGTCTTGATATCTGGGCACATACACAACTGAGCTACCCACTTCTCATTCAATATCTTAGCATTTTGTCCTAATCAGTGTTTTCTACATTTCGGGGGCAGTTTGGTATCACCCTATGTGTTATTGGTATGCTCATTTTTAAAACAATTTAAAACCATTTAAAATGTGAGTTTATTGTGATGTTTCATTGCCAGTAAGTTTTGACAACAAAATAAAGATAAAATGAAATCAAATACCAGAAATAACAGTAATTTTATCCTTTGAGATCCGATGAATCCAAGCCAGATCATTCTTAAACTTATGAAAAGATGGGAAATGTTATGATGGTCCAGAGAGCGTTTGAAACATCAGAATTTAATTGCAAATAAGAGAGAATGTCAATTGTCTAGAAATGTGACTTAATCCAAAATATTATAATGTCAGGGAAGCTTTGTGGAAACTTGATAGTACTTGATAGCAAAATTCGGATGGTTCTAATTACAGTCAGAAACCAGCATCATCTTTTTTATAACACACTGTAAATTTCTTTTATTATTTAAAAGCTCTAGATTTGACAAAAGAAAAGAATAGCCAAGTTCATCATTTCTTAATTTTTCACAGCAAGTTAATTATGTTTTATGATTCATAAGTCATCGCATATTTGTAAAGATGGAAGTGTGTGTTTATTTCTACAAATGTTAAAATTTCTATGACTGTTGGCCAGGCGTGGTAGCTTACACCTGTAATCCTAGCACTTTGGGAGGCCGAGGCGGGCGGATCACAAGGTCAGGAGATCGAGACCATCCTGGCTAACACGGTGAAACCCTGTCTCTACTAAAAATACAGAAAAAAAAATTAGCTGGGCGTGGTGGCAGGTGCCTGTAGTCCTAGCTACTCGGGAGGGTGAGGCAGGAGAACGGTGTGAACCTGGGAGGTGGAGCTTGCAGTGAGCCGAGATCGCGCCACTGCACTCCAGCCTGGGGGACAGAGCGAAACTCTGTCTCAAAAAAAAAAAAAAAAAATTCTGTGAGTGGTGAGTGTTAAACTGTTCTCTGTACCAAAAGAAAAAAAAAAAAGGTGAAGTGATAAATTACACATTCATCATATTGAAACATTTAGAGTGTTGTAGATGTTTTTGCTTGTTCTTTTTATTGGCATGTATTGGAGGGTTTTACAGAAAGAAGCCGCTACGTGATCTGGCATCTACAGGTTGCAGTAAGTAGCACAAATTTCTTCTTTACAGATGCCCCCACATAGCAATAAGCATAGTGTCAGTAGAGACAGATAAAACCATATTTCAGCACCTACTAGTATGCGTATGTATTAGCCAGGGTTCTCTAGAAGGACAGAACTAATAGGATAGATGTATACGTAAAGGGGAGTTTATTAAGGAGTATTGACTCACACAATCACAAGGTGATGTCCCACAATAGGCCGTCTGCAAGCTGAGGAACAAGGAAGCCAGTCAGAGTCCCAAAGCTGAAGAACTTGGAGTCCGATGTTCAAGGGCAGGAAGCATGCAGCATGGGAGAAAGACGTAGGCCAGAAAATTAGGCCAGTCTAATATTTTCACGTTCTTCTGTCTGCTTTTATTCTAGCCACGCTGGCAGCTGATTAGATGGTGCCCACTCAGATTGAGGGTGGGTCTACCTTCAGTCCACTGACTCAAATGTTAATCTTCTTTTGCAACATCCTCAGGGGAACAATACTTTGCATCCTTCAATACAATCAAGTTGACACGCAATATTAACCATCACAGTGTACAAAAAGCACTGAGACTTGGGACTCTTAAGGACCAAAACTCTGGAGTCCTATTTGGGTTCAAGTCCAGGATCTGCTTTTGATCTTGAGAAAATTCCTCAAATTCCCTAGGCTTCAATTTTTCCATCTGCATAATGGCAATAAGATACCTGCACCACAGGGTTTTGTAAATATTAAATGAGATGATAAATAGAAGATTATTAGTGTACAGCCTGCAATATGATGAGTGCTCAATATATGGCATTGTTGTCTCATTTTTATTAGTAGTGGAATTAAAGCTGTTGGTGTTGATTGATTGTGTTATTTTGGGAAAGCTGTTTAATTTTTCTGTGCCTCATTTTCCTCATCTCTAAAATGGAATCACCTCATAGGGTTATTATGAGGATTAAGTGAACATGTGGCTCTGTTATAACTGGCACCACCAACAGAACCGACATTTATTATGCACTTACAGATCTGACAGGCTCTGAGCTAAGTGCTTTATTTTCAGAATCTCATTTAATCCTGACAACTTTCATATTATTATCCTCATTTGGAACATAAGAAAACTGAGACTAAGAAAAATTGAGCTAATGTCACAAGTCACATAGCTAGTAAGGCAGAAGAGTTGCAGTTTTTAACTCATGCATATCCAACTCAAAGGCTTTGCTTTTCATCATTTTGTCATAATACCAGGATTTGCAGACTCAGATTGCTTTGCACCTAGGAAGGTAAATGTAATGAATAAAAATGGGAACTATAGCAACTTAGGAGAAGCGTGCCTCATGCAAAAGGAGTAGCGAATACCTATCATCACCATGAAGGAATGAGGAGCCAATGCTACCAATTCTATGGTCTACCAAGAAAAGTCTGAAAGCCATATTTTGATATGAAATTTTTTCATTATTAAATGTTTAAAGCTAATTTAATTTAATTTTTAAGCACTGTGATGACCAAATAAAATATATCTGTAGGCCAAACTCTATTTGCAAGTTGATTTTCAATGTTCACTCTGTATTGTTCTCTAGAAAAGCATTTCCCATACTGTGGTCCGTAGACCCCCGGTGTTTTTCTATGACTCATTTAGGGTCGTGTTCAAAATTATTTTCAGAAAATAATAAAACATTCTTCTTTTTCACTGTGTTGACATTTGCATTAATGCTACAAAAGCGATGATAAGTAGTACTGCTGTTTCCTTAGCACAAAATCAAGGCAGTGGCACCAAAATATACTAGTAGCCATTGTTTTATTTGCTGCCATATGCACATGGTAAAATAAAAGAATGGCCATTTTCTTAAAAATGTTATTAAGAAACCAGTGAAAAGTTATTAATTTTATTTAATCTAAACTCTTGAGCACATGTAATATTTCATGTGACAAAATGGCAAGTACATATATTGTGATTGTGAATCAAATGGCCAGCTGGATGAGCCATCTTTTTTACTTAAATGAAAAATTGACAAACTATGGTTATTCAGACTTGGTATTTTGCAACCCTTTTGTGAAACAAAACAAAATAAAAAGTGAGACTATCACTTCCAAGGAAAATAACCAATAGCATTTGTTGCCAATGATAGAGCTCAAGCTTTCAAGTGAAAAATTCAAATTTTGGGAAATTTTAGCTTGACAGATTTCCAATACTTATGGACTTTTCTGATGTTATTGGTAATGATATTTAAAAACCACTACTTTTATTAGACAGTGAAATATTTCAACATTTCAAAAGTCTGCTTAATTCAGTGAACCAATATTTTCCAGTGAATAGTTCATCATATTACAAAATCTTGCATGGATATAAGACCACTCACAGGAGAAGACAGACCAGTGGATTTTCAGGTAGCCATTGATAAGGTTTCAGAGAAATATTGCAACTAAATTTTAAGAAACTACTATATTTTGAGCTTTTAATACGAAAGAAAAATATCCATGATTATCTTAAAAGACTGTTATAATCCTATAATATTATCATATCATATAACATTTCCCCATTTTCCAGCTGCATATCTATGTAAGGGCAAATTTTCTTTATATGCTTCAAGCAAGACAACATATCATAAAAGTTTGGATACAGAAGAACAGAGTGAAACTAAAACTTTCTTCTATTAAGCTAGACATTTAAGAGATTTAAAAATCATAAAATAAGCCACTCTTCTTGCTAATTTTTTTTGTTTTGGAAAATATAGTTATTTTTGTTTAAAATATGCCATTTACATTAACATGTGAGGTTTATTGTTAAATAAATTTTAAAATATTTTTAATTTTTCACTTTTAATTTCTAATGCAGTAAATATCAACAGATATCAATAGATGAACAAAGTTATTTAGAATCCTCTACAATTTTTTCTTTTTTTTCTTTTTTTTTTGTGGGGGGGACAGGGTCTTACTCTGTCAACCCAGGCTGGAGTGCAGTAATGCAATTACAGATCACTACAGCCGGACCTCCCAGGCTCAAGCAATCCTCCCACCTCAACCCCCCGAGTTGCTGGAACTATGGGTGTACACTGCCACACCCAGCTAAGTTTTGTACTTTTTATAGAGATGGGATTTTATCCTCTTGCCCAGGCTGGTCTTAAACTCCCAGGCTCAAGCGATCCTCCTGCCTCGGCCTTCTAAAGTGCTAGGATTACAGGCATGACCCACTGCAGCTGGCCTCCTCCACAATTTTTAAGAGTAGAAAGGGATCCAGCCATCCCATTACTGGGTATATACCCAAAGGATTATAAAACATGCTGCTGTAAAGACACATGCACACGTATGTTTATTGCAGCACTATTCACAATAGCAAAGACTTGGAACCAACCCAAATGTCCAACAATGATAGACTGGATTAAGAAAAGATGGCACATATACACCATGGAATACTATGTAGCCATAAAAAATGATGAGTTCATGTCCTTTGTAGGGACATGGATGAAATTGGAAATCATCATTCTCAGTAAACTATCGCCAAGAACAAAAAACCAAACACCGCATATTCTCACTCATAGGTGGGAATTGAACAATGAGAACACATGGACACAGGAAGGGGAACATCACACTCTGGGGACTGTTGTGGGGTGGGGGGAGGGGGGAGGGATAGCATTGGGAGATATACCTAATGTTAAATCACAAGTTAATGGGTGCAGCACACCAACATGGCACATGTATACATATGTAACTAACCTGCACATTGTGCACATGTACCCTAAAACTTAAAGTATAATAAATAAATAAATTTTAAAAAAGAGTGGAAAGGGATCCTGAAACCAAATTGTCTGATAACCACTACTCTGGAATAGTGCTACCCAACGTCATGTTTATGGATGGGCACTGTCAGCACAACATGGGAAATAGTTAAAAATATAATTTCTCAGCCCCTACTCTAGACCTACCAAATCAGAATCTCTGCCTGTATGTCCCAGAAATCTGCATCTTAACAAGACTTCCAGATAATTCTGAAGCCCACCAAAGACAGAGGAGCTCTGTTCTACATCAAACTGTATCGATGACCTACCTCAATAGTAAAAAACATTTAAGAATATGCCCTCGATTTATGTGTACTTATTTCCTTAGTCTACGTACAAGCAGTTCTGTACTTACATATTATGATCAGTACATAAAAAATTAAAACATGCACCAAAAAAATAGAAATTAGCGGATATTTGCTGTTGTGTACAATGCACCTCTATATGGAGACTGGTCCTTGTGGGTCCCTGGTTATAATTGCATTGCTCCATAAAAGGATTAAAAACGCTGTAGAAACTCCCTTTCCCACTGTGATTAAGTCTTGATAAATTAAGCAGAATTGCCTTCTTATGGACCCATTCTATTTCAACCAGTGGTTGTTTTTTTGTTTTTTTTTGCATCAAGTACTTTCCAAAATACTCAGTGGAGGCTTCGGTATCACTGAGACTTTCTTTTATAAAAGTTAAGGCAGCAAAGCCTAGGGAAATCCGACTTCAGAGAGAATTTCTGAGGGAGCTGCTTCTCTGATATTCTCCATTCCCTCATTTCTCCCTGAATTCATCTGATCTCTCCATGAGTGAAAGAAGAAACCAATGAATGAATCAGAAAGGAGTGCTTGCCCAACTTCTCTGTTGTTTTATTGTAGTCTTTGATTCATGACTTTATGGATGAGTTTTTAATGCTGAAGT
Organism: Homo sapiens; assembly: GCF_000001405.40. Taxonomy (NCBI): domain Eukaryota; kingdom Metazoa; phylum Chordata; class Mammalia; order Primates; family Hominidae; genus Homo; species Homo sapiens. Next base: position 68,492,621 of record NC_000003.12, read on the forward strand.
TTCAAGATAAGTATCTCTGGAGTTTGATAGTTTGCTTGCAGTGTTTCTATATTTATTTTGTAGAAAAAAACAGAACATCAAGAATAAGCAAGGTTTTGTAGTTTTTTTCTTCTTCTTCTTCTTGGAAGGAAAAGCTTTAAAAAAACTACCGTGGGAAGACATTTTCACCTTCAAAATCTCTGTGAGTTCAGCATTAAAGGAGAAAGCACTTGATTAAGCCATGTAAAAGGTCTATTTCCTACATTAGTCTGATTAGAAGGATGAGCTGGGGCAGTTTTTGAATATACAGATTTCTTGGCTCCATCCAAGATGTGCTAAATATAATCTTTAGGGAAAAGAACCAGAAAATTCTTTTTTCTTATTTTTTATTGTAAAATACACATACCATAGTACTTACCATCTTAGCCATTTTTAAGTGTACAGTTTAGTAGCATTAAGTACATTCATATTGTTGTGCAAATCATCTCCAGAACTCTTCTCATCTTGCAATAGTAAATATCCATACTTTTTAAACAACAACTCCCCTTTTCTCCCTCTTCCTCGTCTCAGCAACCACCATTCTACTTCTGTCTCCATGAACTTGACTACTGAAAGTAGTCAAATATAAGCGGAATCATACTGTATTTTTCCTTGTATGTCTGGCTTATTTCACTTAGCATAAAGTCCTCAAGGTATATCTATGTTGCGGCATGGGTTGGAATTTCCTTTTTAAAGCTAAATAATATTTTATTGTATATATACACTACATTTTGTTTTTCTATTCATTGTTGATGGACACTTGGGTTGCTACTACCTTGTGGCTACTGTAAATAATGCTGCTATGCACATGGGTGCACAAATGTCTCTTAGAATCCCTGATTTAAATTTGTTTGGATATATTCCCAGAATTGAAATTGCTGGATCATACAGTAATTTTAATTCTTTGAGGAACCTCCATAACTGTTTTCCACAGCAGGTGTCCTATTTTACATTCACACCAACAGTGAACAAGGGTTTCAATTTCTATACATCCTCACCAACACTTGTTATTTATTTTTTATAGTAGCCATCCTAATGGATGTAAGAGGAAATTTGGTTTTTTAAACAAATAGCTTAGGTGATTTCTATGATCAAGCACATTCTAGACAATGAATGATCAGAAAATTTAAAAAGAAATTGAAGGCTGATGAAACATTACTTTTATAAGTTTATGACGTTTTCCTGCCCCATTCCCTGGAGGCTTCATGCACAGTGGGGTGAGACAGCATCTGGAATTTGTATTGACCCTTTCCCAGAAATGCCAAATGGTGTGTTGATTTGGAGCTTCCAATTCAGAATCTGATAACCAGGAGTTTATTCAGTCTCTGATCTTACTTGCTGTGCTTGCTGTATAATCATGGTCTTAATCTTTCTAAGTTTGAGTTTCTTGAAAATTAGGACTAATGATATCAATTTCCCAGGGTTGTTTGTAAGGGTTAAACATAACACCACACCTGAAGTTTATTTGTTTAATTTTTTTTGAGACAGAGTCTCGCTCTGTCACCCAAGCTGGCGTGCAGTGGCACAATCTCGGCTCACTGCAGCCTCCACCTCCTGGGCTCAAGTGATTCTCCTGCCTCAGCCTCCCGAGTAGCTGGGATTACAGGTGCACATCACCACACCTGGCTAATTGGTATAAGTTTTAGACCTGTCACTTAAAACCTTGGTGATCAGGATCTTAACATTGATAAGCCCATTTTCTTCTCTGTAAAATAGGGATAGTAACAAGAACTGTCTGGTTCCTAGTGTGCTAGTTGATATCTGGTATCATTCTCCTCTTTTTTCTCTGTAGGATAACCCAGATGTTATGCTGAATATCAAATTTCACAGCTGAAAAATATATATCCCAATCTCCCTCACAGGCAGGTGTGGCCTGAAAGTTCTAGATCTTAATAAGCCTCCCAGAGAACTTTCCTCCTGCCTATCATTTGCTGGTAAAAATGCAGATGTGAAGACTCCAGTAGTCATCTTGGTTCATGTAGTACTCTTGAAAATGGAAGTCACACATGATGAATTAATTCCTAATGATACCTCACAAGCTCTGGGCTGATTATTTTTTATCATTTTCTTTAGAAGAAAATTAAACTATTTTTAAGCCTCTGTTATTTCTGCACTAACAGCTTAATGCAATTCCTAATTGACACACTACCTCATAGGGTTATTATAAGGATAAGATTAGATAAAACATACAATGCACTTAAAATAGTGCC